>NC_000019.10:58265930-58607616 GCF_000001405.40 Homo sapiens
ATGGTGGCTTATGCCTGTAATCCCAGCACTTTGGAAGGCCGAGGCAGGCAGATCCCTTGAGGTTAGGAGTTCGAGACCAGCCTGGCCAACATGGTGAAATCCCATCTCTACTAAAAGTACAAAAAATTAGCCAGGTGTCATGGCATGTGCCTGTAATCCCAGCTACTCGGGAGGCTGAGGCAGGAAAATCACTTGAACCCAGAAGGTGGAGGTTGCAGTGAGCCGAGACTGCGCCGTTGAACTCCAGCCTGGGCAAAAAAGCGAAAAGCGAGACTCTGTCTCAAAAAAAAAAAAAAAAAAAAAAAGGGCTGTGTGCGGTGGCTCACGCCTGTGATCCCGACACTTTGGGAGGCCAAGGAGGGTGGATCACGAGGTCAGATCAAGACCATCCTGGCTAACACAGTGAAACCCCGTCTCTACTGAAAATACAAAAAATCAGCCAGGTGTGGTGGCAGGTGCCTGTAGTCCCAGCTACGAGGGAGGCTGAGGCAGGAGAATGGCATGAACCCAGGAGGCAGAGCTTGCAGTGAGCCAAAATCATGCCACTGCACTCCAGCCTGGGCGACAGAGTGAGACTCGGTCTCAAAAAAAAAAAAAAAAAAAAAAAAAGATGGAAGTATAGCCAATAGCGAAACATACAGAATGAGGAAGGCTGGAGAGGGTCAGGCGAGGAGAGGCTGTGGCAGCAGATGTGGCAGCCCCAGCAGAGCCATAGACTGATAGACCAGAAAGTGGGTTAATCGAAGGTCTGTCCATGAAACTCAGACTCTTCCCCATTTTTTTTTCTTGCCTGGCATTACCTATCTGGCTGTGGGTAGCAAAAATTAAAGTAGGGAAGGAGTCATGTGCTAAAAGATTAGTTCAGGGGACAAGGGAATCTGATGTATTTTGCTCTGCAGCAAGGGCTGCTTTATTCTGGCATTTCAGAACTTTTTACCTGATAGCTGGTTCTCGCCCTCTTCACCCTCGAGCAAAGCGTACTGTTAAAGCAGCCCCGCCTGTCTGTGGAGCTTCCTGTCTGCTTTCTGATAGTCTCTTCAATATGGGTGGGAGGCAAGGAGCAAAAGATAAAGTCTCCATCATGAGAGAAGGTATCTAAGACAGCAGAAAAGACAGATATTCAGAGGAACCAAATATTCTTTGTTTTTTGAGACGGAGTCTCATTCTGTTGCTCAGGCTGTAGTGCAGTGGCACGATCTCGGCTCACTGCAACCTTTGCCTCCCAGGTTCAAGCAATTCTCCTGCCGCAATGTCCCAAGTAGCTGGGATTACAGGCACGTGCCACCATGCCAAGCTATTTTTTGTATTTTCAGTAGACACGGGGTTTCACCATGTTGACCAGGCTGGTCTCAAACTCCTGACCTCAAGTAATCCACCCACCTTGGCCTCCCAAAGTGCTGGGATTACAGGTGTGAGCCACCGCACCCAGCAGAATCAAATATTTAAAGCATTTTGTTAACGTAAAAGTGAGTCAAGAAAGGGTTACAAGGCCGGGTGTGGTGGCTCATGCCTGTAATCCCAGTACTTTGGGAGGCCGAGGCGGTCGGATCGTGGGGTCAGGAGGTCGAGACCAGCCTGATCAACATGGTGAAACCCCATATCTACTAAAAATACAATACAAACATTAGCTGAGTGTGGTGGTGGGCGCCTGTAATCCCAGCTACTTGGGAGGCTGAGGCAGAGGTTGCAGTGAGCCGAGATCATGCCATTGCACTCCAGCCTGGGTGACAGAGCGAGACTCCATCTAAAAAAAAAAAAAAAAAAAAAAAAGGTCTGGTGCGGTGGCTCACGCCTGTAATCCCAGCACTTCGGGAGGCCGAGGCAAGCGTATCACGAGGTCAGGAGATCGAGATCATCCTGGCTAACAGGTGAAACCCCGTCCCTACTAAAAATACAAAAAATTAGCTGGGCATGGTGGCGGGCACCTGTAGTCCCAGCTACTCGGGAGGCTGAGGCAGGAGAATGGCGTGAACTCAGGAGAAGGAGCTTGCAGTGAGCCGAGATCACGCCACTGCACTCCATCCTGAGCAACAGAGCGAGACTGCGTTTCAAAAAAAAAAAGAGGGTTACCAGTAAAAAATAAGACAGACTGGGCGTAGTGGCTCACGCCTATAATCCCAACACTTTGGGAGGCCGAGGCGGGCGGATCACCTGAGGTTGGGAGTTTGAGATCAGCCTGACCAACATGGAGAAACCCTGTTTCTACTAAAAATACAAAATTAGCCGGGCATGGTGGTGCATGCCTGTAATCCCAGCTACTCAGGAGTCTGAGGCAGGAGAATCGCTTGAACCTGGGAGGTGGAGATTGCAGTGAGCCGAGGTCTAGTGCCATTACACTCCAGCCTGGGCAACAAGAGTGAAACTCCGTCTCAGAAAAAATAAATAAAAATAAAAAATAAGATACTTTGATAAAATAGAACAATGAGAACCAGAACAGGCTCTTTGAAATTACAAGTAAGATTGTTCAATGTTATAGATACAATGTTTAGTGAGAAACAGAATGCTTGTTGCCTGGTGCTGCAAAGAAATAGCACTCAAAACATAAATTTAATTCTCTCAGCAAGGCCGTTTTTACTTTCTGCAGAAAGGGTGCTCATCACAGATGGAACAATGGCAAGAGCACACCTGAACAAAGGAGGGAAGCAATTTTTATTCCTTAGGCAGTTTGTCCCTGCTACTGTGTCCTGTCTCCGTTGGCTGGAGCCAGCCTGCACAATCTAAACTAAAACTAGATTAGCTAACAGTTTAAAACTTTTCTAAATAGGTAAAAGTAGTGGAAAGACGAAGGAAAAGAGGAAGTTGCTTATGCCAGATATGGAAGGAGCATAGGCTGTAAGCTGGAACGTGACCATGAGCATGTCCAGCACAAATAACTTGGTTAAGGTACAGGGACATAGAACGTACTACGTGCCTGTGAGCATGTTTACCAGCTACATAGGATAGGGCCTAACAAAGACTTACTAGCACAAAGCAAGGAGGTTTCAAGGAAGTTAGTTTATAAAAGAAACTATTATTTTTTAACACTTATGATTTATTCTTTAACAAGAAGGGAAACTTTGAAGAGGAACTTTTACTTTCCACATTGAACAAATAAGTAAGAAAAAGAAAGGGAAACTTCCCCAGGGCTGAAAGGAAATTTTCAGGTCATGCCATTATTATCAGAATTAATAAGACCCATGCATCGTGGAAAACTGAGAACACCACGACTAAAAACAGATGGCAGGCTGGGCGTGGTGGCTCACGCCTGTAATCCCAGCTCTTTGGGAGGCTGAGGCAGGCAGATCACCTGAAGTCAAGAGTTTGAGACCAGCCTGGCCGACATTGTGAAACCTCATCTCTAATAAAAATTCAAAAATTAGCCAGGCATGGTGGCAGCCGCCTATAATCCCAGCTATTCAGGAGGCTGAGGCAGGAGAATCGCTTGAACTCGAGAGGTAGAGGTTGCAGTGAGCTAAGATTGTGCCACTGCACTCCAGCCTTGGGCGACAAAGCGAGACTCTGTCTCAAAAAAAAACAAACAAAAAAAATGTCAGGGTCGGGCATGGTGGCTCACACCTGTAATCCCAGCTACTTGGGAGGCTGAGGTAGGAGAATTGCTTGAACCCAGGAGGTGGAGGTTGCAGTGAGCTAAGATTGTGCCACTGCACTCCAGCGTGGGCGACAAAGCGAGACTCTGTCTCAAAAAAAAAAAAAAAAAAAAAGATGGCAGGGCTGGCATGGTGGCTCACGCCTGTAATCCCAGCACTTTGGGAGACCGAGGCAGGTGGATCACTCTAGGTTAGGAGTTTGAGACCAGCCTGGCCAAGATGGTGAAACCCTGTCTCTACTAAAGATACAAAAATTAGCCAAGTGTGGTGATAAATGCCTGCAATCCCAGCTACTCAGGAGGCTGACGCAGGAGTATCACTTGAACCTGGGAGGCAGAGGTTGCAATGAGTCTAGATCATGCCACTGGACTCCAGCCTGGGCGACAGAATGAGACTCTGTCTCAAAACAGAGCAAATGGCATGGCAGAACCTTCTCTAGAGAAAATAGTTTTGAATCTAAGAAAGGAATAGCTTTAATCTAGAAAAGGAATAGGGCAAGAAAAGGAATGTTTATTCACCCATAACTTAAAAAAAAAGGTAATTTTAATTGAAGGCTTCAAGGTAAATTGTGCTCAAACTATACAAATTCTGCTAGATGGTTATAGTTCCTATGTGAAGGTAACTTTAGAAAGTAGTGTTCACTTGACACTGATGTGAGTAATTCTTGCTGGAGGGGGCAAAAAGCTCATGAAATTTGAATAAAGGAGGAGGAGATGCAGTCAGATTGTTGATTGACCCTTCAGGGAATGGCATTTGCATAGCTGTGACGTGAACCCTAGGTATTGGCTTTTTTTTTCTTTTTTTTTGAGAAGGAGTCTCTGTTGCCCAGTCTGGAGTGCAGTGGCGCGATCTTGGCTCACTGTAACCTCCGCCTCCCGGGTTCAAGCAATTCTCCTGCCTCAGCCTCCTGAGTAGCTGGGATTACAGGCACGTGCCACCACGCCCAGCTAATTTTTGTATTTTTAGTAGACACAGGGTTTCACCATGTTGGTCAGGATGGTCTCCAACTCCTCACCTTGTGATCCGCCCACCTTGGCATCCCAAAGTGCTGGGATTACAGGGATGAGCCATTGCACCCGGCCTGTATTGGCTTTTAATTTTTAGGAAGTAACACATGGCTGTGACCTGACAACTTCATAGTGGCCGTAGGGTAGGGCACTGTTGTCATTATTCCTGTCACTGACAATGTCAGCCCCACCTGCAGATGTGGGAGAGTAGATGGGGAAAGTAGTAGTGGAGAGTAGAGGTTTCCCTTACCATCCTTTTAGGAAGTAGGCTTTTAAACATGATATGTAAGTTTATTTAGAAGATGAAAATTAAAGCTTGAAATGTAATATGAGAGGAATTGGCAGCGGATGTGAGTCAGATCCTCACCTGTCAGAGCAGGAAGTTAGTGAAAACTAAAGATGATTGGCTGGATGCGGTGGCTTATGCCTGTAATCCCAGCACTTTGGGAGGCTGAGGTGGGTGGATCACCTGAGGTCAGGAGTTTGAGACCAGCCTGGCCAACATGGTGAAACTCTGTCTCTACTAAAAATACAAAGATTAGCCCAGCGTGGTGGTGGGCACCTGTAATCCCAGCTACTCAGGAGGCTGAGGCAGGAGAATCGTTTGAACCCAGGAAGTGGAGGTTGCAGTGAGCTGAGATTGCATCACTGTGCTCCAGCCTGGGCAACAGAGTCAGACTCCGTCTCCAGGAAAAAAAAAAAAAAAAAGACTAAAGATGATCAAAGATTAGAATTACGGAGGTGTCCTCAAGAAGAATTGGAACAGATATGGTTAAAAGTGGCTGGAGGTGGGTGCAGTGGATATGGTGGTGCACACCTGTAATCCCAGTGCTTTGGGAGGCTGAGGCAGGTGGATCACTTGAGCCTAAGAGTTGGAGACCAGCCTGGGCAACATGGCGAGACCTGGTCTCTACAAAAAATACAAAAATTAGCCGGGCATAGTAGCACATACCTGAAGTCCCAGCTACTCAGGAAGCTGAGTTGGGAGGATTCTTTGACCCCAGGAGGTTGAGGCTGCAGTTAGCTGTTATTATATCACTGCACTCCAGCCTATGTGACAGTGTGAGACCCTATCTCAAAAAAAAAGTGATGTCGGGAGGCTGAGAGGATGAGTGACTGGGGCAGGAGATGAGTACTTTCCCTTTTAAGCCCATAGCATTTAATTCCCTGGTGGTTCACTTCTTATTTGGATAACTAACAAATTATTTCAAATGTGTGCCTATAGGTGAGAGAAGCAATGGTACATGAGGAGGTAAGCATTTGATTTGTGGGATTATGAACAACTGTCCTACTCTCCTTTTGATTCGGTGTCTCTGTATTAGTGATCTGACAATTTAAAAAATCAAGCAAGAGCAGGCTGGGCGCAGTGGCTCATGCCTGTAATCCCAGCACTTTGGGAGGCCGAGGCGGGCGGATCACTTGAGGTCAGGAGTTGAAGACCAGCCTGGCCGACATGGTGAAACCCTGTCCCCACTAAAAATGCAAAAATTATCTGGGCGTGGTGGTGGGTGCCTGTAATGCCAGCTACTTGGGAGGCTGAGCAGGAGAATCGCTGGAACCCGGGAGTTGGAGATTGCAATGAGCCGAGATTGCCCCACTACACTCTAGCCTGGGCAACAGAGTGAGACTCCTTGACAGGAAAAAAAAAAAAAAAAAGCATAAAGAAAAGATGTCAGACTTGTCTGTTTGGCCAGTTTGAGTTTATTTCAGCAGGCAGGGCAGGAAGGTTCCTTGGCTTCCTAGAATCCCCTGGAGTTGGATGGGTGTGGTGGCTTACACCTGTAATCCTAACAGACCAAGGCCCAGGTGGAAGGATCAACTGAGGCCGTGAGTTTGAGATTAGACTGGGCAACATGGCAGGACTCTGTCTCTGCAAGAAATAAAAAACCAGGTGTGGTGGCACGCGCCTGTTGTTCCAGCTACTCAGGAGGCTGAGGTGTGAGATCACTTGAGCCTGAGAAGTTGAGGCTGCAGTGAGCTGAGATTGCACCACTGCATTCCAGCCTGGGCAACAGAGTGAGACCCTGTTTCTTTAAAAATAAAAATAAAAATAATCCCTTGGATTTAAAGGGAGTGGGTTAGTCCTTGAAGATTTGATTTTCCAGAATTCTTATCAAGAAGAAGTTGAGGCGGGAGAATCATGAGGTCAGGAGTTCAAGACCAGCCTGGCCAACATGGTGAAACCCCGTCTCTACTAAAAGACGTGGTGGTGCGTGCCTGTAAATCCAGCTACTCAGGAGGCTGAGGCAGGAGAATTGCTTGAACCGGGACCTGGGAGGCGGAGGTTGCAGTGAGCTGAGATCGTGCCACTGCACTCCAGCCTGGGCTACAGAGCGAGTCTCCTTCTCAAAAAAAAAAAGAAAAGAAAAGAAAAAAAGGCCGGGCGCGGTGGCTCATGCCTGTAATCCCAGCACTTTGGGAGGCCGAGTTGGGCAGATTGCAAGTTCAGGAAATCGAGACCATCCTGGCTAACATGGTGAAACCCATCTCTACTAAAATTACAAAAATTAGCCGGGTGTGGTGGCGCATGCCTGTAATCCCAGCTACTTGGGAGGCTGAGGCAGGAGAATCGCTTGAACCCAGGAGGCGGAGGTTGCAGTAAGCCAAGATCGCACCATTGTACTCCAGCCTGGGCAACAAGAGCGAAACTCTGTCTCAAAAAAAAAAAGAAGAAAGAAACCAAAAAAGTAGAAAATCATATTATCATATACTTTAATAGCACAACAAAATTACAAATTAATAATTGTGGGTATTTTAGAATATATATGAAACAGCTATTTGGTCAAAGAGGAAATAAAAATACTACATCTGTTTAAGTAAAAATAAGTACTCTGTATCAAATGATCAACATGAATACAAAATACCAAAGCTTGCCTAAAGCCTAGGCCGGGAACGATGGCTCACGCCTGTAATCCCAGCACTTTGGGAGGCCAAGGTGGGCGGATCACCAGGTCAGGAGATAGAGACCCGCCTGGCCAACAGGCCGAAACCCTGTCTCTACTAAAAATACAAAAAATTAGCCGGGCGTGGTGGCGGGTGTCTGTAATCCCAGCTATTTGGGAGGATGAGGCAGGAGAATCGCTTGAACCCGGGAGGTGGAGATTGCAGTGGGCCGAGATCGTGTCACTGCACTCCAGCCTGGGCGACAGAGTGAGACTCTGTCTCAAAAAAAAAAAAAAAAGCCTATTCTGTAGACAAGTGTGTCTCACGTTTTTTGTCTCAAGACCCCTTCACACTCTTAAAAGTCACTGAAGACCCTAAACAGTTTTTGTTTTGTTTTGTTTTCCCCCAAGACAGAGTCTTGCTCTGCCGCCAGGCTGGAGTGCAGTGGCGTGGCCTCAGCTCACTGCAACCTCTGCCTCCCGGGTTCAAGTGATTCTCCTGCCTCAGCCTCCCGAGTAGCTGGGATTACAGGCGCATGCCACCACACCCGGCTAATTTTTGTATTTTTAGTAGAGACGGGGTTTCCCCATGTTGGCCAGGATGGTCTCGAACTCTTGATCTCATGGTCTGCCCACCTCCGCCTCCCAAAGTGCTGGGATTACAAGTGTGAGCCACCGTGCCCGGCTCCTAAACAGTTTTTGTTTATGTAGGTCCTATCAATATTTGGTGTATTAGGAATTAAAACGGAAAAAAATTAATATATTTTATTAATATAATTTTTCAAAATCTATTCTATGTTAATATATAGGTTGAGCTGTGTCTCTTCCCAAAATTGATATGTTGAAGTTCTAACCCATAGTACCTCAGACCTTATTTGGAGACAGTGTCTTTAAAGAGCTGAAATGAGGTCATTAGAGTGAGCCCTGGTCCATTATGACTGTTGTCCTTATAAAAACAGAAATTTGGAGACAGACAACTTGTCACGCATACAGGGAAAATGACATTTGAAGACAAAGTCAGACATCTACAAGCCAAGGAATGCCAGAGATTGCCAGCAAACCACCAAAAACTAAGGAAAGGGATGGAACATATACTTTCTTGTAGCCCTCAGAAGGAACCAACTATGCCAACACTTTGATCTCAGACTTCTGGCTTCCACAACTGTAACAATAAATTTATGTCGTTTAAGCCACCCCATTTGTGGTATGTTGTTACCAGAGCCCTCATGACTAATACAACATATTTTTTAAAAAGCACCTACTTTACGAAAAACAGCATTTTCCAAAACAGAAATAGGGAGAAGAGTGGCATTGTATTATATTTTTTCAAATCTCCTTAATGTCTGGCTTCACTTAAGGCAGTTGAGTTCCCATAGCTCCATGTTCCCATTGCATCTGTTACAATATGACTCATCCAGCAGCCTCTGGAAAACTCTATTGTATATTCCTATGAAAATGAGAGAGGAATAGCACTGGGTAGTCCAGGAGAATGGAAAAACCCAAACGACAACTAAAACAAGCAGTAGGCAAAGAAACCACAGAATAACAAAACCCAAAATAAGGGAGAGAAGACAGCCAAAACCCTGGTCAGGGTGACAGGTCCATGACTCTTCCAGGCAAACCCAAATAAGGGAGAAAGGGGGTGGTAACTGGGGTGGGGCAGGGGGAGGGTGGTGCCTGAAATCCCCTCCTTTTCCAGATACCGAATGACTATTCCACCCATAATTAAACACCCATAAAATGAGAAATGCAAACAATGTTGGGTGTGACTCAGGAGCCAGGAGCCCCCCCACACTTGTCTCCCGTGTTTCCTTTCACTTTGCAATGAAAGCTTCTTGCCTTTCTGCTTACTCTGACTTATCCCTGAATTCTTTCCTGTGATGGCTTCAAGAACCTGGACACCAACTGGCACTGGCATCCGGTGACCTTCCTGAGCCCTCTGGCAACAAAAGAAAAAGCCAACATCTCATTATTATTATGAATTTAGTTTTGAACCCACCGATCCCTTGAAAGGATCTCAGGAACGCCCAGGGCTCCCTGACCCACACTTTAAGAACTACTGCAATAGACAAACTCCTACCTTATAATCAAGGAGATAAACAAGAACTAGAAAAGAAAAAAAAAATAGGCTGGGCACCGTTTTTGTAATTCCAGCACTTTGGGAGGCCAAGGCGGATGGACTGCTTGAAATCAGGAGCTCAAGACCATCCTAGGCAACATCACAAAACCCTGTCTCTACAAAAAATACAAAAATTAGCCAGGCATGGTAGCATGAGGCTGAGGTGGGAGAATCCCTTGAGCCCAAGAGGTTGAAGCTGCAGTGAGCTGTGATCACACCACTGCTCTCCAGAGTGGGCAACAGGTGAGACCCTGTCTCAAAAAAAAAAAAAAAAAAAGGAAAGAGGAAATAATAGGACATCAAAATCACAGATTCCACACCATTAGAACTAGGAGGAAAGCTGAGCCCAGTGACTGGCTCCAAAATGAATACACAGGGCCGGGTGCAGTGGCGCATTCCTGTAATCCCAGCACTTTCAGAGGCTGAGGCAGATAAGATTGCTTTGAGCTCTGGAGTTCAAGACCAGCCTGGGCAACATGGCAAAATCCAGTCTCTACAAAAATTGGCCCAGTGTGGTGGCTCTCACCTGTGCTCCCAGCTACTCAGGAGGCTAAGGATGCAGGATCACTTGAGCCTGGGAAGTGGAGGTTACAATGAGCCAAGATTGCAGCACTGCATTCCAGCTTGGACAACAGAGTGAGACCCTGTCTCAAAAAACAAATAAACAACAAAAAAAGAACACACAGGTTTCCCCTAAAGAGAATAGATCTTTGCACACCTGCCCCTACCTCTCCAACACTGGTGGCCACTGTGCAGGGGAAGGCAATAGATCCTCCTAGTACCTTCTCTGCCTACAGAGAAGGGGATGCTGCCTGGGAGCTTTTTGGGACTCCCAATAGAAGACAGATTTAGTCTCCTGGAAGGCTGCCTGATCCAGTTCCCACAGCAGCTGCCACTTGCTCAGGTGAGTGAAGACATCTGTCAAAAGTCAGAATTTTATTTTTATTTTATTTTATTTTTGAGATGGAGTCTCACTCTGTCGCCCAGGCTGGAGTGCAGTGGCGCAATCTCAGCTAATCGCAACCTCCGCCTCCCAGTTTCAAGCGATTCTCCTGCCTCAGCCTCCTGAGTATCTGGGATTACAGGTGCCCGCCACCACACCTGGCTAATTTTTGTATTTGTATTAGAGACAAGGTTTCACCATGTTGGCCAGGGTGGTCTCAAACTCCTGACCTCAGGTGATCCACCCACCTCAGCCTCCCAAAGTGCTGGGATTCACTCACAGGCGTGAGCCACCACACCCAGCCAAAAGACAGAATTTTAACAAATTTGGTTAAAGATCGAATTGGCTTTTATTTGTGATTCATGAATCTGGGCAGCCTCCACTCTGCAAAACGGAATGAGAGCTCCCACGGGGCAAATGGTAGAATAGTGGTTTTTGTAAGATAGAGAAAAGGCTAATTAGTTAACACTAGGTTACTTTTCTTGTAAGGATTAAAGCAGAGGGGACTTCCTTATTATGCTGCTCAGGTAGACTGGAAATCTGGTTTGTTTAGGGATCTACCTGCTTAAAGTATCAGTCTGATTATGTGGCATTTAGCCTAAGTGACTCTGTCTTGGTTTGGTCTGGTCTCATGAGGCCTAGAGCAGGAGCTCAGTCCAAAACCATGTCCTCTCATAATTTTGTGTAACTTGCCTAACACCTGCTCCTTCTCAGGAACGAGGCCCAGCAAAAAGCAGAGACGGTACAGGGCCAGAAGGATCTGAGAGAGTGTGGCCAGCTTGAGCCCTCAGGAGTCGGCCAGAAGGATCTGAGAGAGTGTGGCCAGCTTGAGCCCCTCGGGAGTCAGCTCCTCCGTCCCCACTGGTAACGTCTTCACCCCTTCAACACGGTGTGAAGGGCCATGTCATGGTTGATCTTCAGTCCCTCAGACTACACCATCAGCCCCATGGGGGTGAGCAAATAACAAGTAACTATACTGTTCCCTGCTATGTGTCTGGCTCTTGGTAAAATTTAAAAAAGTTAAAAATTGTTGTGGTTTGAATGCAACATTTTTGAATGGAAATCTGCTTCCCCATTTTTCTTTTTTAATAACTTTTTATTTTTTTTTTGAGACGGAGTCTTGCTCTGTCACCCAGGCTGGAGTGCAGTGGCCTGACCTCGGCTCACGGCAACCTCCGCCTCCCAGGTTCAAGCGATTCTCCTGCCTCAGCCTCCCGAGAAGCTGGGACTACAGGTGCCCGCCACCACGCCGGGCTAATTTTTGTATTTTTAGTAGAGACGGGGTTTCACCATATTGGCCAGGTTGGTCTCGAGCTCCTGACATCGTGATCCACCCGCCTCGACTTCCCAAAGTGCTGGGATTATAGGCGTTAGCCACCGCGCCCGACCTTTAATAAACATTTTAATGGACTACAACAGACCCACAGAAAAAGACACATCACAAAGTGAACACCCACAGGGAGAAGCAATAGGGCTGTCAGAGGCATTCGACCCAGAGCGACTCCATTTTGAGTGAGGGCTAGGAAAATGAGGCTGGGCTGCATTCCCAGAAAAGTAGGTATTCCTAACCTCTAGATGTTTACGGTTAAGGGAACAAATTAATAATGGGTACTAAAACAGACCCAGACTTGGGAGTGTCCAGATATCCCGGTATCTAGAGAACAAAGGCATTCCTAATTTTGCTTTAAAAATAATATCGATTCTTGAAAAATACAGTAAGAAAATTAATCCTTTTTCACAAACCCTTGTAGCAGAGCACATCTCCCCAAAATCTATTTTTAGCCCAAATATACACAAGCATTGTACCTAGGGTGCATACGTTCCTCTTACTTTCAGGAACGTCCTACTGTCTATGGGGTAGCTGTTTCACAACTTTACTTTCTCAACAAACTTGCTTTTACTTTGCACTGCGGACTCGCCCTGAATTTTTTCTTGCGCGAGATCCAAGAACCCTCCCTTGGGGTCTGAATCGGACCCCTTTCCTGTAACACAACCACCGCTCCCAGCCTCCCCGCTTCCAGCCGCTAAGCCCAAAGTCTTTTATATGAACAAACCTCTAACTCGTCCTGTGACTTTGATGCGTGTGCGTTTTAGGCACCGGGGAGCAGAGGGTAAAGCGGCGCAGCTCCGGGCCTCCTCCCGCGCAAGTTCCCGAGAAGAGCAGGTCCGGCCCGCGCAGACGTGCACGGTCCCCAGCCATTAGGAGGAGCAGACGGTCCCCACCCCCACAATCAGTCATCTCTCGGGGTCCGCCCTTGCTTCCTGCCCACGAGTGAGGCCTCTGGTTGCCCGCAACCTAAGGGGCATCGCAGCCCCGAGCAACACCGCCCCCACCAGCCTTAGCTGAGTGCTCCCATTGGCCAGAGGCCAGCGGGTGGGGGCTCCCATTGGCCATCGGCCATAATGCTTCCATTGGTCGAAGGCCAGACCAGCGGAGACTCCCATTGGCCGAGGGCTGTGGTTCGCCGCACGGCCTACTGGGAGTTGTAGTCGCCGCGTCGCCGGTGCGGCCGCCATTGTCCGGCGTTCGGCGAGTCGGGTGGTCCCTTTGGCTGGAGTGCCTCTCTGGTCTGGGGATCACCTCAGGCGCTGTCCTTCACTGGGCGATCCAGCATGGACCCCGAGGACGAAGGGGTAGCGGGAGTGATGTCTGTGGGGCCGCCGGCGGCCCGGCTTCAGGTAACAATAACAACAATAACGACGGCGGCGGGCTCCGGGCAAGCGTCTCCCGCGCAGACTGACCCTTTCACCTCGCGGCGCGATGAGAGCGGCACCGCTGTTAATGCCCTTGACACGTGGGGAAACTCAGACGCGGGTCGGGGCGTGGTGACCGTCCTGGCTGGTCAGAGAGGGGGCCGGGATTCCAACCAGGCGCCTGGCCCCCGAATGCGCATGCTCCACGCGGCTCTGTCCTCCCCAGGGCTGGGGTCGGTCATTCCCGAGAGAATCGAGCAGGCCCATCTCCTGCGTTCTGCTCCGCCCCGCCGACACCCTTGCCCATTCCAGGAAGGTCTGTCCTCGTGTTGACTGATAACAGTAATTGTAGCGTTGGCCGGGTGCCCAGATGGCAAGAATCATCGAATAGAGATGCTTTAACGCGTGGAGTCAGCGGACACCCACCGGGACCCCAGCACCGCGGAGCCCCTGCCCTGGGGCTTGGGCACAACCTCTTGGGGGCAATGATGGGTCACCACGCACTGAGTGTGATGAGAGTGACCACCAGGGTCGTCCCCTGCGAGACTGTGGGAGAACTGCAGTGCAGGGCGGTCAGTGTTTGCAGGGCCATCTGGCCATCAGAGCTCCACTTTCTAGACAAAGTGGTTGCGGCCTGTGTTCTCCATAAAGCTGCCTCGCGTGGCAGGAAACAACAATAATTATCCTTCCTCAAGCTCTGCAACTTTGAAATTATACTTTTTTTTATTTTTTGTCGTTGGTTTGTTCATGGGGATTTGCATTATTTCAGATTTGGTACACAAAGTGAGACTTGATAATCTTAGGTTGCAGGTTTTCAGATGTGTGTTGCTCCAAATTTGCATGAAATGCTACCACGTTTTATTTTGTTCTTGCTGTGGATGGGGGACAAGGAATGAGTCGTAAGAAAGGCTTGAGAGAAAGTGTATTAGTTACCTGTTGCTGTGTAACTCAAAACTTCGTGACCTGGAACAACAATAAATATCTCACGAGTTCTGACAGGAGTAATGGAATGTCCTAGCTGGTGGTTCTGGTTCAGGCCCATGAAGTTACAGTGAAGATGTCAGCATAGCTGTTGTCACCTGAGACCTGAGTCTGGAGGATCCACCTCCAGGATGGCTCACTCACATGTCTGTTGATAGGAGACCTCAGTTGTTCTCCATGTAGGCCTCTCTTTGGAACTGCTAGGGATCCTTGCAACATGGCATCTGGCTTCCCACAGAACAAGTGATCCAGGAGAGGGCAAGGTAGAAACTGTAACACCTTCCATGACCTGGATTCAGAATTCACACTCTTGTCACTTCCACGGTGTCTTACTGGTTACAAAGTCAACCTTGTTGAGTGTTGGAGGGGACCACACCAGGGCTGGAGGTCATTGGCAGAGGTGGTGGGGGAGCATCTTGGAGACTGTCCATCACAGGAGACAAGGACCAGAATGGAGAGCTTCAAGGTCCAGTGTTTTATCTGGTTATCTGTGTCTGCTGTAACAATTCACTACAAATTTTGTGGCTTAAAACATTTGTTCTTAGGTTCTGGAGGTCAGAAGTCTGAAATCGGTTTTCTGGTCTGGAATCAAGGTATGAGCAGAGCTACCCTCCCTACCAAGGTTCTAGGGTAGAATGTTTCCTCGTCTTTTCCAGCTGTGAGAGGTACAGACCTTCTATTCCTTGCCTCATGGCCCTTTGCCTGTCTTCAAAGCCTGCATTGTAGCATGTTGCTTCAGTGATCATATTGCCTTATGTCTTCTATAGTCATAGCTCCCTTTGTCTACCTCTTATAAAGACACTTGTGATTGCATTTAGGGCCCACCTGGATAATCCAGGATAATTTTTCTGTTTGAAAATCCTAATCACATCTGCACAGTTCCTTTTACCATATATAGTAATATTCACAGGTTCTAGGAACTAGGACCTGGATATCCTTGGAGGCCATTATATATCTCAGTCTACCATAGCCAGGCTGAGAGGAGCCATCCAGTATTCAGTGATGAGAAGGAGCCATTCACGTGTTTTAAGCAGGACTGGCATAGGGTTGAAAAAATCCACTTATGCATTAGGGGCTGGTGGGAAGGGAGATACTGGCAGCTCAACTAAGGCAGTGGGAAAAAGAGAGGAGTGGTTAGGCCCAGTGACCAGGTGTTGGCTGATGCTGGGGTGAAAAGAATATGTAAAGGAGAAACATCAGAGCACAGCCCCACCCCTTCAGGCTCCAGAAGTGCAAGACAAGAGGGAAGGCTGCAGGGATCTGATGTAGGGCAGAAAGAACATCATGAGACAACAAGGAGTGGGCTTCTGCTAGAATTCCAAGAAGGAAGCCAAGAGGAGGCATGAAGGACTTGTATGATGCCACTGAGAATTCTCATGGCTTGGACAGACCAGTACTCAGTGGACGTGGTGTCTAGGCTGTCACCAGTGACTCTTGCAGAATGGGTGATGATGGGAGGTGGGGGCAGGAGGCACGGGAAGCACAAATCAAAATTGGTGGGCATTCTGAGTGGAGGAAAGCGAAGACACAGAGACAGGAGCAGAGACCTCAGTTCCCAACCAAAGGCATCTTTCTGTATGTTTCCTATTAGAGCCACCTGCTACCTGTACTAAAATTTCTTTCTTATTTTTTAATCTACTCATGTTTTTCTTAAAAGGAAATGTCCTTTTAAAATTGAAGTATTTGGGGCCTGGTGCAGTGGCTCATGCCTGTAATCCCAGCACTTTGAGAGGCCACAGCAGATGGATCACTTCAGGTTAGGAGTTCAAGACCAGCCTGGCCAACGTGGTGCAACCCCATCTCTACTAAAAGTACAAAAATTAGCTGGGTTTGGTGGCACATGCCTGTAATCCCAGTTATTTGGGAAGCTGAGGTGGGAGAATCACATGAACCAGGGAGATGGAGGTCGCAGTGAACCGAGATTGCACCACTGCACTGCAGCCTGGTCAACAGAGTGAGGCCCTGTCTCAAAATAAAAAATAAAAAAATTGAAGTATTTAGTATATGTGGTTTTGTTTTGTTTTTTAACCTAGCAGCAACACTGGTGGTGTATAGTTTTGATTTTTCATTTCCCTGATGACTAATGATGTTGAACATCTTTTCATGTACTTATTTGCCATTTGTGTATCTTCTTTTATATATTCTTCAAAGAAATAACTATACAGATTCTTTGCCTATTTTAACTGGGTTGTCTTTTTATTACTGAGTTGTATGTGTTCATTACATATTCTAGATACAAGTCTCTTATCAGATATGTGATTCCCAATTATTATCTCCCATTCTGTGAGTTGTCTTTTCACTTTCTTGCTAATGTCCTTTGAACTACAAAAGTTTTTGTTTTGATGAAGTCCAATTGATTACATTTAGTTGCTTATCCTTTTGGTTTCATATCTAAGAATCCCTTGCCAAATCCAAGGTTACAAAGATTTATCTCTCTGTTTTCCTCTAAGAGTTTTATAGTTTTAGCTCTTACTTTTAATTTAATTTAATTTTTTTTTTTTTGAGATGGAGTCTCACTGTGTCGCCCAGGCTGGAGTGCAATGGCATGATCTCGGCTCACTGCAACCTCTGCCTCCTGGGTTCAAGCAATTCTCCTGCCTCAGCCTCCCAAGTAGCTGGGACTACAGGAGCACGCTGCCACGCCCGGCTAATTTTTGATATTTTAGTAGAGATGGTGTTTCACCATGTTGCCCAGGCTAGTCACGAACTCCTGAGCTCAGGCAATCCACTCGTCTCAGCCTCCCAAAGTGCTGGGATTACAGGCGTGAGCCACTGCGCCCAGCCTCTTACATTTATGGCTTTGTTTCTATTTTATTTTATTTCTTTTTTTTCTCTTCTTTTTTTTTTCTTTGAGACAGGATGTCACTCTGGTTGCTTAGGCTGGAGTGCGGTGGCATGATCTTGGCTTGCTGCAACCTCCACTTTCCAGACTCAAGCACTCCTCCTACATCAGCCTCCCAAGTAGCTGGGACTACAGGCAGCCTGGCTAATTTTTTTCAAATTTTTTTTGTAGAGGCAGGGTTTTACCATGTTGCCCAGGCCAGTCTTGATCTCCTGGACTCGAGTGATCTGCCTGCCTCAGCCTCACAAAGTGCTGGGATTACAAGCATGAGCCACTCTGCCCAGCCAGCCTAATTTGTTTTGAGTTAATTTTTATATATGATATAAGATAGAAGTCTGTGTTAGTTTGAATGTGTCTCCCAAATTTCATGTGTTGATAGTATTTGAAGGTGGCGACTTTTGGGAGAAATTTAGGATTAGATAAGGTTATCAGGATTGGACTCCCTTGATGGGACTAGTGGCTTTAGAAGGAGAGAGAGACCTGAGCTGGCACACTCTTGCCCTCTCGCCATGTGATGCCCTCCACCATCTTATGTCATAACAAGAAGGCCCTCACCAGATGCCAGTACCATGATATTAGACTTCCCAGCCTTCAGAACTGTAAGAAATAAACTCTTTTTTTTTTTTTTTTTTGAGTCGGAGTCTCACTCTGTTGCCCAGGCTGGAGTGCAGTGGCGCAATCTTGACTCACTGCAAGCTCTGCCTCCCGGGTTCACACCATTCTCCTGCCTCAGCCTCCCATGTAGCTGGAACTACAGACGCCCACCACCACGCTCGGCTAATTTTTTGTATTTTTAGTAGAGACAGGGTTTCATCGTGTTAGCCAGGATGGTCTCGATCTCCTGACCTCGTGATCTGCCCGCCTCGGCCTCCCAAAGTGCTGGGATTACAGGCATGAGCCACCGCTCCCAGCCCACAAATAAACTGTCTTCATCAAAGTTATTGAAAGAGAGAGAGAGAAAAAAAGCAACTTTCTTTATAAATTACTTCGTCCTTAGGAGGACAAGGCGAGAGGATCACTTGAGGTCAGGAGTTCGACACCAGCCTGGCCAACATGGAGAAACCCTGTCTCTACTAAAAAATACAAAAATTAGCTGGGTGTGGTGGCGTGCACCTGTAGTCCTAGCTACTCAGGAGGCTGAGCCAGGAGAATCAACTGAATCCGGGAGGCAGAGGTTGCAGTGAGCCAAGATTGTGCCACTGCACTCCAGCCTGATTGACAGAGTGAGACTCCCATCTCGAGAAAAAAAAAATAATAAATTATTCAGTCTGTGATATTCTGTTACAGCAACAGAAAATATGCTGGGACAGGGACTATCTTTACTCTTTTCCATGTGGCTATCCAGATGTCCTGTAGGAAGTGTTTGTAAACCACTTAATCATTATACAGCCCCCAAGGGGTGATGCTTTGTTGACATGGAAACTGGGAAGCAAAGATGCTTCTTGGGGACGAAGTGACTGAGCCAAGACTCTGATCCAGAAATATCTGGCTTTCAAGCATGGCTGCAGAAGGGCTTTGTTTATGGGACACATTTTAGGTAATGTTGCATCAACTTATAAAAATCAGAATTTTTCACGTAAAGGCCAGGCGCGGCGGCTCCCGCCTGTAATCCCAGCACTTTGGGAGGCCGAGGCGGGTGGATCACTTGAGGCTAGGGGTTCGAGACCAACCTGGCCAACATGGTAAAACCCCATCTCTACTAAAAATACAAAAATTAGCCGGGCGTGGTGGTGCGCTCCTGTAGTCCCAGCTACTACGGAGGCTGGGGCAGGAGAATCACTTGAACCTGGGAGGCAGAGGTTGCAGTAAGTGGAGGTGGCACCACTGCACTCCAGCCTGGGTGACAGAGCAAGACTCTACCTCAAAAAGAAAAATAATTTTTCACATAAAAATCTGACCTAATTTTCAGCTTCTCTTCAGAGATGAGCAGTTCTGACAAAGGGACCTGTATTTTCCCGTAATCAGTGAGTTCTGAGTCCCTGCTGCTCCTTCAGACAGGGTCCATGCTCCCCATCACCTCCAGTCCCACCACTCATAGGTAAGTGTCCTTGTGGGCTCTTAAACTGGCCCACTTCTGTCATGTGAGCCTGCCTTGCCCTGAAAGCAGGCGAATTTCTGACCCCAGCCCTGTGTGCTTCTCTTTTCAGGAAGGATGGTGAACCTGTTTTTTTGTTTTTTTTTTTTGAGATGGAGTCTCACTCTGTCGCCTCAGCTGGAGTGCAGTGGTGTCTTGGCTCACTGCAACCTCCACCTCCTGGGCTCAAGCGATTCTGCTGCCTCAGCTTCCCAAGTAGCTGGGATTACAGGCATGTGGCCCAGCCAATTTCACTTTGTATCTAAGTATTAGTGAGTGTATTAGTTAGCTGCTGTGTAACACTGTCCTAAAACAGTATCTGTTTTACTTAAAACAGTAACTGTTTCTTTAGCTCACAAACCTGCAAATAAGTGGTTTAGGCCAGTCTCTGCTGGTACCCTCGTCTGTCTTGTTAGATGTAGGTCAGCTCTGCCTGGCGTTGTTGATCTTGGTGAGTCCTCTCACATGTCCTCACTGTACAACCCACACCTATGTGTAGTGGCCTAATAGGTGCCCAGTGAGACCTGACTCCCATCATTCATAACGTGCAGTCTCTCGTGACACAGGCCTGCCTGTTTTCTCCTTTTCCATTCTTCCTCTGCCAGAAAGCACTGATGGAGATAGTCCAGCTGATTGAGAATGTGTGTGATGTTTCAGGAACCAGTGACCTTCCGGGATGTGGCTGTGGACTTTACCCAGGAGGAATGGGGGCAGCTGGACCCTACCCAGAGGATCCTCTACCGTGACGTGATGCTGGAGACCTTTGGTCACCTGCTCTCCATAGGTAAGCCCTGCTTCGCAAGGTGTGATAGCTGATTCTCTCTGGGTTATAAGTCATGGGGCCTCTGGTGTGAGGACCTGACCTTGGGTCCTCACTCCCTATGGGGAGTGCATGAAGAGGGAGGTCTGCCCTTTTCCATCACCATGCAGAGCTTCACCATGTTGTGAGGTGCCCACGTGTCCTCACAGTCGGGAGTCTGGTCTGGAGCCTGGGCTTGTTGTTTCTCTCCTGAGCAGCCCCTCACCTCCTGTGTTTTTCCCCATTTCCAGGTCCTGAGCTTCCGAAGCCTGAAGTCATCTCCCAGCTGGAGCAAGGGACCGAGCTATGGGTGGCTGAGAGAGGAACCACCCAGGGCTGCCATCCAGGTGAGAACCCACTATGTGGGAGCAGCTAATGGGAGCAGCCTAGCAGGTCACTGGAGATGCACTTCATGGAAAGGGTGGTGGTTGGTGGTCCTGAAGACCACCCCATTCACTAGGAGTATACAGGACTCAGCATAGAGTCATGCTGACAGCTCTCAGTATAATGAGACCAACAAAGGGGAAAGGCGCGTGGGGATAAGTTCAGAGGAAGCCAGGCATGAGCCTCCAGAGTCCCCTCACTGTGGAGTCATTCAGGATGTGCCAGGCTCCCCCAGCACTCAGGTGTGACACCTCATGAGACATGAGCTCTACCAGGGAATCTTGTTAAGAGACTCAGTGCTAGGAGTTTTGACTGAGGCTGCCACATAGACACTCTCTGCCTAGCACAGACCAAGGTTCCAGACTACCAGGAGAAAGCCAGTGTTTGGAATAAACCACATAGTGTGTGCAGTGTGGGTGTAGTAAACCACTCTCATCAGTTAGGGTTGTGGGAACCATCCCCAAATCCAAATTCTCAGTTGCAGCCAAAGGCTAACCTTGTGAATAGGCTTCTCCTAAGAATGCTGGTTTCAGGCCTGCCCTGTTAAATCTTTTCTGCACAGTGCTCCATAGCCTTCTCACCTGTGCTCCCCATCTTCTAAGCTCAGAGGTCATCACCTGTGCTCCAGTGCTGAGAATCCCACCCCTTCCTCCCTCTCTGCTTCATCTTCCCTTATAGGTTCCAGGTCATTCCCTCTCTCACCATCCTTCTCAGCATGTCCTTTCTGTGGCATCATTTCTAATATGTGAACCTGCCCTTCATCTTCTCCATTTCATTCTTGCATGTCCAGATTCTTTGTGTTTTGTTTTGTTTTTAAGACAGGGTCTCACTCTATCGCCTAGGCTGGAGTGCAGTGGCGTAATCACGGTTCACTGCAGCCTTGACCTCCCTAGTTCAAATGATCCTCCCACCTCACCCTCCCGAGTAGCTGGGATTACAGACATGCACCACCACGCCCTGGTAATTTTTGTATTTTTAGTAGAGATGGGATTTTGCCATCTTGCCAGGCTGGGCTCGAACTCCTGGGCTCAAGCAATCCACCTACTTTGGCCTCCCAAAGTGCTGGGACTACAGGCGTGAGCCACCATGCCCAGCTTTTTTTTTTTTTTTTTTGAGACCGTCTCTGTTGCATAAGCTGGAGTGGCAGCAGTGTGATCATGGCTCAGTGCAGCCTCAGCCTTCCTGTCACAAATGATCCTCCTGCTTCAGCCTCTTGAGTAGCTGGGACTACAGGTGTGTACCCCCACACCTGGCTAATTTTCTTTTTAAATTTTTTTGTAGAGACACAGTTGCACTGTGTTGCCCAGGCTGGTCTCAAACTCCTGGGCTCAAGCAATCCTCCTGTCTTGGCCTCTCAAAGTGCTGGGATTACAGGTATCAGCCACTGCACCTGGCCTTTTTTTTTTTTTTTTTTTTTTTGAGACAGTCTCACTCCGTTGCACAGGCTGGAGTACAGTTGCATTATCTTAGTCTCCTAGGCTCAAGTGTTCCACCTACCTCAGTCTCCCTAGTAGCTGTTACTACAGGTGTGTACCACCATGTCCAGCTGATTTTTTTGATTTTTTTCTTTTTCTTTTTTAAAAATTATTTTACTTTTTTTCTTTTTTTTTCTTTCTTTCTTCCTTTTTTTTTTTTTTTTAGAGATGGGGTCTCGCCATCTTGTCCAGGCTGCAGGCTGCTCAAACTAACTCCTGGGCTCAAGCAATCCTGCCTCAACCTCCTAAGTGCTGGGATTATAGGCGTAAGCCACTATGCCTGACTTTTTGTTTGTTTGTGTGTCCTTTTTTTTTTTTTTTTAATAGAGATGAGATCTTTCTACACTGCCCAGGCTGGTCTCAAACTCCTGAGCTCAAACAGTCCTCCTGCCTCAGCCACTGAAAGTGCTGGGATTACAGGTGTGAGCCACTGTACCTGGTCACATGTCTAGATTCTGTAAACTTGTTCCCCACACCCTTCTTTATTCTCTTATGAGGAAGAATTGTGTTTAGCTATAAATACCCTAAAACCAGGTTGGAGCAGCTCAAAATAAAGAAGCATTTTTCTTGTAAAACAGGAGCCCTGAGTCTGCTGGTACTGTCTTGGCATCTCAGAGGTGCCAGGGCTGATTGTTCTGTGATTTTCCCAGGCTGTCCTTGGGATTACAGTGCAGCTGCAGCAGCTCCAGCCATCACAGTTGTGCTCCATGCAGGAAGGAGGGGAAGAGGTAGGAAGAATTCTGCCAGCCACATCTGTCCCCTTTTGGCAGAACTCTAGATGTCACCTGCTGGGGTCTCTTTAGCCAGAACTAGGTCACCTCCTCTTGCACTGACCCTAGTTGCTAGAGAGGCTGGAAAGCTAGGGGTGTCTAGATTGTCATAATTGGCTTGGGCGAGTCATGGTCCCCTTGCTGTGGCTTGTGTGTTGGTACCCTGACCACATTCTAGAGTAAATAGCATCTGGCCATGGGATGTACAACCAGCAATGCCTGCAGATTAGCCTCCCACCCAAATACTTCTGATGCCACCCAGGGCTTTCTGATTCTGCAGAAAAACACATATGCCCCCATGATAGCGTATGACCTATCAACTGGGAGTCGGGTGAATCTGCTGCAGACCCTGTTTTCCTGCCCCTTTCATCGGTTGTCACTGCTGTTACTTCAGACATGTATGTCGGAAGCAAATTCTCATCACCCTGGACATATGCCTGTCACTCACAAGTCTTATGCCATAACCAAATCCAGGATCTAAAACGTGTGCCCATAAATACTAAGCAAAATGTTGTGCTTGCATGGATTAGGAGTATGGGGTCAAAATCATGATGGACAGTTTCAATAACTTAATACCTAGACAGTTATAAATACTCCAGAAGCAGAAGGTTTTCAAGGCTTTATGTTAAGACAGAAACATATTTTCCATGTAATGCTTTGTATTAGTTTCCTGTTGCTCCTGTAACAAAGTACCACAATCTAGGTGGCTTGAAAAAGCACCGATTTGGCTGGACGCAGTGGCTCACCCCTATCATTCCAGCACTTTGGGAGGCCAGGGCAGACGGATCACTTGAGTCCAGGAGTTCGAGACTAGCCTGGCCAACATGGCACAACACCGTTTCTACTAAAAATACAAAAATTATCCAGGTGTGGTGGTGCATGCCTGTAATCCCAGCTACTCAGGAGGCTGAGGCACAAGAATCTCTTAAACCCAGGAGGTGGAGGTTGCAGTGAGCTGAGATCATGCCACTGCACTCCAGCCTGGGCGACAGAGCAAAACTCTGTCTCAAAGAAAAAAAAAAAAAAAAAGGACAGATTTATTTTCTTATAGTTGTGGAGGTCAGAAGTTCAAAATGGTTCATCAGGGCTAGTTCCTCTGACGGCGCCCAGAGAGAATGCATTTCTGTCTTTCTCAGCAGCTGGAGGCTGCCCAGACTCCTTGGTTCATAGACCCTTCCTCCATCTTCAGAGTGCTTCACTCTGACCCATTTCCATTATCACAACCGCTTCCCTGACTCAGACCCTTCTGCTTCCCTCCTATATGGACTCTTTGGTCAGATTTAGGGCCCCAGGATAATCTCCCATTTCAAGATTCTTTTTTTTTTTTTGAGACAGAGTCTCGCTCTGTCACAAGGCTGGAGTGCAGTGGTGTGATCTCGGCTCACTGCAGCCTCCGCCTTCCCAGGTTCAAGCGATCCTCCTGCCTCCACCTCCCAAGTAGCTGAGACTACAGGCCGTGCCACCATGCCCAGCTAATTTTTTGTATTTTTAGTAGAGATGGGATTTCACCATGTTGGCCAGGATGGTCTCAATCTCTTGACCTTGTGATCCGCCCGCCTCAGCCTCCCAAAGTGCTGGGATTAAAGGCGTGAGCCACCGCGCCTGGCCCATTTCAAGATTCTTTTTTTTTTTTTTTTTTTTTTTGAGACGGAGTCTCGCTCTCTTCCCCAGACTGGACTGCAGTGGCGCAATCTCGGCTCATTGCAAGCTCCGCCTCCCGGGTTCACGCCATTCTGCCTTAGCCTCCCGAGTAGCTGGGACTACAGGTGCCCGCCACTGCACCCGGCTAATTTTTTTTTTGTATTTTTAGTAGAGACGGGGTTTCACCGTGTTGGCCAGGATGGTCTCTATCTCCTGACCTCGTGATCCGCCCGCCTTGGCCTCCCAAAGTGCTGGGATTACAGACGTGAGCCACCGCGCCCGGCCATCAAGATTCTTAATCACAGCTACAATATCCCTTTTGCCACATAAGGTTCCAGGGATTGGGATGGGGACATCTTTGAGGGGCCGTTATTCAGCATACCACATGATTAAAATAGAGAGTAAATTTTTTTTTTATTATTTTTAAGGAAAAGAAGCCTAGTCAATAGAAGAAGACCGCGTCTCTACAAAAAAATTTAAAAATTACCTGGCATGGTGGTGTGTTCTTGTAGTCCTAGCTACTTAGGAGGCTGAGCGGGGAGGATTGCTTAAGCCCAGGAGTTCAAGGCTACAGTGAGCTACAATTTGCACCACTGCACTCCAGGCTGAGCAACAGAGCATTAAAAAATAAAGGAAAAGAGGCCAGGCATGGTGGCTTACGCCTGTAATCCCAGAATTTTGGGAGGCCGAGGCGGGTGGTTCGCTTGAGTCCAAGAGTTCAAGACCAGCCTGGGCAACCTGGCAAAACCACATCTCTACAAAAAATGCAAAAAAATTAGCTGGGTGTGGTGGTGCATGCCTGTGGTCTCAGCTGTTCAGGAGGCTGAGCCCAGGAGGTTGCAGTGAGCTGAGATCATGCCACTGCACTTCAGTCTGGGTGACAGAGTAAGACCTTATTTCAAATATAAAATAAAATAATGGTGAAGAATCCCTGTCCAGGCAGATCCCACTCCCAGTGCACTCACAGGGGTTTGTGGGCTCAGGGATGGCTGGGCGATCTCAAGCCCCTCCTTGGCCCCTGTCACTCGTCTGGCATCATTCCTTACTGGTTCCCTCTTGCGGTTGCTCAGCTTCACCTGCTGCAGGTCACCTCCTGGCTGACTACAGTCCCAGCTCTTCTCCCATTTCCTCTCTTCATCAACTGCTCACCCTCTCTCTCGGAGACTCCATGGCTTCCCATGTGCCAGGATCAGTGAGTTGTTCTGGGCAGCCAGGAGTCAGGCTGGAGTTGGAGCCTGTCTCAACCTCAGTGCTCTTTGCTGTTCCTGGCCAGGCCAGTTCACTAGTGTTCTCAAGTCCCCCTCCTCCGGATGTTCTTCCGCACTCTCCCAGCAGGCAGCGTTAGTCTTGGCTGGGGTCACAGTGTTGTCTTTAGTCTCTGTGTTTTCGTCCGTGTTGTCTCTCAGGCAGTCTCCCAGCTCACGAGCCTGTTCCATGGATGTTCCTGAGGACCTGCCATGTGCTGCTGTTTGTGCTGTGGATGCAGCAAAGAATGACAGGAAAGGCTGAGCCCTCACTCAGCATCTGGGAGATGGAAGTCTTGAGAGATGGATGCCAGTGCCAGGCAGTGATGAGGCCGTAAAGGAAATGCACCTGGGGAGGGCAAGATGGGGTGCTCATGCCCCGGGACTGGCAGGGAGGCCTCTCTGAGAAAGTGACTCAAACTGGGGCACAGGGAGCAAGGTGGGCAGATGTCTGGGGATGAGGGTTCTTGGCAGAGGGAGCAGCAGGTGCAAAGGGCCCCAGGAAGGAGTATGGGGGATGCATTAGAGGGATGTGAGGAGCCATGTGGAGCAGAGTGGGCGTGGGGCAAGAGTCAGGAGGTGAGACGAGCCAGGGCATGGTGGAGAAGGGCACAGGGTCGTGTCCATCCTCAGAAGTGACTGCAGAGTGAATGGAGGAGTGACCAGGGCTGGCTTGCAGTGGGGAGGAGGGTGGGTCTGTTTGGTTTTGCATAATAGCTTTATCAAGATAAAATTGACATACCATAAGTTCACCTATTAAAATGTACCACTCAGCGGTTTTGAGTATATTCTCAGATTGTGTGCAGCTATCTTTACTATCTAACTCCAGAACATTTCATCACCATCTTAGTCAGCTTGGGGTACCGTGACAAAATACCACCGCCTGGGTGTCTTGTACAACAGACATTTATTTCTCACGGTTCTGTAGGCTGGAATTCTAAGAGCACAGTGCCAGCTGATTCGGGCCCTGGTAAGGGCCCCTTCCTCAATTGCAGAAGGCCGCCTTCTCTCTGTGCCCTTATATGGCAGAGAGAGGAAGCAAGCCCTGTGGTATTTCTTCTTATAAGATCACTAATCTCATTCTTAAAGGCCCCACCCTCGTGACCTAATCACCTCCCAAAGGCCTCATCTCCAAATACCCTCACAATGGGGATTAGGGTTTCAACATAGGAATTTTGCTATCGACATTCAGTCCATAGCAGTCACTCTCCGTCTTTCCCATCCCCTGCCAACCAGTAACCTACTTTCTCTCTCTATGGATTTGCCTGTTCTAGATATTCCATACGAATGGAATCTTACAATTTGTGACCTTTGTATCTGGCTTCTTTCACTCAGCAGAATGTTTTCCGGCTTATCCATGTTGTAGCGTATGTCAGTACTTTGTTCTTTTTTGTGGCTGCATAATATCCCGTCGTATGGATAGACCATATTTTGTTTATGCATTTGTTGAGGGGCATTTGGGTTGTTTCTACTTTTGGCTATTAATTAATAGTGCCACTATGAACATTAGTGTATAAATTTTTGTGTGAAGTGACTTATATTTTAGAATAAACCTCTGGGTGCTATGTAGAGAGTCAGTTTTTTTTTTTTTTTGAGACAGAGTCTCTGCTTGGTCGCCGAGGCGGGAGTGCAGTGGTGTGATTTTGGCTCACTGCAACCTTCGCCTCCCAGGTTCAAGCGATTCTCATGCCTTAGGCTCCTGAGTGGCTGGGACTACAGGTGTATAACACCACACCCGAATAATTTTTGTATTTTTAGTAGAGACAGGGTTGGCCAGGCTGGTCTTGAACTCCTGACCTCAAGTGATCCTCCAGCCTCGGCTTCCCAAAGTGCTAGGATTACAGGCATGAGCCACCGGGCCTAGCCAGAGAGTCATATTTGGGGGCCAGAGGTGACAGAGCAGGAAGCCTGGCACCTGGCCAGCCTCAGCTCCTCCATTATCTCTCCCGTTGTCAAGCTCTCATTCATTCATTCCCTCGATACGTTCCTTCAGCATTCACTGAGAGATATTTTTGAGCTTCTACTACTTGTCATTTCTAGGCACTGGCTGTGAACATTCTAGTGCGGTGAGGTGTACCCAGAATGAATGAACACATGACCTGTATTTTGGTCAGGACAAGAGCAGATGAGGGGGCTTGAAGAGGGCTTGGGGAAAGCGGGAAGCCTGGCTTATAACAGAGTCCCTGTCCTAATCCCCAGAACTGGTTATCTTGGATACTGGGTGAGCAAGAGGGTCAGAATCAGACAAGGAGATGTGACAGCAGAAGCAGAGGTGAGTGAGAGAGATCTGAAGATGCTGTGCTCAGCTCTAGAGGTGAAGGAAAGGGCCAGGAATGCAGGCAGCCTCTAGGAACGGGAAGATGCAAGGATTTTCCCCAGAACCTCCCGAAGAGAAACCAGCCCTGCCAACACCTTGATTTTAGGACTTCTGTGTTCCAGAACTATAAGATAATAAGTGTGTTTTAAGTTACAGCAGCAAACAGGGAACTCATATACCTTGACTTCATTGCCAGTGCATGGCCCACAGCAGGTGCTCAATAAATGTTTGTTGAATGAGTGGAGCCGTGTCTGAGGGCACTTGATGTTAAAATAAGAGGAGAATCAGGGGACTTGCCAGGGCAGCTGGTTAGGACCCCATTTCAATATCAGGCCTATGGTGTTGGAGGCCTGTCCCCCTTCCGTTTTTTTCTCCCAACAGCTCAGAGATCTTTGGGTTTTCTTTCAGCCTGGGAGCCTCGATCTGAAAGCCAAGCATCACGCAAGGAAGAGGGCCTGCCTGAAGAGGAGCCATCCCATGTCACGGGAAGGGAAGGATTCCCGACAGATGCTCCTTATCCCACCACGTTAGGGAAAGACAGGGAGTGTCAGAGCCAGAGTCTGGCACTCAAGGAGCAGAATAACTTGAAGCAGTTGGAATTTGGCCTCAAGGAAGCACCAGTTCAAGATCAAGGCTACAAAACTCTCAGACTCAGGGAAAACTGCGTCCTGAGTTCAAGCCCAAATCCATTCCCAGAGATCTCTAGAGGGGAGTATTTGTATACTTACGACTCACAGATTACAGACTCAGAACATAACTCCAGCTTAGTCAGTCAGCAGACAGGCTCCCCAGGAAAACAGCCCGGTGAAAACAGTGACTGTCACAGAGATTCCAGTCAGGCCATTCCAATTACGGAACTCACAAAAAGCCAGGTGCAGGACAAACCCTACAAATGTACTGACTGTGGGAAGTCGTTTAACCATAACGCACACCTCACCGTGCACAAGAGGATTCATACGGGAGAAAGACCTTATATGTGCAAGGAGTGTGGGAAAGC
Source organism: Homo sapiens (assembly GCF_000001405.40). Classification (NCBI taxonomy): domain Eukaryota; kingdom Metazoa; phylum Chordata; class Mammalia; order Primates; family Hominidae; genus Homo; species Homo sapiens. Next base: position 58,294,687 of record NC_000019.10, read on the forward strand.
CTTCAGCCAGAACTCCTCCCTCGTCCAGCATGAGCGCATCCACACTGGAGACAAGCCCTACAAGTGTGCCGAATGTGGGAAGTCTTTCTGCCATAGTACACACCTTACCGTCCATCGGAGGATTCACACTGGGGAGAAGCCCTATGAGTGTCAGGACTGTGGGAGGGCCTTCAACCAGAACTCCTCCCTGGGGCGGCACAAGAGGACACACACTGGGGAGAAGCCATACACCTGCAGTGTGTGTGGGAAATCCTTCTCTCGGACCACTTGCCTTTTCCTGCACCTGAGAACTCACACCGAGGAGAGGCCCTACGAGTGTAACCACTGCGGGAAGGGCTTCAGGCACAGCTCATCCCTGGCCCAGCACCAGCGGAAGCACGCGGGGGAGAAGCCCTTTGAGTGCCGCCAGAGGCTGATCTTTGAGCAGACGCCAGCTCTCACAAAGCATGAATGGACAGAAGCCCTGGGCTGTGACCCACCTTTGAGTCAAGATGAGAGGACTCACCGAAGCGACAGACCCTTCAAATGTAATCAGTGTGGGAAGTGTTTCATTCAGAGCTCTCACCTCATCCGGCACCAGATAACTCACACCAGAGAGGAGCAGCCCCATGGGCGAAGCCGGCGGCGTGAACAATCCTCGAGCAGGAACTCACACCTGGTTCAGCATCAACACCCGAACTCCAGAAAGAGCTCTGCAGGCGGAGCAAAGGCAGGGCAGCCGGAAAGCAGAGCCCTGGCTTTGTTTGACATCCAAAAAATCATGCAAGAGAAAAACCCTGTGCACGTTATTGGGGTGGAAGAGCCTTCTGTGGGTGCTTCCATGTTATTTGACATCAGAGAATCCACATAGGAGAGAAACTTTGCTGATGACTTTTAACCACAAGTAAAAAATGTGGTAAGTCCACATAGTGTACTCATGGAAGGAGGGGCTGGGGGTAGAAATGTCATGGGTGACTTCTGACTTTCTAAGGAAATGATGCTTCCCAAGCACCCGAGGTTGGTTGGTCCCAAATCTATCAAACTCAGTGCCCTCTTTAGCGACATATTTTGTGACATTCCTTCCATTACACCACAGTGAGTTCACAGGTAATATAACCTACCCACCTGTGTAATGTCAAAAAAAATCAATATGCGGCCCCATTTTGTAAAGGATCATTAAAATGAAAGTAATTTATGGTAGAGTAAATTGTAGAGTAACGTGTACTGACTTGGTGCAGTATTTCTCCTTGTCACTGTGGGCCCAATTTTGCCAGGAGACCTAGGGCAATAGCCTGTTGCTTGTGGACTGGTAGAGGGTATGATGTTGACCATGGCAATACTGTGAGGGGCCTTCCCATGTGGAACGTGACCTTCCAAAGTAGTGACTAACTCTTGGAAAAGTTTTTAACAACATAATATGCTATTGCATTTCTGGGAAATTCTGGGTAAATTCCAAGCATGCAGCAATTAGTTTGTGCTTATGTGTGAAGTCCAGTTAGGTTCTCAGTTCATACCCTGAAAACTGCTTATTCCACATCTGTTGATGTGGTCCACTGGGGGCAGTTCTGTTCCTCACCATCTTGGCAGCATGCATGGCTCCTGCCCACATTTCAACCACACCCCCAACCCAATTACGTGACCAGCCCCCACGAAATTTCACAGCATTCCGTGCAGGGGAGTGTCACAGCTCCTCTTGAAAAACATCTGGTGTTGCTATGAGCCAGAAGTTCTTTTTTTTGTTTTTTGTCTGAGATGGAGTCTCGCTCCGTCACCCAGGCTGGAGTGCAATGGCGCAGTCTGCTCACCACAACCTCCGCCTCCCAGGTTAAAGCAATTCTCCTGCCTTAGTCCCCCGAGTAGCTGGGATTACACGCACCTGCCACCACGCCCAGCTAATTTTTGTATTTTTGGTAGAAATGGGGTGTTGGCCAGGCTGATCTCAAACTCCTGACCTCGTGATCCACCCACCTCGGCCTCCCAAAGTGCTGGGTTTACAGGCATGAGCCACTATGCCCAGCTGAGCCAGAGGTTCTTAACTGGTGGTGCTTTTGCCTCCAGGGCACATTTGGTGACATCTAGGGACATTTTTGGTTGCTGTGCCTGGAGGAAGGGTGCCGCCGTCATGTAGTGGGTAGAGGCCAGGGACGCTGCTCAACATCCTTTAGTGCCCGGGACAGCTCCTCAACAAAGGATTCTCTAGCTCAAATGTCAATAGTGCCAAGGTGGAGAAGCCACCTGGGTATAAACCCAGCCCAGAAATGTAGCTGACATTTTTAAAACTTGCAGCCAGCTGTGGTGGCTCACGCTTGTGATCCCAGCACTGTGGGAGGCTGAGGAGGGCGGATCCTTTGAGGTCAGGAGTTTGAGACTAGCCTGGGCCCATGGCGAAACCCCATCTCTACTAAAAATACACAAATTAGCCAAGTGTGGTGACATGCGCCTGTAATTCTAGCTACCTGGGGGAGGCTGAGGCACGAGAATCGCTTGAACCTGGGAGGCAGAGGTTTCAGTGAACCGAGATTGCACCACTGCACTCCAGCCTGGGTGACAGAGCAAGACTCTGTCTCAGAAAAAAAAAAGAAAAGAAAAAAAACCTTCAAATTGATTAATCAGGGCTGGACTAGACTAGAAATCATATAAGCTTGATTTTAACAGATGGCATCATTAGCTAGTTTATACATGATGTACTTTTTAGTACATCCTTTACGGTTTTGCAGCATTCATAATTGATGTGAAATAAGGAAGATAATCCTTTTTTTTTTTTTGAGACAGAGTCTCACTCTTTTGCCCAGGCTGGAGTCAGTGTTGTAATCACTGCTCACTTGGCAGCCTCGACCTCCTGGGCTCAAGTGATCCTCCCACCCCAGCCTCCCAAGTAGCTGGGACCACAGGCATGTGCCACCATTCCTGATTTTTTTTATTTTTTGCAGAGACAGGGTCTCACTGTGTTGCCTAGGCTGGTCTCGAACCTTGGCGTCCCAAAGTGTTGAGATTATAGGCATGAGCCACTGTGCCCAGCCACTTATTTTTCTGAGTAACCTTTAAGGATGTATTGTGGACATTTTCAAACATGAGTCATATATTTTTGCTGGTACTCCCATCTACCTCCCCACCATTCTCCTTCCCTGGATATATATATAACCATGTTTGTCCACTGGGACAAAACCATTTTCACAATCATACTAAGCTGTCATTTCACATTTTTGCTGTGCACTGATAGTGTGAAAGCAATGGCAGGTAAAACTGCTGAGCCTGAGTTCAAAGCAGGGCAGTAGCCCTGAGGTTGGTTGTTCATATTCTTCTCCACTGGGAAATGCAGTAAAGAAAAAGAAAAGCTAATTTCACTTAATTTCTTTTCTTTTCTTTTTTTTTTTTTTCTTTTGAGACGGAGTCTCGCTCTGTCGCCCAGGCTGGAGTGCAATGGCGTGATCTCGGCTCACTGCAACCTCCACCTCCACGGTTCACGCCATTCTCCTGCCTCAGCCTCCCGAGTAGCTGGGACTACAGGTGTGCGCCATCTTGCCCAGCTACTTTTTTGTATTTTTAGTAGAGATGGGGTTTCACCATGTTAGACAGGATGGTGTCGATCTTCTGACCTCATAATCCGCCCACCTCGGCCTCCCAAAGTGCTGGGATTACAGGCATGAGCCACTGCGCCTGGCCCTCTTTTTCTTTTTGAGATGGAGTATTGCTCTGTCGCCCAGGCTGGAGTGCAGTGGCACAATCTTGGCTCACTGCAACCTCCGCCTCCCGGGTTCAAGCAGTTCTCATGCTTCAGCCCTCTAAGTAGCTGGGATGACAGGTGTGCGCTACCACACCCGGCTAATTTTTGTATTTTTAGTAGAGATGGGGTTTTACCATGTTGGCCAGGCTGGTCTCAAACTCATGACCTCAAGTAATCTGCCCGCCTCAGTCTCCCAAAATGCTGGCATTACAGGCATGAGCCACCGTGCCTGGCCTACTTTCACTGAATTTCTGTGATGAAACGGGAAAAATTAATTTTGTTAAATCTCAAGTAGAACTATATTGTCATTATCACATCTAAACAGATATCATCAAATACCTAGTGTTCAGATGTTCTGGGTTGCCTCATAAATTTTGTTTTCTATTTGTTTCATAGTAATCATAATCTAAACAAGATCCACACAGTGCATTTGGTTGGAATTTTTCTTTTTTCTTTTTCTTTTTTTTTTTTGTGATGGAGACTTGCTCTGTCACGTGGTTCACTGCAACCTCCCAGGTTCAAGCAATTCTCCTGCCTCAGCCGCCCCTGTAGCTGGGACTGCAGGCATGCACCACCACACTCAGCAGATTTCTTAATTGTTTGTAGAGATGGGGTTTTACTACATTGCCTAGGCCAGTTTCAAACTGGGCTCAAGCGATCCTCCCACCTTGGCCATCCAAAGTGCTAGGATTACAGGTGTGAGCCAATGCACCCTGCCAAACAGCAATTTTTTTTTTTTTTGAGACAGAGTCTCGCTGTGTCACCCAGGCTGGAGTGCAGTGGTGCGATCTCGGCTCACTGCAAGCTCCGCCTCCCAGGTTCATGCCATTCTCCTGCCTCAGCCTCCCGAGTAGCTGGGACTACAGGCGCCCGCCACCACGCCCGGCAAATTTTTTGCGTTTTTAGTAGAGACGGGGTTTCACCCTGTTAGCCAGGATGGTCTCAATCTCCTGACCTCGTGATCCACCTGCCTCGGCCTCCCAAAGTGCTGGGGTTACAGGAGTGAGCCACCGCGCCTGGCCCCAAAACAGCAATTTGAATAACCATGTTGGAATGGTTGAGCATTGGAACGCATTAGCATCAGAACTTCCCGTGTCAGGCCAGGCGCGGTGGCTCACGCCTGTAATCCCAGCACTTTCGGAGGCCGAGATGGGCAGATCACGAGGTCAGGAGATCGAGACCAGCCTGGCTAACACGGTGAAACCCTGTCTCTACTAAAAATACAAAAAATTAGCCTGGCGTGGTGGCGGGCGCCTGTAGTCCCAGCTACTCGGGAGGCTGAGGCGGGAGAATGGCGTGAACCTGGGAGGCAGAGCTTGCAGTGAGCTGAGATAGTGCCTCTGCACTCCAGCCTGGGTGACAGAGCTAGACTCCATCTCGAAAAAAATAAAAGAACTTCCCGTGTCCGTTTTTGCTTTTTGGATGCTGGGAGTGTCACAACTCAGCTATCCAATCAAGGCAGAGCTGGCCTCCAGGATGCCAGAGCCAGAGCTTTGTGGTTCATCTCTAGAGGTTCAACAGGACCCTGTGGATGGCCCAAGTTCGTTTCTCTGCACTTACCTCTTCGGGGTTGTCCTCAAAACGTTGCCGTGTCAGCTCTCACTTTTCACAGCAACTCTGGCCTCCTACCTTGGACTGCGCCACTTCTGTCTCCTTAGATAACCTCCATTCGCATAGCTAAATGCTGCACCCTCCGACACTGCCACAATAATAGTTCTGTGAGTTAGTACCATTTTATAGATAGGCAAAATTTGGCACAGGACAAAAGTTAGTGGTAACTAGAACAAAAGTAACCAGCCCAAGCTAGGAAGTGGTGGAGTTAGAATTTGATGTCAGCACCCAGCTGACCATGGCTTAAACAGATGAGGCTTTGTTCAAAGGCTGTCTTTTCAGTGGCTCAGCTGTGTCACAGTCGATGTTTTCTGCAATCTCTCAACCTTTCCATTGTGGTCATGAGGAGACTCCTATGGCTCCAGCCATTGCATCCACAGTGAAGACTGAAAGAAGGGGGAATGGGCAGGCCAACACTTACCGCTGATGGTGTTTAAAGGAAAAACATTCCCAGAAGCCTGCAGCACATGCCCCCCTTAGTCTCACTGGCCACAGATGGGTCAGGGGGCCACCCCTAATAACAACGGGGCTTAGAAACCTCGTATTTACCTTTCTAACCTCTGTGGTGGAGACAGGTGGGAGAGAAAAGTCCTGGGAAGTGGATGATGGAGGCAGCTAGCCGTAGCTGCTGCTTTTCTCTTCAAGCTCTTGGGAGAATTGCTTGTGCTCCCTATTCCCTTGGTGGATGATGGAGGCAGCTAGCCGTATCTGCTGCTTTTCTCCTTCAAGCTCTTGGGAGAATCGCTTGTGCTCCCTATTCCCTTGGTGGCAGCTCACACCTCAGACCTGCTGTCCGCCCCCACTGCTTCACAGAACCCACTGCAACCACTGTCCAAGGTACTACCTCTGGTGTCGTCTCTCTTCATCCCCAGGACTGTGAAGCCTGCTAACCTCTTTGCAGAGCTCCATCTCCTTGCATTGTGGGGTTCCTTCTAACTCTTCAGGGACTTCTCAACCTCCCGTCACCCTTCCTAAATGCTGGGGTCCTAGAGTCCACCTTGTGCTCCACGCCCTCCCCAGGTGTCATCTACATCCCTAGCTTTGTGCTGCTCACCACCAAATCAGTCTGGTGCTTCTGAGATTTGGGCTTCAGACCCAAACAACTGCTGTGTGCTACTGGGCAACTCCCCGAGGTGTGCCGAAAGCTCCCCAAACCCAGCCTACCCCAAACAAAACTCATTTTCCACCCAGACTAGTCTCTGCTTCCCTGATCCCTTTCCTGGAGGCTGTTTCCACTTGCCATCCCATCATGGAAGCCAGAAAACCAGTCTTCTTGACCTCTCCCCTTCCCCACTCCATGGAGTTAGAGGTCCTGTTGATTTTGCCATGTAAACATTTCGGATTTGCTTACTTCATCCCCACTGCCACCAACAGTGCAGGATGGCCCTAAGAGGAGAAGTAATGTGCTACCAAGTGGCCCAGCCAGAGTGTGAACCAAACAGTCTGGTACCAAAACCCTATTCTGGATCATTCCTCCTTTCTGCTCCACCAGCAGTTTGGGGCACAGGCTTGGGAATCCAGACAGGAAAGCTCCTCCCCTCTGAAGCAGTGGGACCAAAAATGACAGCATGGTTCTAGACAGCTCTGGAAGTCAGGCCTGTGATTGCCTCATTCCCTCCACCTTGGCCCCCAAAATGGCCAGTCCTGAAGGGGTCACAGTTGATACTTCTCTGAGGGGGCATGGGGTTGGCTGAGGTTATAGCAGCCCCACAGGGTGGTAAGCTGGGATGAAGCAATCAACTGGAACTCAACAAGCCTTGAGTTCTCAAAGGGGGTGTGGGAAGGTTCTTATACATCTTCTATGAAGGGCAGTTTATCAGTCACTAAATTACAAATACATAAACCCTTTGTCTCACCAAACCTGCTGGGAATGAATCCTACATATATATTTATATGTGTGCAGGCTACATGGTTTTCATTATGCTATTGATTTTAAAAGTAAAAATTTGGAAAGAACCTCCATGTCCACCATGGGGAACTGGCTAAGTCATTTATGGTGGAATGGTGATCATAAAAATTCATTAAAAATGAAGACTCTATATACAGCTTGAATATTCCTTATCGAAATGCTTGGGACCAGAAGTGTTTCAGATCTTTGCATATTTTCTGTTTCTCATTTCAGTTCACATTTTCTAAGCATGATATTCCTACTGATTTCCTTGTAGATATTTTGAAACAGATAAGAAACTCCTCCGTGGAAATTACTGTTAACTAGGGAAAAGACATGTTTTTTTCTGTTCATAAAAGTAATGCGAGTTCTTTGTAGCAAAACTTGGAAAATGCATAAAAGTAAAAAAAAAATGAAAACTTGTGTAAAATTCCTCATACTTTAGCCATCCATAGATGGTCCTTACCATTAGGATTTTACTAATTTTCCTTGCAGCTTTTTCTTAAAATATACACGTGTGTCTACACATACATAGTGTACACTAAATTTTACATACACACAGAGGAATATATATGTGTATAGTTATCTTGTGTTTAGAAATTTGGAATCCCTTCTAGTTGTCTTGTAACATGTGCTTACTCTATTTTGAGGATTTTCTCTATGAATTTCATGTAGCTCTTTAAATTAACTTTCAGGAGGATTGTAACAATGTGCTCTCCACCCAGTATTTTACCAGCCTTGAGTTTTCTCAAAGGGGGCATTGGAGGGGTTCTTATACATTTACAGTGGGAATGTGAATTGATACAACTTCTGTGGAGGGCAGTTTATCAGCCACTATCTAAATTACACATACATAAACCCTTTGTCTAAGCAAACTTGCTGGGAATAAATCCTACACATATATTTGTATGTGTGCAGACTGTTTGTACATGGTTTTCATTATGCTATTGATTTTAAAAGTCAGAATTTGGAAACAACCCTCCATGTCCACCATGGGGAACTGGCTAAGTCATTTATGGTGGAATGGAGATCATAGCCTTAAAAATGAAGACTCTTTATATACAGGTTGAGTATCCCTTATCCAAAATGCTCAGGACCAGAAGTGTTTCAGATTTCAGATTTTTGAATTAGGGATCCTCAAACTATACTAATGTGAGAAAGAGCTCTAAGATAGTTAAGTAGATAAAAGCAAGGTGTCAAACTGTAGAGTATGTTTCCATTTATGTAAAGAAGAAACAGGCTAGGCAAGGTGACTCACGCCTGTAATCCCAGCACTTTGGGAGGCCGAGGCGGGTGGATCACCTGAGGTCCGGAGTTCAAGACCAGCCTGACCAACACGGTGAAACCCCATCTCTACTAAAAATACAAAAGCTGGGTGTGGTGGTGCACACTTCTAATCCCAGCTACTCCGTAGGCTAAGGCAGGAGAATCGCTTGAACCCAGGAAGTGGAGGTTGCAGTGAGCCAATATTGTGCCATTGCACTCCAGCTTGGGCAACAAGAGCGAAACTCCATCTCAAAAATAAATAAATAAATAAGAAACATTTGTTTATATGTACACACATAATCTCTGAAAGGGTAAAAGTGGCATACTGGTTGGCCAGAAGAATTGGGAGGACAGTGATGAGGAATAATTTTCACTCTTTATCATTTTATATTTTTGGAATTTTGAAACATGTAAAATTATTACCAGTTCAAAAAATAAATTTAAACAAAAATCTTAACTGTTTCAAATTAAAGTAAGTTTGATAATTTCTTTCATTGTTTACTGTCTGCATCCCCCATACAGTGTTCACATGAGCAGAGAGTGTGTGTCTTGGTCATATTCATACTTGTTCTATATATACTCGTGTGTGTGTGTGTGTTCAGTTGACAGAAACAGTTGAGTGTAAAACAGCTTCAACTCGATGATACCAAAGATACAAGATAAAGGTCCCTGGAGGGTGGCTGTAGCGCACACATACATTTCCAAGTTACTTTGTTAAATTTCCTGTATCAATGAGCCCCAATTATGAGAGCCCCCTACATACAAGTTTTAGCCAATAGCCAAGTCCCCCATTTCCAGTGTTATCTTCATGTCCTCCAAGGTATTCAAGTTGTTTCTGCAATGGGTAACTGGGAAGAAATCAGCATCCAGTCTGAAAAGCAGTCTCCCATAGGTCTTTTGTAAGGAGATCCAACATGGACATCTTCCAGAATGCACTGTACAACATGGTAGCCACTAGTCATGTATAGCTATTTAGATGTAAATTTTTTTAATTAAAAAAATTTTTCATTTATAGCAACAGGGACTCACTGTGTTGCCCAGGTTGGTCTCGAATTCCTGGGCTTTAGTGGTTCTCCCACTGTGGCCTCCCAAAGTGCTGGGATTACAGGCGTGAGCCACCATGCCCGGCCCAGAGCTGATAGAATTTTTAAAGTCCCCCTGTGATGATCTGACTGTGGTAGGAGTAGGGAGGTGTAACCCGAGTCAGTATGCACATTGGGAGCCTCCTCCACTAGGTCATACAGGCCTTCTGCGTGTAGATGGAATTATCATGTCCCACACTGTACCCCGGCACCTCCCTCGATTAAGGTGATTTGCATCATGCAGGGCCTGCCTGTTATCAGAGAGTCTCCTGGACATACAGAAATAGGAATGTACAGGGACTGCATACACCTGTTGCTCAATTTCTAGCTAAATGGCTGGAGGTGGGGGATAAAGAAATGGCATTCATACGGTGTAATACTAGCCATGTTTCAGAAAGTTTTCAAAAAATGTTTAGTGGAGAAATGTGCAGGGTCAGTGGAAGAAAACCTGTAAAATTATATTATGATTGTTTTATACTCTATACGGACAAGCCTAAATTGGAGGGCATTTTGGAAAACTCGCTTGGATACATGAAAACTGCCAAGATCATTATAAAGAAACAACAGGATCCATTCTAGATTGAAAGCAACTTGAAATGAGACAGTAGAGTGTAATGCGTGTTTAGTTTGTGCTTGAATAAAAGACGAAAACTACGTAAGACATTGGGACAACTGGAGAAATTAGCATATGGGCTGGGGATTGGGTACAGGCTTCAATGTCGTTACTTGGGTGAGTTGAAGAATGTACGTGTTCTTAGGGGACATCTGCTTAAGGATATACAAGGTTCAGGGGGGAAAAATATCTCCAAACGATATACTTTTATATCTATGTGTGTACATGTGTGCGCGTAGAGAAAGAAAAAAGTACATACGCTGTATATTTCAAAGAACATATAAAACCATGGATGTCAATATACTTCCCTTCCGGTGCGCTGCCTGCGCAGAACCGAGAGGTTCTGACGATCCGCAGCTCCCACGCTCCCCTTCCGGCCCCGCAGCGCTGTGAACTCCATTTCCCAGAAGGCCTTGTATCCCGTGCATGGCCGTTTCCAGGCAGGAAGGCGAAGGGCCTTCTGGGAGGTGAGGTCCTGGGCGGCCGCTGGCCACCAGGCGGAAGTGCGTACCGGAAGTGCCGGCGGCAGTGTGTAAGACGCTCACGGGCGCGCGGACTATCGGGCGGCTAGGCTCTCTGAGGAGGCTGCCACAGTGGTGAGTGGTGTGTGGAGGAGAGGCGAGGGTGATTGTGAGGGATGGAGAGGCGCCCGTGGCCTAAGTGTGCTGATGGTGGGAGTGAATGAGTGGACGGGTGGGACCTGTGAGGGGAACGCGACCCCGGGTCGGCGCGGGCAGAGAGGCGCGCGGTGCGTGAGGGCGCGACCTGCCATGTCCTGCCGGGTGTCACCGCTTATGCGCCCGTGGGAGGGGAGCATTCTGTGTTGGAGGCAGAAGGAATGAGGGTCGTGACCAACTCATTATACCACTGGAGGCTCTATGAGCAAACCGCAAACTGTTCTCATGAAAGCAGGATGTTGGTAAACTGACAAACTGCGTCTGCCGCCAGAAGGAATGCTGGGGGCAGTCATGTCCCAGGTCCCCTGCTCCTTGAGGTTATCTACAGGAACATCTGGAACCTGCTGAACAAAGAAAGCAGTCATGTGGGCCTGTGTTAAATCAAATAGCTGACCGTCAGTTACCCTTTCCTCCCTATTCAGTCTACCTAACAAATATGAAGGGCTGTAAAAGCTCAGGGCCCTGTTCCCTAGAATCTAGGAGCCCCCTGACCCCTTCTTTCAAACAGATCCTTTTGTCTTTGTCTTCATTTCTGCCTTCGTTCTCCTTCGTTTGGTCCAGAAGCAACCGTGACAAGTGGTGCCCGACCAGGGACCTGAACGAGGAAGGTCTGCCAGAGCAGAGAAAGTGAAACTGATCAGACGAACTACGAACCCCTGGACGGGAGAGTCTGCCGGCGGAGAATATAAGGTCAGTTCCCTGAGAAGGTATCGGGAGCGGGAGGTTTCTGAATCAGGGTAACATGGGGCAGAATCTGTCTGTTGAGGAGCAACATTATGTGCAGCTGCTTAAAGTTTTACTTAAACAATCTGGTGCTCGGGTTAGTTCTCAAACATTAAGCTTCTGCAGGAGGTTATTACACATAACCCATGGTTTCTGCAGACAGGTACTCTTGCTGTGGAAAATTGAGACTGAGTAGGAGAAAGATTGAAACGAGCTCATCAGAAAGTTCTTAAAGTGGATCCTTCTATTTTCTCTGCTTGGGGTTTGGTCTGTACTGTCCTCCTGCCATTGTCCTCTTCTTATTCTGCCAGACAGCAGGTGCTATGTTCTGAATCTCAAAAATTGAAAGAATCTTTTGTCTCACCAGCAGCGCCCATTGAAAATGATAAACAGGAGAGGGAGGATGAGAACTGGCCTGTACTGTCCCCTCCAGTAGCAGAAATAGAGACCCCAGTACAAAAAATTCTACATGCTGTGGCCATAGCTGGCGAGCCACTAGGACCTTGCACTTTTCCTATTACCTTAAGGCCTGATCCAAATAATCCACAGCAGTTTATTCATGAACACACTCCAGTAAAATTTAAATTATTGAAAGAATTAAAAGCTAGTGTGGTTAATAATGGAATACAGAGCCCATTTACTTTAGGATTGTTAGAATCTGTATTCAGCACTATGCGCCTCCCACCCTTGGATATAAAGCATTTAGCTTGCACTTGTTTCTCTGCTAGTGCATATTTGACATGGAATTTAAATTGGCAAGAAATGTGTGCAGACCAGGCTAGACAGAATCTCACCGCTGGACATGGGAACATTACAGAGGAAATGCTATTGGGTAGTGACTCTTATTCAGATCTGGTGCAACAATTGACACTTCCAGATGCTGCTTACCATCAGTGCGCCTGGCCGCTAAGCGTGCCTGGGCCACCATTCCTGAGAAAGGGGTCTCAATAAAATCTTTTCCGCATATCATGCAAAAATCACAGGAGCCCTTTGCACAATTTATTGCACAGTTACAACAGTCAGTGAGGCATCAGATTCCTCATACTGCTCCTGCGAAAATGCTTACTTTGACCCTAGCTTTTGAAAATGCAAATGCAGATTGTAAATGTGCATTAGCACCCGTGAGATGTACAAACAGCTTGGGAAATTTTCTCAAAGCCTGTCAGGATGTGGGAACTGAACTCCATCGTTCAACTGTGTTAGCTCAAGTAATAGCTAATTTAGTAGTGAACAAATCTGAAAAGGGCCAAGGGTTGAGCCCTAAAGTGGGAAAATGTTATAATTGTGGAAAAATTGGACATTTCAAAAAAGAATACCATCAGACCTCTGGGCAGAAGGGATCTTACAATGCAATACCGCCCCCCCCTCCCCGCCCCGCTCCCCCCAACACACACACACAGAAAAAAAAACACCAGGACTTTGCCCTCGCCGTAATAAAGGAAATCATTGGGCTAATCAGTGTTGCTCAAAATTTCATCAGAATGGCACCCCGCTCTCAGGAAATGAGAATGGGGCCTGGGCCCCTCAAACAATGAGGGCATTCCCCATCCAGGCCACAACCCTGCTACAGGGGTGGGTTCCTGGAGGAACATTGACTCCCTCTCCTCTGGAACACCGGGGAGTGCAGGATTAGATCGCTCAGTCAGAGAATGGGTCACGTTAGTTGGAGGAGACAAACCCACCAGAATTCCCACAGGCATTTGGGAACCTTTGCCAACAGGATATACAGGATTAATTTTAGGCCAAAGCCATCTGAACTTACAGGGCATTACTGTGATCCCTGGATTGTTGACTCTGATTATGAAGGAGAAATTCAAGTAATTGTAATGTCACAAGATCTTTGGGTTTTTAAACCTGGGAAATATATTGCTCAGCTATTGCTTATTATTATTCTCTGCAAATTACACCCTTCTTCACGAAAGGAGAAAAGAGGAAATCAAGAATTTGGGAGTACAACTACACAGGAAATTTACCTATCCCAACCCATAGCTTCTAATTGACCCACCTGTGCAGTGCAAATTAAAGGAAAGAAGTGTTGTGGGTGTATGGACACAGGAGCAGATGTTTCAGTAATATCCAAAAACAATTGGCCCCTGCTACTAACCTCTGCATCCTTAGTGGGAGTAGGAACAGCTCAAAGTGTTTAACAGAGTGCTGAAATTTTACTTTGTGTCAGTCCAGATGGACAGCCATGTACTTTTCAACCTTATGTTGCAAATATACGTGTTAATCTCTGGGGCTGAGATTTACTTACAGCATGGGATGTGAGACTTACAAATGAAAAGGTTGATAATCCAGGATTTAAAATATTGAAGGAAATGGGATATCAGAGTGGGAAAGGCTTGGGAAAGTTCCTACAGGGAAACCCCGGTCCGGTATCGGTAACTGGGCAAACAGATAGGAAAGGGCTAGGTCATCAGGATTTCTGATAGGGGTCATTGATACTTCTTCTCCACCCACTGCCTTGCTGCTAGAGTGGCTGACTGATAAACCTGTGTGGGTGGATCAATGGCCCCTATCACAGGAGAAAACTGACTCAACTCCATCAGCTGGTAAGAAAGCAATTGGATGCAGGACATATAAAAGTATCAGTTAGTGCTTGGAATTCACCAGTATTTGTGACCCCCAAAACGTCAGGAAAATGGCAACTGCTGCATAATTTGAGAGCTGTTAATGCACAAATTAAACCAGTGGGTGCATTACAGCAAGGTCTGCCATCCCCGGCAACCATTCCAAGAGATTAGCCTCTTGTAGTAATAGATCTTAAAGACTGTTTTTTCACTATACCATTACACAAGAAGGACAAGCCTCAATTCGCCTTCTCTGTGCCTTCTATTAATCAGAGAGAGCCTGTCTCTTGTGATCAATGAAAAGTTTTATTACCCCAGGCATGCTCAACAGTCCTACGTTATGTCAGCATTTTGTAGGAAAAGCATTGAAGGAGCCTCGGAATATGTTTTCCACCACCTACATCATTCATTATATGGATAATATTGTTTTGGCCACTCCTACAGATCAAGTATTATACCAGTTATTCAGAGAAATAAAATGGGCTTTAACTAAATGGAATCTCAAAATAGCTCCTGAAAAGGTACAAACAACCTCCTCATACCAATACTTAGATACTACTGTTACTGAAAAAAGTATTCAGCCTCAGAAAGTAGCTCTTCGTAAGAACAAATTACAAACTCTGAATAACTTAGGGGATATTAATTGGCTGCGCCCAATGCTAGGTATTGCTTCTTATCAACTCACTCATGTTTATCAAACCCTCCAAGGAGATTCTTCATTAGATTCCCCTCGGCAACTTACTAAGGAGGCAGAAGCTGAATTACAGCTTGTAGAAAGATGCTTCAGCAACGACATGCCTCCTGGCTACAACCACAAAAGTCTTTGGTTTTGTTTATTCTTCCTACCCCCCATTCTCCATCAGGACTTTTAGCTCAATTCATAGACAAAACTATAATGGTAATAGAATGGCTTTTTTTATCCAGTCAAACAGTAAAATCTTTGCAAGTTTATCTTGCTTTAGTCACACAACTTATAACAATAGGCAGGCATAGATCAAAAATGCTTACAGGATATGATCCTGATAAAATTATTGTTACCTTGGATTCCCAACAACAGGCTGCGGCCTGGGAGATGTCCACTGCATGGCAAATCACTTTCGCAGATTTTGTAGAAATAATAGATAACCATTATCCATCAGACAAAATTTTGCAGTTTTATAAAATTCACCCTTTTATTCCCCCTGTGATTGCTCATCACAAACCCATTTCAGGTGGACAGACCTATTTTACCGATGGCTCTTCCAAAAGCCACACAGCCATTTATGGACCTAAATATACTTAAATAATAAAGACCCCTAGAGTTTCAGCTCAACACTCTGAATTAATGGCAGTTATTCAAGTTTTAAAGCTCACAGCTTTATTTCCTATTAATATTGTCTGTAATTCAGCCTATGTCGTAAATGTAGCTAGTTGCATTAAAACTGCCACTATCAAGAGTGTACGGACCAGCCCCACAGGGTCGGTGGGTCTCTCCCTGTGTGCGGCGACGAGAGAGTGTAGAAATAAAGACACAAGACAAAGAGATAAAAGGCAGCTGGGCCTGGGGGACCACTACCACCAATGCGCGGAGACCGGTAGTGGCCCCGAATGTCTGGCTGCGCTCTTATTTATTGGATACAAAGCAAAAGGGGCAGGGTAAAGAGTGTGAGTCATCTCCAATGATAGGTAAGGTCACGTGGGTCATGTGTCCACTGGTCAGGGGGCCCTTCCCTGCCTGGCAGCCGAGGCAGAGAGGGAGAGGAGACAGAGAGAAAGACAGCTTACGCCATTATTTCTGCATATCAGGGACTATTAGTACTTTCACTAATTTACTACTGCTATCTAGAAGGCAGAGCCAGGTGTACAGGATGGAACATGAAGGCGGACTAGGAGCGTGACCACTGAAGCACAGAATCACAGGGAGACGGTTAGGCCTCCGGATAACTGTGGGCGAGCCTGACTAATGTCAGGCCCTCCACAAGAGGTGGAGGAGCAGAGTCTTCTCTAACCTCCCCCAGGGAAAGGGAGACCGCCCCCCACCCTTTCCCGGTCTGCTAAGTAGCGGGTGTTGTTCCTTGACACTTTTCGCTACCGCTAGACCACGGTCTTCCCAAACGCTGGCGTCACCACTAGACCAAGGAGCCCTCTGGTGGCCCTGTCTGGGCATAACAGAAGGCTCGCACTCTTGTCTTCTGGTCACACCTCACTATGTCCCCTCAGCTCCTATCTCTGTATGGCCTGGTTTTTCCTAGGCTATGATTATAGAGCAAGGATTATTGTAATATTGGAATAAAAAGTAATTGCTACAAACTAATGATTAATGATATTCATATATAATCATATCTAAGATCTATATCTGGTATAACTATTCTTGTTTTATATTTTATTATACTGGAACAGCCCGTGTCCTCTGTCTCTTGCTTCGGCGCCTGGATGGCTTGCCGCCCACACAAGAGCACCTTAAAACCAGAACTGCTTAACCTATTTCTGAGACTCCAAAAAGCTGTTCGCTCTCATGCTGCCCCTTTTCATATTTCTCATATCCGATCTCACACACAACTTCCTGGGGCCACTATCTCTAGGTAATGATAGAGCAGATAAATTCATCAGTTCTATATTTCAACAAGCCCAAGCTTCCCATGCTTTACTGCATCAGAACAACTTGCCCTTACTCGTATGTTTCATCTGCCTCGCAGCCAGGCTTGAGTTATTGTGCAAGCCTGCCCCACTTGCCAGCATGTCCCTGGTGTTGCACCTGTGGAAGGATGCAACCCACGAGGCTTGGCTCCAAATGAAATCTGGCAGATGGATGTTACATATATATAGCAGCCTTTGGCTAACTCCGCTATGTTCATGTAATATAGACACTTACTCCCATATGTTACATGCCACATGCCAAACTGGGGAAACAGCTGGTCATGTCTGACGATACTGTCTGTCGTCATTTGCCCATATGGGGGTCCCTAAACAATTTAAAACTGACAGTGGACTCGCTTATGTTAGTCATGCTTTCCCAATTTTTTACAATTGTGGGCAATCAATCATAAAACAGGAATTCCATACAATCCCTGAGGGCCAGGCATTATTGAGCGGGTACATCAAACACTACAACGCATGCTGAAAAAACAAAAAGGGAGAATAGGGGACCAATTACCACTTCAAACAAAATTACATTTAGCCTTGTTTACTTTAAATTGTTTGACTCCTGGTACGGATGGCAAGACCCCAGCAGAACGACACTGGCAACTGCTAGAGGAAAAGAGGCAAGTTTATCCAAAAGTGTTATGGAAATCCCCAGAAGAAGGACAATGGAAAGGTCCGGTGGATTTGCTGACGTGGGGACGAGGGTATGCTTGTGTTTTTACAGGAGATGGACAAACCGTGTGGGTGCCCTCCAGGTGTGTGTGACCATGGAACGGGAGACCGGAGGGATCCATGGTATTCAACCGTGGGCCTGTTACCTCCAGTACGAGCCATGAGCCAGCGGAATCTGAATGCAAAGACAGAACAAGGGCCGACCGGAGTCACAATGACATCCAACCCCATAACATGGGGACAGATCAAGAAAACGACACAAGAAGCTGAGAAACTACTGGAGCGCCAGGGTCAGGCAAAAACCCCTGACTCCATGTTCTTGGCCATGCTAGCTGTAGTGTCCTGTGCGGTATGTTTCCCCTGTGTAGAGGCAAAAACATATTGGGCATATGTTCCTAACCCACTGGTAGTACGACTGGTACTCTGGAGCGACACTCCTCCTGAGATATATTATGATCAGGGAGCGTGGGCACCAGGACCCCTAACTCCGTCTGACACAGAGCAATAGCATCAATTACACCGGCCCATTGGAAGGACTCCCTTTATGTATCACCATGGATACGTCACTCAACTGCAGCTGTCTTGCAGTCCAATCTCAGGCATGGTTAAGTCACCATGGAAAAATTATGTATTTATTAGGCCTCAGCTTTATTAATGTTACTGGCGTGTTCACCAATCACTCCTAGCCCCATCACTCAAATTGTATGGATTATATGGAATGGGCTCCCTTTGATATTTCTCACCCCCCTCCTTGGACCCAGTGTCTTGGCCCCTTGGCCAGACAACAGTCTATGTTAATGGGAAACATTGACTGGGGTCCCCGTGGCCATTTAGAGGGGAGAGATGAAAATCAGACCTCTTGGCACAAACTTCACTGGCACTGGTGGTGGACCTTCAACACCTCTTCATCACATCACACTGGGATTCAGTCCCCCAGTTGGCTGCACAACTTGCTTGGTATAGGACAGGCTTTAACCCGCCCTTACCTCAGTGACGTCATCTAGGAAACAGAGGCCCAATTCAGGAATCGATATGGAAGGCAACACTCCCATTTATGAATAACAGCATCTGGGTCAGAACATTATCCAACAATAGTAATATTACTCAACACAGTTTTAATATCACCTTTGTAAAAAATATTACCACTCAATTTACGGTTTGTGGGTTTTTTGTTGTTGTTGTTAACTGTTTGAGATGGAGTCTCACTCTGTCGCCCAGGCTGGAGTGCAGTGGCGCAATCTCGGGTCACTGCAACCTTTGCCTCCCGGGTTCAAGCAATTGTCTGCCTCAGCCTCCCGAGTAGCTGGGATTACAGGCACCCGCCACCGTGCCAGGCTATTTTTTGTTTTTTGTATTTTTAATAGAAACGGGATTTCACCTTCTTGGCCAGGCTGCTCTTGAATTCCTGACCTCGTGATCCACCCGCCTTGGCTTCCCAAAGTGCTGGGATTACAGGCGTGAGCCACCATGCCCGGCCAGTTTGTGTTTTTAATCCCTATGTTTTTCTAGCATCTAAGAAGGACCAACTCCACGTAAACATCACCCAGTTGACTTGTGACTCTTGTCAACTGTATCACTGCCTCAATCATAGCACAATACAAACACACAACATATCCACTCTAATAATTCTGGGTCGTATCCCTGGATTATGGATCCCTGTCAATTTGTGCAAACCTTGGGCTGCCACCCCTGCTTTACATTTTGTAAAACTCCTTCTTACCCAGCTCACTCATCGTGCACGTAAAGCCTTAAACATAGTAATTTTTACTGTAATCTCCTTAGTCACACTAATAACCTCGGTTGTAGTGTCCTCAGTAGCACTACATAGTTCTATTCAAACAGCCCAATATGTAGAAAATTGGACATGTACAGCCAACCAGGCATGGATGCTTCAAAATAAAATTAATACCGAATTACAAACAAAGGTAGCAATGTTAAAGGCTACTGTTCTGTGGCTGGGAAAGCAGGTACAAAGTTTGCAATTGTAGCAGCAATTGCACTGTCATTTCAATCATATTCATATTTGTGTGACCAATTTGGAATAGAACCAAAGTGAATATCCATGGAACCTTGTAAAAGCTCATTTGCAGGGAGCTTTTACATCCAATATTACTTTTGATATCAGTAACTTACAGAGTAAAATTCTTAACTTGAATAAGCAAACTCAAAAATAACAGCCCTTTTTAGAAGCTTAAACAGAATTCCAGCAGGGCTTAGAAAGCCTCAACCCTGGCCGGGTGCGGTGGCTCACGCCTATAATCCCAGCACTTTGGGAGGCCGAGGCAGGCAGATCACGAGGTCAGAAGATCGAGACCATCCTGGCTAAAACAGTGAAACCCCATCTCTACTAAAAATACAAAAAAATTAGCTGGGTGTGGTGGCGGGCACCTGTAGTCCCAGCTAATCAGGAGGCTGAGGTGGGAGAATGACGTGAACCCGGGAGGCAGAGCTTGCAGTGAGCCAAGATGGCGCCACTGCACTCCAGCCTGGGTGACAGAGCGAGACTCCATCTCAAAAAAAAAAAAAAAAAAAAAAAAGCCTCAACCCTTGGACCTACCTTAAACATAACTTCAATGTCTCTTTTATAATAATTACAAGAATAATGTTGTTATGTCTCTGTTTTTTTGCTCATAGTCTATAGGATCGGGTGAACCACCAACCGGCAATTGAAAGCTGCACAGCCTGAAATTACCTTTATTCAATTAATGCAAAAACAAAAGGGGAGATGTTGGAGGCCGAAGGAATGAGGGTCGTGACCAACTCAGTATACCACTGGAGGCTCTGTGAGCAAACAGCAAACTGTTCTCATGAAAGCAGGATGTTGGCGAACTGACAAACTCTGTCTGCCGCCAGAAGGAATGCTGGGGGCAGTCATGTCCCAGGTCCCGTGCTCCTTGAGGTTATCCACAGGAACATCCAGAACCTGTTGAACAAAGAAAGGAATCATGTGGGCCTGTGTTAAATCAAATAGCTGACCGACAGTTATCCCTTCCTCCCTATTCACTCTACCTAATAAATATGAAGGGCTGTAAAAGCTCAGGTCCCTGTTCCCTAATATCAAGGAGCCCCCTGACCCCTTCTTTCAAACAGATCCTTTTGTCTGTCTCATTTCTGCATTCGTCGTCCTTCGTTCGGTCCAGAAGCAACCGCGACAGTCCTGCATGTGTTGATGCCACCTGTATGTGCAGGTGTGACCTCAGGTGTGTGAGTATCCCTCATACCCCTTATCATCACTGCCTATTCGCTCTTCCTCCAGCCTCTGGCAACCACTAATCCACGTTATATGTCTAGATTTGCCTCTTCTGGACACTTCATATAAATGGAGTCATACAATATGTGGTTTCTTGTGTCTGGCTTTTTACCACTGAACGTTTTCAGAGTTCATCCATGTTGTAGCATGTATCAGTTTTTCATTCCTCTTTATGGCTGAATAATACTGCATTGTATGGATATACCACAGTTTGTTTACTCATTAGTTCATAGACATTGGGGTTGTTTCCAACTCTCTGATATTATAAATGCTACTGCTGTGAAAATTCATGTACAGGTGTTTGTGTGGATGTATATTTTTAATTTGGGAAGGGGAGGCCATGGGTGGGACCTAGGCTTGTGAAGAGCCTGGCCTGGGTGTATCTGTTTGTCCGAGGAGTGCCTGTATGCATGGCCATGACCACACCCACTCCTTGCTGCCTGTGCTCATTAGCCATACTTCATTTTCCAGAATCCCAGGCCTGGGCCCCTGAAGTCAAAGCCAGGAGCCTAGAGCCACACTGATGTGTAGGATCAAAGAGAAGGCGGCAGTGGCCCTGGAAACAAACCTGTCTCTGCAAGAGTCACTAGCAACCTGGGACCTCTGCCCAGGACTGAGACCTCGGGTGCCCCCTACCCTGTAGCTGCTGAGGCCAAGCAATGTGGAGACAGAGAGAGGGTGAGGTGATGGAGCCTGAGGTGCCGAGTGAGGTAGATGGTGGGGTGGCAGTCACAGTGGCACAGGAGGCAGGTACAGGGCTAGATGTTTTCAGAAACCAGATATCCCTCTAAAACACACCCTGCTTCTGCTGCCTTCATTCCACTGCCCTGCCTTCCTCAGCCTGCTCTACACCACTACCTCCTCATGGTTCTCCTGCCTCCCGTTGCCCCCTTCATCACTCTCCACTCAGCATTGGGTAGAGAGGGTCTTTTACCCCTGACTGATGAGGCCACCCCTCTCTTTAAACCCTCCATCACTGCCCAGGCCATCAGAGTATGGTTGGCAAACTCTTCTGTAAAACACAAGCAGCAGGCTGGGCGCAGTGGCTCATGCCTGTAATCCCAGCATTTTGGGAGGCTGAGGCAGGCCTGAGGTTGGGCCTATGAGACCAGCCTGGCCAACATGGTGAAACCCTGTCTCTACTAAAAATACAAAAAATTAGCTGGGCGTGGTGATGCATGCCTGTAATCCCAGCTACTCGGGAGGCTGAGGCAGGTGAATCGCTTGTTCCCAGGACATAGAGATTGTGGTGAGCCAAGATCGTGCCTTTGCACTCCAGCCTGGGCAACGAGCGAAACTCTGTCTCAAAAACCAAACAAAAAACACACAAGCAGCAAATGTCAGCTTTGTAGGCTCAGAGAGAAAACCAAGAATGTTACAAAGGTACCTATCTAACAAGAGAAAAACATGTCCATACATTTTATTAATAAAATCCAAAACTTTGTTAAATGTAATTCATTCCTTAATGAGCAAAAAGCTTTTCACAGGAGGTTCCATTTTATAGATAGGAAACAGACCCCAAGGGAGGTGAGCAGCCCAGAATTACAGCAGAGAGTGGTGAAGATTTGATCCTAGATCTGACAGCCTCTACCATCATACTTGCCATTCTCAGCTTAGGAATAAGATGGGGAGGAAGGTGTGGGTAATGGGCAAATCAGGGCCCAAATAGTCTGTTCAGTACTCTTGTCTCGTGGGAAGGAACAAAAGGCCCCACATCTGCCCTTCCTCCTGGGAGTCTCTGTTAGGACCTGAATTCAGTACAGCAGGAATGATCAATTTTTCTCTTTAGAGCACTCACCCACTTGACATCTCACTTTGTTCTCACATAGTCCTCATAGAGGTATCCTGTGGCTGCTGTCCTTGAAGCCTGATAGCATGGAGCTGAGGCCTCAGACTATAACAGGGCACATAATTTTCATGAAGTTCAAGAAGAGGCTGGGCTGGGCGCGGTGGCTCATGCCTGTAGTCCTAGCACTTTGGGAGGCCAAGGAGGGTAGATCACCTGAGGTCAGGAATTCGAGACCAGCCTGGCTGACGTGGCAAAACCCTGTCTCTACTAAAAATACAAAAATTATCCTGGCATGGTGGCAGGTGCCTATAATCCCAGCTACTCGGGAGGCTGAGGCAGGAGAAGCGCTTGAATCCGGGGGGCAGAGCTTCCAATGAGCCAAGATTGCACTATTTCACCCCAGCCTGGACAAAAGAGGAAAACTACGTCTTAAAAAAAAAAAAAAAAAATTAGGCTGGGACACCTTTCCTGGAAGGGCTACTTACTACAGGGGAGCTGTCTAAGGTGCTGAAATGTCCTAGCCCTGCGCTGTCCAATATGGTAGTTATGATTAAATTCAAATAAAATTACAAGTTCCATGTCCCAGTCACACCAGCTATGTTTCCAGTACTCAGGAGCTACCTGACACTGATGGTGCCATATTGGACAGCACAACTCCAGAACTTTTCCATCCTCACAGAACATTCTAGAATTTAATTTGAATGCTAGTTACACAGGGCTGTGCATTTACCAAATTCACTAAGCTGAGCACTTGTAATTCTGTAAAACATGTATATGTATTTTTGAAAGCACAAAGTTTCACGTCCCCGCCTGCCAGTCACTTTACCAAACAACCTTTGGTTTAACTTCTCTGTGCCCCAGTTTCCCAACCTGTAAAAGAGAGTAATGATACCTCCCCTTTGATTGGTTGAGAGTACCACCAAAGGTGTTTGCTGGGTGGCCTGACCTGCAGGAGGTGCTCAGGAAAGGGGAGCTGCTGCTGTCATTTGGTGGAAGTGGGTCCCCTTATCTGGCTAGCAGATGCCTTGAGTTATGGTGAGTATGATGGGGACAGACTCCCAGGAGGATGGAATGGCATCACTCTGTGGAAAGACTGTGAAACAGAACACGAACACCTCATGGCATCTTTGCTGCCTAGAGCCATGCCACTTGCACACCCTCCTTCTGCTCCTGACTCCCAGGAAGGCAAGGGGGTCACTGGGCTTGGGGCTCCACAGAAAGAGGCTTCCTGATTTGATGCTTAAGAGCTGTGCCTCAGACGCCTGCCTCTAAAACAGAAAGCCGTCCACACAGACACCCCACCTCATCTGGGTACCTCCTCTGGACCTAGGCTGGGTCCCCACAGGCAGCCACAGCCATCTATGCTGCTGCCCCCACACTGCCTCTGGCTGTGGGCTTCTCGAGGGCTTGCTGTGTGATGCTGAGTTCCTTAACGTGGAGACAATGTGTTGGAGTGTGGCAGTGTTCAGGCCCTGCTAGCCAAATAAGGGGACCCACTTCCACCAAATGACAGCAGCAGCTCCCCTTTCCTGAGCACCTCCTGCAGGTCAGGCTGCTCAGCAAACACCTTTGATGGTACTCTCAACCAATCAAAGGGGAGCTATCATCATTACCCTCTTTTACAGGTTGGGAAACTGGGGCACAGAAAAGTTAAACCAAAGGTTGTTTGGTAAGTGACTGGCAGGCAGAGATGTGAAACTTTGTGCTTTCAAAAATACATGTATATTTTTTACAGACGTACATGTGCTCAGCTTAGTGAGGAAACTAGGAAACAGGCCCAGAGCTGGGATATGGTCAGTCAGTGGCATGAAGAGCCGAGAGTGGAGCCTGGCAGGAATTTCCAGCTGGCATCCATTTGTTACTGAATATCAGGGCACTCCCCCAGAGACACAAGCCACCCCTAACCACATTCTGGAAAACGATCTCACGTGTGTTTCCGTCCTAGATCAGGGGTGCTCCTGCCAAGGAGAGGGTGTATGTGGGGAGGCCTGCAGCTGTTTCCCAGACCTTAATCAGCCACAAGGAGTCCACGCTGGGGAGGGTGTACTGCCATGTAGTGGGTGGGAAGATACCTTTGGCAAGAACACGTGCCTTGTGAGCTATCAGCAGATTCCCAACAAAAGGAGACCCTGTACGTGCGAAGAGTGTGGCAAGGCCTTTGGACAGAGAAGTCACCTTGTTCAGCACACCAGTGAGAAGCTGTATGCATGCCAGGAATGTGGGTGTACCTTCAGCAACAATTCATCTCTAGTCAAGCACTGGCACGTCCACACAGGCGAGAAGCCCTACATGTGTGGCCACTGTGGCAAGTGCTTCCGAGAGAGCTCATCCCTTGCCAAGCACCAGCGTGTGCACACAGGTGAGAAGCCATACGTGTGTGGTGAGTGTGGACGCACCTTCAGCGAGAGCACACACCTTGTACAGCACTGGTGATTCCACACCGGGGAAAAGCCATTTGCCTGCCAAGAGCAGCAAAGCCTTTGCTGACTTCTCGGCCCTCCTTGCATGCCACGGAACCTACACGGGTGAGAGGCCCTACGAGTGCCGGGTATGCTGCAAGGCATTCAGCCCCAGCTTGTCCCTGGCTGAGCACATACGCTGCCACACGGGAGAGAAGCTGTATGCGTGTCAGGAATGTGGGAAAGCTTTCAGCCACAGCTCATCCCTCAGCAAGCACCAGCAGGTACACACAGGTGAGTGGCCCTATGTGTGTGCAGAATGTGGAAAGGCCTTCAGCCAGGGGTCCTACCTGACCCAGCACCTCAAGATCCACAGCGGTGAGAAGCCGTACATACGTGGTGAGTAAAGGAAGCCATTCGGTGACTCCTCAGCCCTGGTCCTACACCAGCGGGTGCACACAGGCGAGCATCCTTATGCATGTGGAAAATGTGGGAAGACTTTCAGCCACAGCAAGTTTCTCACCCAGCATGAGCAAGTCCGCATGGGAGAGAAGCCCTTCATGTGTGGTGACTGTGGAAGAGCCTTCATGCAAACCTCATCCCTCGCCCTCCATCAGAGGACTCACAATGGGGAGAAGCCCTACAAGTGGAATGAGTGTGGCAAGTCCTGCATCCAGATGTCACACCTCACCGAGTATTACCAGGTACACGCTGGGGAACGACCCTTTCAGCCGTGGCACACACCTCACGCAGCACCAGCATGTGCATGCATGTACCAAGCCATTCATATGCCATATATGTCAGAAAACCTTCCAGGAGGCCACAACTCTTGTACTACATGAGAGGATTCCCTGGAGAGAAGCCCTTTTGAGTGTTGTGAGTGTGGCAAAGCCTTCCGCCAAAGCAGATTCCTGGCCCAGCACCAGAGAATTCATTCCCAGGGAAAACCATGTGAATACATGGATATCAGAAAGCCCTCAGTGACGCTTTGGTTCTTGTATGTCAGTGAACTGGGCATGTGCCAAATATGGCAGAGATCTTCCCATCTATCCTTGGTGTGTTGTCCTTTGCACCGGGGTGGCAGGTGAAGAGGGACTGTGAGTGTGAGGAAATCAGGGTCAGTGTGAGAAGCCCCTATTATACATTTCTCCCTTCAGGGTCACCGGGGCGGGTGAGGAAGCTGGGAGTGGGCCTAGGATATGTCTTTCAGATGTCACATGGAGATACTTCTCCATAATTATCAAGGGGCACAATGGCCACTTCCACTTTAATTAGATTCCCATGGATGCTAACCAAGTGGTAGGAGGTACACAGGTATGAACAGGTTTCCTCTCAGCAGTCCTAGAAGACTTTATTTCAGTTTTTGCCAAGACAAAAATGAAATTTAAAAAATGTGGGTTTTTTTGTTTTTTGTTTTTTTGTTTTTTTGAGACGGAGTCTTGCTTTGTCGCCCAGGCTAGAGTGCAGTGGCGCAATCTCGGCTCACTGCCAACCTCCGCCTCCTGGGTTCAAGTGATTCTCCTGCCTCATCCTCCCGAGTAGCTGGGATTACAGGCCCCCGCCACCAAACCCAGCTTTTTGTATTTTTAGTAGAGATGGGGTTTCACCATCTTGGCCAGGCTGATCTTGAACTCCTGACCTCGTGATCCACCCACCTCGGCCTCCCAAAGTGTTGGGATTACAGGCATGAGCCACTGCGCCCGCCCAAAAAAATACATATTTTTAAAAGATGCTTTTGCAGTTGTTTGTGCCTTGTATTAAGGTAGACCATATAGTTTGGGGTTTTATTGCCCAGAACCAAAAAGGTAAAATTTATATGCTGAAGTGTGTGTCACAGAGTCTAGCTCTTTAAGAAGAAAATTTTGTGTGTTCCTCAGCTTCAGCATGAGGACGTCACTAAAACTAGTTGAGACAGTGATGATGTTCGTTAAGATTTTACTGAGCACTTTAGAAGCACTTTAAGTAGATTGTCCCATTCCATCCTCTTAGCCGGCCTGGGATGTATTTTTATTCCCACTTCATACATCAGGGAGCTGAGACTTTGAGAGGTTAAATCACTTGCCCAGTGCCCCTAGCTAAAAGGCACTCACTTTTCAGGACGAAAATACTTGAGTTAATGGATAAGGCCAAGGTGGCAGAAGTATTTCCTTCCCTTTTACCAATGCCCAGAGGTATTTACTGGAATTCTAGAACTGAGGAGGCAGTTCTAGAATATAAAGTCCTATTGAGCATGGGAGACAATGGAATGATTGGGTTCCACCTGAAGAAGCAAGTTGACCCATTTAGCTGACTTGAGGCAAACGCAAAGTAGTAACTGGGAGCCACTGCTCAATCCAGATGTTGATTAAATGCTTCCTGGGAGCCCTGCATGTGTTCCCACTCTCCCCTGTAACATTGCTCAGGGGTTCTCTGGCTGTCAGGCTGAGATCTAGCCTCTAGCTGGCCTCTATGCGGGGGTCCCCAAGATCCTCAGGTGTGAAGATTCACTAGAGGAACATAGAAAACTGATATACTTAACATTTACGGTTTATAGTCAAAGGATACAGATTAAAATCACAAAGATAAAAGATGCGTAGGGCAGCAACCAGAAGAGAGGAGGTACAGCTGTTGTAGAGACTGCTGAATTCTCCCAGCGCTGAGTGACAATATAGAGTAGCATCAACCAAGGAAGCTCACCCAAGCCTTGGTGTTCAGGACATTTACTAGGTGATGATCTAGTGGGCATGGAGTGCCCACCTGACTGACTTTAGTCACTTAGTCTCCCACCCCTCTAGTGGTCAGACTGTTACAGTGTGGCCTAAGATCCTCACCATAAATCACATTGTTGACAAATACTTGGCATGGCCCAAGGTCCTCAGGTAAACAAAGATACTCTTAGGCAGCATGATCACCACATGCCTTGAACTGAAAGAAACCAGGGTCACAAATGATTTTGTTGGCTTTCTACATGGAAGGAAAAGAAACCAAAAGTATTATTGTAGTGGATTGAATTACTAGCTCAATTCTTCACTGCTCCTTGCATATATACACCCACGGCCATATTTATGGTTCTTCCCAGTAAAGGCAAATTTGATGTCCCCACCCATTCCTTGAGTTTGGGTGTGGCCATGTGACTTGATTTGGCCAACAGAATCTAAGTGGAAGTGATAGCATGCTAGTCCTGAGTCCAGGCCTAAAGCCCATTGTGTCTCTGCCATCAGGATGAGAAGAATTTTTCCTGTGAGCCTTGCAAGACAAATACAGCAGACCTGGACCCAAACTGCAGCCTAGAGCCAAGCCCAGCTGAGCCCAGCCCAGATCAGCCAACCCTCAGACACATGACAAAAATAAGCACTTTTTTTGCTGTGGGCCACAGAGGTGTCGTAGCTGTTTGTTACAGAGCAATAGCTGATACAATTGCCAAATTAAAGTGAATACTCCCTGAAAAAGATAAGGTTTGAAATCTGGGGAGAGGATAAGAAAGAGACAAAGGGAGAGAGGAAAGGAGGAGCATCCACTCAGGAGAGTCCAGAGGCCAGAATGCTGATTGAACAGAGCACAAGCACAAAAGGGGTGGCCAAGGGAAAGGGCCTTCCAAGGTCTGCAGTATTGACTACAGGTGCCATGGTGGGTGCAGGAGATGAATGAGGAGAATCCAGCTATGCAGCTCCAGGCAAGGGAACATTGTTGGTCTGCCAGTCATTCAGTCATTCCTCAGCCAACTCTTAGTACCTAGCCCTGTACAAGGCATCAAGGATACCCTGGCCTCGGCTATGTAAAGGGCAGGACCCCTCTCAGGCCTAACAGCACAGACTCACAATCTAGGCAGAAAAGGAGCCAATGAGGAGAGATTCCATTGGCTTTCCAAGTCACCCTATACCCATTAAATGTCAACCAGGGCTCTTCTTCCTCTCCCTGACACCAGAGTCCCCTCCAGCTGCTGCCCTATCTCGCTCGTTTCCTCCTTAGAATCTCCCTGAAAAGGGGTCTAAGGATCCCCACACTGATGCCACTGTCCATTCACCCGTTATGGACTGAATTGTGTCCCCCCAAAATTCATATATTGAAGTCCTAACCCCCAGTATACCTCAGAATATGACTGTATTTGAAGATAAGACCTTTAAATAAGTAATTAAGGTTAAAGAAGATATGGATGGGTCCTAATCCAACATGACTGGTGTCCTTATAAGGAGAGAGAGACAGTAGGGGCATGTGCAAACAGAGGAAATGCCATGTGAGGACACAGTGAGAAGGCAGCCATCTACAAGCCAAGGAGAGAGGCCTCAAGAGAAACCAAACCTGTTGACACCTTGATCTGGGGACTTCCAGCCTCCAGATCTGTCAGAAAATAAAAAAAATTTTTTTTTTTTTGAGATGGAATCTCGCTCTGTCGCCCAGGCTGGAGTGCAGTGGCGTGATCTCGGATCTCTGCAAACTCCACCTCCCGGGTTCACGCCATTCTCCTGCCTCAGCCTCCCTAGTAGCTGGGATTACAGGCACCTGCCACCACGCCCGGCTGATTTTATTTTATTTATTTATTATTTATTTTGTATTTTTAGTAGAGACGGGGTTTCACCTTGTTAGCCAGGATGGTCTCGATCTCCTGACCTCATGATCCGCCCACCTCAGCCTCCCAAAGTGCTGGGATTACAGGCATGAACCACCGTGCCTGGCCCAGAAAATAAACTTTAAACTATCGTTTAAGCCACCAAATCTGTGGTATTTTGTTATGGCAGTCCTAGCAAACTAATACACCCTCCTCCCACCCATAATCAGAGGGCACTATCAGGCACCTGGGTCAGCCTTGCTCACCCCTTGGACACTGTAGTTCAACCCATCAACCCTATCATCTATACCAAACTTGTCCAACCCACAGCCCACGGGCTGTATGTGGCCCAGGACAGCTTTGAATGCAGCCCAACACAAATTCATAAACTTTCTTAAAACATTATGAGATTTTTTTTGCGATTTTTAATAAACTCATCCGCCATCATTAGTATATTTTATGTGTGGCCCAAGACAATTCTTCTAATGTGGCCCAGGGAAGCCAAAAGAGTGGACACCCCTGATACACCTTCAAAACAGATCCAGATCTGACCACCTGTTAGCATCTCTACCACACCACCGTTTGACCACCCTGATCTGAGCTACCTGCCTCAGGTGCCAGTACTCTCAAAGCAATTGCATCTTTGGTCTCCCTGACTCCACTCTCATCTTGACAGTCTTCTCCTGCAGCGGCCAGAGAATTCCTATGAAGAGCTAAGTCACAGCACAGCCCTCCTCTGCTCAAAGGCCTCCCATAGCTCCCACTTCTCTCAAGGTGGAAATCAAAGTCTGTATGTGAGCCAAGTGTGGTGGCTCACGCCTGTAATCCCAGCACTTTGACAGGCTGAGGCAGGAGGATTGCTTGAGGCCAGGAGTTCAAAAGCAGCCTAGGCAACACAGTGAGACATTGTCTCTACAAAAAATAAATAAACAAAGTCGTATGTGGCTCACAAGCCCTTCAAGATCTGCCCCCACAGGCCTCCCTTTTCTGTCCTTGTCCCCTCCCATCTCCTTCCCTTAATCCACCCCAGCCAGTCTTCCTCATCCATGCCTCCTCCTGACGTGGGCATTTGTGTTCCATCTACCTTGAACTTACTCTCCCTGAGTTCTTCGCTCTATTCAGGCCTCAGCTTAAATACCAACTTCTCAGAAAAATGACTTCTTTGTTTACCATCTGCCTCCCCACACAATAACATCACCTCCATAAAGGCAGGCCATGCTTATCATCATTGCAGTATCCAATCTGCAGTGGTGCTGGCTGCCTGTTGTGGGTGCTCAGTATTTATCTGTGGAAGGAAAAGAATATATGCTCATTCCAGCTGCTAGCAGTCTGCAGGGCAAAGTCTGAGAATAATAGGGGATGTGAGCACAGGCTGGGGCCAAGAAACACCACCAGCACCACCAAGCAATCATACACACCCTGCCTCAAAAAGGCCTCACCTGAACATAGGCTGGGCCACCAACCTCTATGTATCGGGCCCCAAGCCAGAGTCTCCTGCTCAATGTCTCTTACACATACACACACACACAGAGAAGATACATTCTCACACACAGTCCAGGCATCGACTGAATCACACAATCACACTACCATTCACAGTCACCGTAACAACATCACACACAGTCTAGGGCCTTTATACTGTGTCAGGTCCACCCCATTACCTCTAAGTATCTGTCTCAGACACAATTACACCTGGTGCAGGCAAACACAGCTGCATGATTATCACATATGATGATTAAATCACAGGTCACACACACGCAGAGTAAGCACACAGAACAACCCACAAACCTGGTCACAGAGTGACTCATGCAGACAGACGCCCAGCTCAAATTCAGTAAAAAATGATACACATTTATAAAAATGATTACATGTGTTCACAGAGAGCCACACATAGCTACACTCAATACACACCCTGACATAGGCAACCACACCGCTCACCTCTCACAAAGGCACCTTCAGTACTTACACAGACACTCACACCCACAAGCCCTCAGACAGGCACCCTCTCCCCTCACTCCTAACATGGGCACCCTCACCTCTCACCCAGGTACCCTTGTTACTGGTGGAGGGTGTCCAGGTTCTTGGCATCTTGAACAAATAATTGGACAAAATGCACAAAGAAAAGAATGAAGCAACAAAAGCAGAGATGTATTGAAAATGAAAGTACACTCCACTGTATGGGAGCAGGCCGGAGCATAGGGGCTCAAGAGCCCGGTTACAGAATTTTCTGGGGTTTAAATACCCTCTAGAGGTTTCCATTGGTTACTTGGTATATGCCCTATGTAAATGAAGAGGACGAAGTAAAGTTACAAAGTGATTTACTCCATGTACGCCCTGCATAAATGGAGAGGATATTTCCTACCATAGCTGCAGTTTCCATTTGATTTACTTCTAGGAAGTCCTTAGGTTCCCTGCCTCCAGACCCGATTTTCTTGCCTCACCCTTACCCCTCACCCCTCACACAAACACCCTCAGCCCTCCCAAAGCCACCCTCAGCCTCACACAGCCGCCCTCACCCTCAGCCTCACACAGGCACCCTCAGCTCTCACACAGGCACCCTCAGCCCTCACACAGCCGCCCTCACCCTCAGCCTCACACAGGCACCCTCAGCCTCACACAGGCACCCTCAGCTCTCACACAGGCACCCTCAGCCCTCAGCCCTCACACAGCCGCCCTCACCCTCACCCTCACACAGGCACCCTCAGCCTCACACAGGCACTCTCACCCTCAGCCTTCACATTTCCCTCACCTCCAAGTCCCGCCTTTCGCGCATCGCCTGCTGCTCTCCCACTCAGCGCCACCTCAGTCCCACAAAGGCCGGGCTGGGATCCTGTGGCCTCCGTGCTGACCAACGTCAACTACAATTCCCAGCAGGCACCGCGCCTGGGTACACTTGAGCTTCCGGAGGACGCCGGGAATTGTAGTCCTGGCGGGCGTGGGCCCTTGAGGTGTGCTGGGAGCTGTGGTCCGGGTCGGCGGGCGCGCAAGTTGGCTAGTCTCTGCGGCCACCTCCGGAAGGGTCCGCCGGCTGTGCTGGTGAGGTGGGTTTCGGGGGTGTTCTCCGTCCTGATCCAGGCTGGAGAGGGGCACAGCAGGTC
The DNA here is from genome assembly GCF_000001405.40 of Homo sapiens. Lineage (NCBI taxonomy): Eukaryota > Metazoa > Chordata > Mammalia > Primates > Hominidae > Homo > Homo sapiens. The sequence goes on from NC_000019.10 coordinate 58,327,172, forward strand.
CAGAAGCCGCGAACCTCTGGGGCGGCCAGAGCGAGATGCGGGGTACCGCCCAGCGGGTAGAGAGTGAGAGGCTGACTAGGGGACGTGAGTAGACGGACTGCGAGTGCCGGACACACGCGCAGAGGATGTGACGGACTGACGGACCAGGCGTGGACGGACCGTGTGTGCACGGACTGACGGACCCGGTGTGGACAGACTCACGGACCGAATGTGGTGCGGAATGACACACTGAGTGCCGGACGGACCGACGGAGAATGTGTCGGACTGACGGAGTGTGTGTCGGATGGACTGATTGACCGGGTGTGGGGCGGACGAAGTGTGGAGCGGGCGGACAGATAACAGATAAAATGTAGGACCAGTGGCCTGGGAGGGTGTGGGGCGGACCCGTTTATGTGTCTGATAGGCGGTTCTGTGTCTGACACCTCTTGGGTGTGTGTATCTGACGGGTTGGAGTGTGTGATTCTGATAGGTTGAGTGTAACACTAACCATGGAGTGTGTGACTGACAGAGATGGTTGCCGTTTGAGACTTCCTACGTGGGTTGTGAGATACTGTGAGAGGGTGAGCGTGTGACGGTGGGATTTCAAGTGTGACTGATTTTCTTTGTGTGTCCTTGAGATGGTGACTAAGATTATGAATGACTGTGATCAGAATAATACTGTGTGATGGAAATGCTGCGAGGGCCTGTGTTTATTTTTGAGACGGAGTCTTGCTCTGTTGCCCAGGCTGGAGTGCAGTGGCGCAATCTCGGCTCACTGCAACCTCCATCTCCCGGGTTCAAGCGATTATCCTGCGTCAGCCTCCCGAGTAGCTGGGATTACAGGCACCGGCCACCACACTTGGCTAATTTTTGTATTTTTGGTAGAGACGGGCTTTCACCATGTTGGTTAGGCTGGCCCGGAACTCCTGACCTCAGGTGATCCACCTGCCTAGGCCTCCCAAAGTGCTGGGATTATAGGCATGAGCCACCATGCCTGGCCAGGCCTGTGTTTATTTGACTGATTATAGGTGACATTGAGATATTTCCTGTGTCTGGGTATTTTGAAGGCTGTGGCTGACAGACTGTACCTGAGATAATATGTGTTAATATCTGATTGACTGAGATTTTTATCAGGGAGACTAAAACTTGGGTGATCCACAAACAGTTTACCAAGCATATGAGAGAGGATTTGTGCTTTGCCATGTCTGCAGCTGAAACTGAGTGACTAGTGGTCATTCAGCTGGGCTTATGGATATGTCCCCCAGTGTTTGCTTACGTGTAGCAGGGGGCTATGGTATCCATACATCTACTGCATGTTTACTGTGCACCAGGCCTGTGCTGGACACTTATAATAAATCACCTCACATAATCTCATAGCAACCCTCTGAGGTAGGTACCATTATCAGGCTTGGTATAATCCATGTGTGAGAAATGAAAAGAACCACCCTCCTTGGTTGGTAAAGCAGCTGTGGATGGGGAACCTCAACCTGATAGGAGTTGAGGTTGGCTGAGGAGGCTGAGGAAGTTTCACATACATGTATTTCAGAGACCGTCATGAGGGATTTCTCCAGAACAGGTGTTCCAGGGGTGCAAAAGAGAACTTGGAAGCTGTTGCAGCATCTATTGTCATCCCTGCCACCCTTGCTCCTCCTTCCCCTCATGATTCCCTACATTCTTGGGTAACCATGCTCAGCCTTTACTGGTCATTCCATTTGCTTAATGCCTGCTTATTGTGAACCTGCTATAGGGCAAGTCCTGTGTGCTGTGGCTCCAGGACAGCCCAGCCTCTCTGAGGAAACAGTACAGAACTAGCAAAGAGTTACCCAGGGCACTCTGGGAAGAGGACTTAGACTAGTACCAGGTATCTGGGATGACACCTGAGGAAAGTGGCAGCTAAGATGAGGCCTAGAGAGCCCAGAGGAATCCGTCAGAGACGGATTTCAGAACTCGAGAGCAGCAGGGGCGACAAGGGGCTTAGAAAGGCCACAAGAGACCCAGGAGAACTTTACAGTGCGGCGAAGGGGCTTAAACGCAGCTTGGCCAGAGGCCACCAGAGGTCACCAGCGGTCACCAAAAGGTTTCAGGATTGGGGTCTTGTTTTAGAGTAACGTTCTCTTCTTCCTGTGCCCAAGGCCATTGCTCTTTCTCAGGCCTCCTGCATCTCTGTCCAGGGTGACTTCCTTGAGCAGAGACTCCAGGCACACTGAGCGTCCTGGCTGACATTGAAGGAAAGGAAAAAGAACTCCAAATACTTAAAACTGTGGGAGTCGTGGATGGGAGAGGGAGAGGCTAAGTCTTTGAGTAAGGAGTAGTATGTGGCCAAAGCAAAGTGTCGAGGTCTCCTAGGAGAGGTTACACTTAATTTAGGGTATTCTTCCTGACTATAAGAGAAAACAAATTCACTGTGGGAAGTAGAGAATGTCAAGAAAAGTAATACAGTAGTCACCCCTCATCTTCAGTTTTGGTGAATATAGTACAATAAAATATTTTGAGAGAGAGAGAAAGACCACATTAATATAGCTTTTATTACAGTGTATTGTTATAATTGTTCTATTTTATTAGTCATTGTTGTTAATTTCTTACTATGCCTAACTTATGAACTTTATCAAGGGTATATAATAAGAAAAAAATATAGAATATATAAGGTTCAGTAATATCCATGGTTTCAGGCATCCACTGGAGGGTCTTGGAACACATCCCCTGCAGATAAGGGGGAACTACCATAGTATAAAATACCTTGGTAAGGATGTAGAGAAATTGGAACCCTCATCCACAACTGGTGGGAATGCAAAATGGTATAGCCAATTTGCAAAACAGCCTGGCAGTTTCTTAAAAAGTTAAGCATTGCCTACATGCGGCCAGGCGCAGTGGCTCATGCCTGTAATCCCAGCAATTTGGGAGGCTGAGGTGGGCGGAACATGAGGTCAGGAGATCGAGACCATCGTGGCTAATACGGTGAAACCCCGTCTCTACTAAAAGTACAAAAAAAAATAGCTGGGTGTGGTGGTGGGTGCCTGTAGTCCCAGCTACTCGGGAGGCTGAGGCAGGAGAATGGCGTGAACCCAGGAGGCAGAGCTTGCAGTGAGCCAAGATTGCGCCACTGCACTCCAGCCTGGGCGACAAAGCAAGACTCCGTCTGGAGAAAAAAAGAATTTTTTCAAAAAGAAAGTATTATCTCCCTCTGAATGTCGGTAGCACCCCCATCTAGAAATGGGGCTAGATTCTGAGAAGTAGAATTAATATTGAGGCAGAGAGCACAGTCATTTTAAAGCTCTTACAACATACTGCCAAATTGTTTGCCAAAGATATTCTAATTGATTGCCCTCACCAATAGTACATGAAAGTAGTTTTTTGCTGTCCCTGACCAGCATTCAGTGCTCACAGTTCTAGAATTTGGAAAGGCTTTGAGTGTGGAGGAAAGATCGCAGATAGCCTGAGCTCAAACACTAGCTTTGTTCCTACTGACCAGATGACTCTAGCAGCTGACTTTCCCCAACTTGGAAAATGGGAGTGGTAATACTGACTCACAGGGTGGAGCTAAGGCTTGAATGGGATAACAGATGCCAAAGGCTAGTGTGGCCTGGTAGCCGGTAGGTTCCCACTGACTGTCTGTTCCCATTTTCTTTTATTCCTGTTGCACACTATACCCATATCCATCATCATAATTATCTTATCATGTGTTGGTCGCTGTCCTTCCGTTGAGGCCATTGAGCCCAGCACCCATGCCTTCCCCGTATTTGCATTCCTAGTACAGTGCTGGGCACAGAGTAGGCACCTAATGGGGCTGTGCTGAACAAAAGTATTATTATTGATGTATGTGCCCAGCAATGCTGTAGACACTGGGGATAAAGCAAAGACCTAAACAAAAACCCCTGCCCTTAATGTGCTGATACTCCAACAGGGACAAGTAAATAATAAACAAGTAACCACATACGTGTATCACACATCAGGTGGTAAAGAGCAAATAAAGCAGTGTAGAAGCACAGAGACTTACTGATAAGGCGTCTTTTGTGTAGAGGCCTGACTTAAATAAGGGAGAGAACACCCAACAATTATCAAATGCACTTTTTTTTTTTTTTTTTTTGAGACAGAATCTCACTCTGTCGGCCAGGCTGGAGTGCAGTGGCACAATCTCTGCTCACTGCAACCTCCACCTCCCGGGTTCAAGCAATTCTCCTGTCTCAGCCTCCCAAGTAGCTGGGATTACAGGCCCCCGCTGCCACGCCTGTCTAGTTTTCATATTTTTAGTAGAGATGGGGTTTCGCCATGCTGGCCAGGCTGGTCTTGAATTCCTGACCTTGTGATCCACCTGCCTCAGCCTCCCAAAGTGCTGGGATTACAGGTGTGAGCCACCGCGTCCAGCTGACGTTATTATTATTATTATTATTATTATTATTATTATTATTATTATTATTTTGAGATGGAGTCTCTGTTGCCAGGCTGGAGTGCAGTGGCGTGATCTCGGCTCACTGCAATCTCCACCTCCCGGGTTCAAGAGATTCTCCTGCCTCAGCCTCCTAAGTAGCTGGGACTACAGGCACACGCCACCACGCCCAGCTAATTTTTTTGTATTTTTAATAGAGACGGGGTTTAATCATGTTGGCCAGGATGGTCTCGATCTCTTGACCTTGTGATCGGCCCAGCTTGGCCTCCCAAAGTGTTGGGATTACAGGCATGAGCCACCGTGCCTGGCCAACATTATTTTTTTAAAAGCTGTATTTTTATTTTATTTTATTTTTTGAGATGGAGTTTCACTCTTGTTGCCCAGGCTGGAGTGCAATGGCAGAATCTCGGCTTACTGCAGCCTCCACCTTCCAGGTTAAAGGGTTTCTTCTGCCTCAGCCTCCCAAGTAGCTGGGATTACAGGCATGCACCACCACGCCCGGCTGATTTTGTATTTTTAGTATAGATGGGGTTTCTCCATATTGGTCAGGCTGGTCTTGAACTCCTGACCTCGTGATCTACTCGCCTCGGTCTCCCAGAGTGCTGGGATTACAGGCGTGAGCCACCGCGCCTGGCCTCCAGAACATTTTTATCATCCCCAAAAGAAATTCCCAAACCTATTAGCAACCACTCTCATTTTTGTCTCTCTTCAGCCTCTGACAAACACTAATATGCTTTTTTTTTTTTTTTTTTTTTTTGAGATGGAGTCTACCTCTGTCGCCAAGGCTGTAGTGCAGTGGTGTACTCTCGGCTCACTGCAACCTCTGCCTCCCAAGTTCAAGAGATTCTCCTGCCTCAGCCTCCTGAGTAGTTGGGATTACAGGTGCCTGCCACCACACCCAGCTAATTTTTGTATTTTTTAGTAGAGACGGGGTTTCACTGTGTTGGCCAGGCTGGTCTTGAACTCCTGACCTCAGGTGATCTACCCACCTCGGCCTCCCAAAGTGCTGGGATCACAGGTGTGAGCCACCGTGCCCTGCCGTGTCTTTCTTCTTTTACTTAGCATCATGTTTTCAAGGTTCATCCATGTTGTAGCATTAATCAGTACTTCATTTCTGTTTATGGTGAATAGTGTTCCATTATAGGTATATACAGCATTTTATCCATTCATCAGGTGGACATTTGGATTGTTTCTCCTTTTTTGCTGTTATGAGTAATGCTGTTATGCACATTTATGTATAAAGTTTTGTGAGGACATATACTCATTTCTCTTGGGTCTATACGTAGGAGTAGAATTGCTAGGTCATGGGGTAACTCTGTTTAAGCTTTTGAGGAACTCCCAGACTGTACTTCCCACAGTGGCTATCCCATCTTACATTCCCAGCAGCAGCATATGAGGATTACAGTTTCTCCATATCCTTGCCTACACATGTTATCTGATTATAGGCATCCCAGCAGGTGTGAAGTGCTATCTCATTGTGGTTTTCATTTGCAGTTCCCTGGTAGCTAGTGATGTTAAGCATCTTTTCATGTATTTATTGCCCATTTGTGTATCTTCCTTGGAGAAATGTCTAGTCACATTCTTTGCTCATTTTAAAATTGTATTATTCATCTTTTTACTATGGAGTTGTTCTAGATACAGGTCCCTTATCAAATATATGATTTGCAAATATTTTCTCCCACTCTGTGGGCTGCTTTTTTACTTTCTTGATGTGGTCCTTCAAATCACAAAAGCTTTTAATTTTGATAAAGTCCAGTTTATTTATTTTTTCTTTTGTTACTTATGCTTTTGGTGTCATAGCTAAGACAGCTTTGCATTATTTTCAAGTATTCATGGAACATTAACCAAAATTAACCATACACTGGGTCACAAACCAAGTTTCAGCAAATTTTAAATGATCGAAATCCATTGTAGCATGTTTTCTGACCACAACAGACTTAATCTAGACATCAGTAATAAAAAGACAACTAGAAAACCCCCAGTTGTTTGGCAATGAAGCAGGAGAGTTTTAAATAAATAACCAATGGGACTGGGCATGGTGACTCATGCTTGTAATCCCAGCACTCTGTGGGGCCGAGGCAGGCAGATCGCTTGAGGTCAGGAGTTCGAGACCAGCCCCGCCAACATGGCAAAACCCCGTCTCCACTAAAAATACAAAAATTAGCCTCACATGGTGGTGCACACCTGTAGTTCCAGCTACTTGGGAGGCTGAGGCAGGAGGATTGCTTGAACCCGGGAGGCGGAGTTGCAGTGAGCCGAGATAGCGTCACTGCCCTCCAGCCTGGGCGACAGAGGGAGACTCCGTCTCAAAAAAATAAAATAAATTTTAAAAAATAATTAATGAGTAAGGTAGAAATTGTAACAGAAATTAGAAAATATTTTTAACTAAATGATAATGAAGATACAACATATCAAACTTGTGATGTATAGCTAAAGCTGTGTTTAGAGAGAAATTTATAGCCTTAAATATGTGCATTAGAAAAGAGGAAAGGCGAAAGTCAATTATGTATCAATCTCAAACACTACAAAATAATTAGCAAGTAAAGTGAGAGAATGACCATGTGGCTACCTGGGGAACAGAGGGAGAAAGACTTGGCTCTGTTGGGGAGGAGCACGCCTTAAACAGGCTGGCTGTAGGTTTGCGTGGGTTTGTAGCTTAGCTCTCTGTTAACCCTTCACTAGCTGAGGGACTTTGGGCAAATATTTTCCTCCTGAGTGTCTGTTTTTCCATCCATAAAATAGGTAGAAAGTCCCACCTCCTGAGTTTGTTGTAAGTTTTTTGTTTGTTTGTTTTTGTTTTGAGACAGAGTCTTGTTCTGTTGCGCAGGCTGGAGTGCAGTGGCGTAGTCTCGGCTCACTGCAAGCTCCGCCTCCCGGGTTCACGCCATTCTCCTGCCTCAGCCTCCTGAGTAGCTGGGACCACAGGTGCCCGCCACCACGTCTGGCTAATTTGTTTTGTATTTTTAGTAGAGACGGGGTTTCACCATGTTAGCCAGGATGGTGTTTGTTGTAAGTTTTAAATGAGTCTACATGCAAGCAGTAGTAGCTTAGAACAGTGCTCAGCACCAAGTGGGTGCTGTCCTAATTATGAGGATTGTCTATGTCTTTGTGAGAGTCTTTCACATCTCACGGGCCACAAGCCTGTGTTTTCCCTGCTCTGTAGGCATGAGGCAGGGCCCAGGTTCCATGTGATGCTGAAGCTCTGACATTCCTGCAGGCCCAGTTCCAAGGCTCCGGCATCCTGTGTCTCACTGAGCACTGCTGCCCGATGGCCATCCCCAAGCACTCCCTGAGCCCAGTGCCGTGGGAAGAGGACAGCTTCCTTCAAGTGAAGGTGGAGGAGGAAGAGGAAGCCAGCCTCTCCCAGGGCGGAGAATCCAGCCATGACCACATTGCTCACTCTGAGGCTGCACGCCTGCGCTTCCGGCACTTCCGCTATGAGGAGGCATCTGGTCCACACGAGGCCCTGGCCCACCTCCGAGCGCTGTGCTGTCAGTGGCTGCAGCCCGAGGCGCACTCCAAGGAGCAGATACTGGAGCTGCTGGTGCTGGAGCAGTTCCTGGGTGCGCTGCCCCCAGAGATCCAAGCCTGGGTGGGAGCCCAGAGTCCCAAGAGCGGAGAGGAAGCCGCTGTGCTGGTGGAGGATCTGACTCAGGTGCTGGACAAGAGAGGTAAAGGGGCGCCGTGGGCAGCTTCACGGCACACCAGAGATACACCCTGGACAGGAACATGGGAGCACAGGGCTCTGGTTTGGGGTTGCTCATGCACCCATTCTCACATTTGTACTTTACCGTAACTCTCACACACTGTTGTAGACAGGTGTGTTTTGGTTGCAGGTGACCAAAAGCGAGCTGAAATGGGCTGAAGCAAAGAAGGGTAAGGAGGCAGCAGATACGGCTATATCCAGAAGATCTGTTGACAGCATCAGAACTCTCTTCTTCCTCTCTTGTTCTGTTTCTCAGTTGGTTTTTTCTGTGTTAGCTTCATTCTTATTTTAGGTTCTCTTTCCAAAGGGGTTAAAGATAGCCAGGAACCCCAGGCTTATGTCTTACCAATGTAGAAACCCCGGGGTAATAACAATAAGAGGTCCCTGGTCTGAGCCCCCACTGGCCTGGTTGGGATCTTATGTTTGTGTTTGGCCAACCAAATCCCAGGGACTAACAGTGAGCAACTGGCTGTTTCTCAGAGGAAACCAGACGAGGGCCTGGGTGCCTGGGGTGGCTGTTGGGGGTGACGGAAATACCAGATGTCCCTGTGTACCTTCTCTATGCCCACCCTGGGCTGGCCTCCAGGATTTGGGTGGGTCAGACCTGCCCCAGGCTCAGCTGGGCACTGTTACTCACAGAGACCCACACAAACATCCCAACCCAGGGAGGTCCAGTGGGATGCAGGGAAGACCCAGCCTTGGGACAATCCAGAGCAGGGAGTGGTGGCTCGTCTCAGATGGGCTTGGCCTGGCCTATTGGCAACAGATAGGAGGTGGGCATACCACACACTGGGAGGAAACGTGCAGTGTGCAGGAGGAATGTGGAGTCTGGATACAGCTGCATCATCAAGGCTCAGTAGATCCAACCGCTGCTGCTCTTCCTGGCCATGTGACTCCCTTGTGCCTCAGTTTACTCATGGGTAAAATGGGGATTGTAATAAAAACGCCCACCTTAGTGGTGTTGCGAGATACAAGGCAATACCCGTGCAGCACCTGAAATGGTGCCTGGCACAGATTAAATAAATGGTAACTGCAACTGTTAGGATAATTTGTTCAGCTCTGGGAGAAACAGGCCTCTCTGGAACAGAGGTTGGTCTATGCCCAAGCAGATGTCACAGAGACAGGGAGAGGAAGGAGGGAGTGGCCCCATCCTCCCACAGGGTTGGCCAAAGCTCAGAGAAAGGGTAAAATGCAGAGGGAATGGTGGGGTCAAAGGCCTGGCAGTGTGATTTGCACTGGTGTATTCTGGTAAAAGCAGGTGGTGTGATGTTTCTGGATAGAGGAAGGAAGGGGGAGACAGGGCCAAGCAGATGGCTGGGGGAGCAGGGGAGACTGCCTGTGGACCTGGAGGAGAACATTCTGGAGCTGAAATCCCAACTGGGCCACTAGCTAACTGTGATCCTGTACCAGTTACTCAACACCTTCCCTCAGCTGGATTTCAGTTTCCCCATCTGCAACAGAATCACAGCAGTACCTCCTTCTGAGAGCAGGTCGAAGCTGAAATGAGGCGATGGAAGTCACCCACTGTGCTTGGGGCCCAGCACGACAAGAGCCTGATAGTGGTTAGTGGCCCTGGAAGGCCAGCGGCACAGCATCCATGGCTTACAGATGGGGAGACTGAGTCCCAGATGAGGGCAGGACTGATTAAGGTGGTAGACCTGGGGTTTGAGTCCAGTTTCTGCACTGCTGAGCCCCACTGTGGACTTGAGCAGTGGGTATTCCACCTGTCTCTGCCTCCTCCCTGGAATCCATCCAGTAGATGTGCCAGATTATGTGTCCTTTGCACCCATGCAGGGCAGGTCAGTGCGAGCATTCCTCTACCTCATGCACACTCTGATCTCCAAGAGCACCTCCGCCACACTCTGCCTTCATAGTACTTTACAATGTAGGGGCTTGAGAGGCCAGATGGGTACCTCATGTACTCACCCCCAGCAGCCATATTCTACCTGGGGTTCTACTTGCAGAAATTTTCACCATCGTGGGCTTCTGGATGGATTCCCTCATTCAGCCAGAATTCACTGAGCACCTGTGGACACATCCAGGCCTAGAGGCAAGGTGTTGAGTGTGAGGGACAGAACCGCAACCTCACAGAGATCAGAGCCTGCAGGGGACACATCCAGGCCTAGACGCAAGGCGTTGAGTGTGAGGGACAGAACTCCAACCCCACAGAGATCAGAGCCTGCAGGGGACACATCCAGGCCTAGACGCAAGGTGTCGAGTGTGAGGGACAGAACTCCAACCCCACAGAGATCAGAGCCTGCAGGGGACACATCCAGGCCTAGACGCAAGGTGTCGAGTGTGAGGGACAGAACTCCAACCCCACAGAGATCAGAGCCTGCAGGGGACACATCCAGGCCTAGACGCAAGGTGTCGAGTGTGAGGGACAGAACTCCAACCCCACAGAGATCAGAGCCTGCAGGGGACACATCCAGGCCTAGACGCAAGGTGTCGAGTGTGAGGGACAGAACTCCAACCCCACAGAGATCAGAGCCTGCAGGGGACACATCCAGGCCTAGACGCAAGGTGTCGAGTGTGAGGGACAGAACTCCAACCCCACAGAGATCAGAGCCTGCAGGGGACACATCCAGGCCTAGACGCAAGGTGTTGAGTGTGAGGGACAGAACTGCAACCCCACAGAGATCAGAGCCTGCAGGGGTGCATGTGCTCAGGGTCCTGACAAGGACAGACCCTCCCTCTCTCTCTGTCTCCAGATCAGTTCCACATCAGGGTTTCTCCTCTTGACTCTTGAGCCAAAATTGGGAGCCTTGAAAGATGGCGAGTTTGGTGGGAGGAGGAGAAATCAGAACCCATGGTGTAGTTTTGGATGGTGTGGGAGGACAGCCCTGCACCCTTTGTCATCCAAGACACCAAATGAGAAACTTCCCCTTGGAACTGGGGCCAGATGTTAGGAACGGGCCACATCTCCCCTTACAAAGTGTGACCGGGGCCCTCGGCAGAGTAGGGGAGGCTTGGTGTGGTAGGAGGAGTGACAGTGTGGTTCGGACTGTTTCAGGATGGGATCCAGGAGCCGAGCCCACAGAGGCAAGCTGCAAGCAGAGTGACCTGGGAGAGTCAGAGCCATCAAATGTCACTGAGACCCTCATGGGAGGTGTTTCCCTTGGACCCGCCTTTGTCAAGGCATGTGAACCTGAGGGCAGCTCAGAGAGGTCTGGACTATCAGGGGAGATCTGGACAAAGTCTGTCACCCAACAGATCCACTTCAAGAAAACTTCAGGGCCTTACAAGGATGTCCCCACAGACCAGCGTGGCCGTGAATCTGGTGCCTCGAGGAACAGTTCTAGTGCGTGGCCAAACCTCACCTCCCAAGAGAAGCCTCCTTCAGAAGACAAATTTGATCTGGTGGATGCTTATGGGACAGAGCCTCCATACACCTACTCAGGGAAGAGGTCCTCCAAGTGTCGCGAGTGTAGGAAGATGTTCCAGAGTGCTTCGGCGCTCGAGGCACACCAGAAGACCCATTCTCGGAAGACCCCATATGCCTGCAGCGAGTGTGGGAAAGCCTTCAGCCGGAGCACTCACCTCGCCCAGCACCAGGTTGTCCACACAGGGGCGAAGCCCCATGAGTGTAAGGAATGTGGGAAGGCCTTCAGCCGAGTCACCCACCTGACTCAGCACCAAAGGATTCATACTGGAGAGAAACCCTACAAATGTGGGGAATGTGGTAAAACCTTCAGCCGCAGCACTCACCTCACCCAGCACCAGCGGGTGCACACGGGGGAGCGGCCCTACGAGTGTGACGCGTGTGGGAAAGCCTTCAGCCAGAGCACGCACCTGACTCAACACCAGCGCATCCACACCGGGGAGAAGCCCTACAAGTGTGACGCGTGTGGCCGAGCCTTCAGCGACTGCTCAGCCCTGATCCGACATCTGAGAATCCACTCTGGAGAGAAGCCATATCAGTGTAAGGTTTGTCCGAAGGCCTTTGCACAGAGCTCCTCCCTCATTGAGCACCAGAGGATCCACACGGGAGAGAAGCCTTATAAGTGCAGCGACTGTGGGAAGGCCTTCAGTCGTAGCTCAGCCCTGATGGTTCACTTGCGGATCCACATCACGGTGCTGCAATGACCGGAAGTCGCCCCTGGGGGCGTAGCACAGCGTCTTCTCGGAGGCTCGAGGTCTAAGAGAAACGCTGAGTTCCTGAAGAGCCACAGACAGGGTGGGTGATTGATGAGTTGTCAAAATGATAGGTGCCTGAGGGCAGACTCGGGCTGTCTAGGAACCACTCTGCATTTGAGGAACCCTGATGAGCACAAGGTGATTCAGGCCAGCTGGAGAAGCTTCCAGAAGGGCCCTGCACTGCTACCCTCTATTTCCCACTCAGGGCTGTCCCAGAGAGAAGGCAGCCGAACTGAGGATTTAGACTGGTTCTGAGGGCCAGGGCAAATGAAGGCGCATGTCTCTCAGAACTCAGCGTCCCAAGACGCTCTGGGCGGGCCAACTGTAGCTTGTTCTCATGTGGTTCTTCTTGCCTGCTTTTCTGCTGCTTAGCCCAGAACGGACACCTGCCATGCCCACCTCTGTGCCTTGGCACCTACTATTTCCACTCCAGACTATTTTGTGCCTAACTGCAAGGCTGACTTTTGAGACTGCCTCTTCCACGATGCCTTTTCTACACTCTGCCTCTCTCATGGTTTCCTGTCGTAATCAGTGGTGCTGCTTGACACCTGCCCAGCATGTTCCTGTCTCTCCTTTTCCTTCCACATCCCACCAGTCACCAGCGCTATTGTTTTAACCTAAAGCTTATCTGTAATTCACCTCCTTTTCCACCACTGCTACCTTATGTGAGCCCTCATTGCCTCTTGCCTGGATTATAGCCGGGGTCTCCTTCCTGACCACTTCCTGCCTTTATTCTCTGCCCCTGTATCACTCTCCAGGGGACTCTTGATATTACTTAGATCTGACTGTGTCACTCCAAGGTGGAAAGCTCTCCAACCCATCTTCTACAGCACAGCTTCCTGAACAGGGTATAAGTATGCTGAGATGCAGGCTGCTCTGGGCCCCGAGCAACCTCTCCAGTTATCCTCATATGCATGTATGAATACTGTCATTTTTCTGTGCGTGCAGTGAAAATGGCCTCATCTCATACCATGGCTCCACCTTCCATACACCAGCCACACGGAACTACTGTGGTCCCTGAAGGAGCCATACATTTTCCCACTTATGTGCCTTTGTACCTGTGCCTGGAACCCTCCTCTTCTTTTTCTTTTTCTTTTCTTTTCTTTTTTTTTTTTTGAGATGGAGTCTCGCTCTGTCGCCCAGGCTGGAGTGCAGTGGCGCGATCTCGGCTCACTGCAAGCTCTGCCTCCCGGGTTCATGCCATTCTCCTGCCTCAGCCTCCCAAGTAGCTGGGACTACAGGCGCCTGCCACCACGCCCAGCTAGTTTTTTTTTTTTTTTGTATTTTTAGTAGAGATGGAGTTTCACCATGTTAGCCAGGATGGTCTCGATCTCCTGACCTCGTGATCCACCCGCCTCGGCCTCCCAAAGTGCTGGGATTACAGGCGTGAGCCACCGCACCTGGCCCTCCTTTTTCATCTAAGGTGTTTCAAATGTTGCCCAAAGAAACCTCCCTGCTCTCCGGGAGCAGACTTCAGCTTGCCCTCTCTGCTTCCAGAGCACCTCCTAGATACCTCTCTTACAACTCCTGCCACCTTGTTTTACTTATTTGCTCCTTGTAGAGCTGCCTTTTCCAAGGATACCATAAACTCCTGAGAGCAGGGGCCATGTCTTACTCTCAGTATCTACAACACACAAGACTCAGTAGGCCCTGACTGATGTCTCTTACATGAATGTGACTGGTGCCCCCAGGAGGCAGTCACCGTGCTGTCTCTGCCCCACATTGTCCTTATGTATGTTTACATGGATGTCTCCCCAGCAGCTTGAACCCTGGAGAGCAAGAATAATCTGATTTTCCTGGGGGCCAGCACCCAAATAAGCCTGGCATGCAGTGGCCTCAATAAAATGTGACTGTATTGAGTCATTTTCTAGGGCCCCAGATCCCCTGGTGTCATGGACTTAGTCTTTGCCAGCATTCTGTCCATGTGTTCTCTGGTCTTCTCTCACAATGCTGCATCCCTGTCCCATTTTTAGGGTCCCTGTCTATCACTGGATGCTGCAGCTTCTGTTCATTACTGTTAGTGTATCATTCTTCATGCCTCTGTTTCTGTGATGGTCTCATCATATGTGAACCATTTGACCTGGCGTATTGTGTACTAGTCACCGTCACCATCTCTCCATATGTATCTCCCTGTATTTCGGGCCCATTCCCTCTATGTCAAGAGTAAATAGAGGCACAGAGACTGATGAGAAACGTTCATAACATGAAGGTAAGACTCAGGGAGACAGAGACTTTGTGGAAGTATCTCTGAGGGAGTCCCAGACACAGGCAGAGAGGGCCACATATCGTGTGCCAGAGGCTGAGAGACTGAGAGGGATGACAGGCTTAGGGGAAAACTCAGAGAGGAGAGATGCACATTCCTAGTGAAATTGCACAGGCTTCCAGCATGCTGGAGGGAACAGAAAAGGCATGGGCCTGAATTCAGGCTGCAGAGCCTGACTCCTCCCTGTGGCTACTTTTGGGACCTAAGATAAGTGACTTTCCTGAACCTCCATGACCTCCTCATATGTAAACCAGGGACAGGACCCACCTTGTGTAGTGCCTGACCCAAAGCCTGGCCCTGCACACTGTCTCTGACTCACAGCAATCATCAGCACCTCTCTTTGCCTCCTACTTGCTCAGTCTCTGTCACAAGAACTGGATCTCCATCCCCTTGATGCTCTGAGCATCTTCACCCATTTGGTCGTTGAGACATATCTGTCCATGTCTGTCTAAAAGGGGAGGAGATGAGGGAGAAAAAAGGGAATCTACTCAGAGCCTGTGTGTGCTGCCCAGTCTACCAAATAATTTATATACATCTCAGTCCTCACACAACCATCCCTGTTTTATAGAGGAGGAAGTGGCTTAGAGAATGTAACTGACCAAAGTCACACTGCCAGGAACTGGAAGCACTAGGATTTGACAGCATATCCAAATATGTCAGCAATTTCAATAAACATGACTGTACTCAACAAACCAAGTGTAAAGACAAATTCTAACAGACTGAATTTCTTTTTGGACCAGCCATATGTTCTTTAGAAAAGATACACCTAAAACAAGGATATGGGAAGTTGAGGGCAAAGGGATAGAAAAGGATATACAAGGTAGGCATGAAACTGAAGAAAGCTGATGGAGCTGCATTAGTCGCGCAAAACAGACATTAAGGTATAAAAGCATTTTAAGAATCATGGGGTCACTATGTTTTTATAAAAGAAACAATCTATTAGGAAGATGTAATAGTTCAAAACCAGGCACATAATATGAGTCTTGTAGAACAGAATCACAGTGAGAAACTGACGAAACCTTAAGTGTACTTGGAAGTGCTAACACGTTCTTTATGATAGAAAACATTTGAAGAGGCCGGGTGCGGTGGCTCCCACCTGTAATCCCAGCACTTTGGGAGGCCAAGACAGGCGGATCACGAGGTCAGGAGTGCGAGGCAAGCCTGGGCAACATAGTGAAACTGTCTACAAAAAATACGAAAATTAGCCAGCCTGGGCCGGGCACAGTGGATCACACGTAATTCCAGCACTTTGGGAGGCCAAGACAGGCAGGTCACGAGGTCAGGAGATTGAGATCATCCTGGCTAATATGGTGTGTAACCCCTTCTCTACTAAAAATACAAAAAATTGGCCAGGCACGGTGGCTCACGCCTGTAATCCCAGCACTTTGGGAGGCCAAGGCAGGCGGATCACGAGGTCAGGAGTTCGAGACCAGCCTGACCAGCGTGGTGACACCCCGTCTCTACTAAAAATACAAAAAATTAGCTGGATGTGGTGGTGTGTACCTGTAATCCCAGCTACTAAGGAGGCTGAGGCAGGAGAATCGCTTGAACCCAGGAGGCGGAGGTTGCGGTGAGCCAAGATCACACCATTGCGCTCCAGCCTGGGCAACAGAGCGAGACTCTGTCTCAAAAAAAAAAAAAAAAAAAAGCCAGGCATGGCGGCACACGCCTGTAGATCCAGCTAATCAGGAGGCTGAGGCAGGAGAATTGCTTGAACCTGGGAGGCAGAGGTTGCAGTGAGCCGAGATTGGGTGACTTCACTCCAGCCTCGACAACAGAGTGAGACTCTGTCTCAAAAAAAAAAAAAAAAAGGCTGGGCACAGTGGCTCACACCTGTAATCCCAGCACTTTGGGACGCCGAGGTGGGTGGATCACCTGAGTTCACGAGTTTGCGACCAGCCTGGCCAACATGGTGAAACCCCGTGTCTACAAAAAATTAGCCGGGCGTGGTGGCGGGTGCCTGTAATCCCAGCTACTCAGGAGGCTGAGGCAGGAGAATTACTTGAACCTAGGAGGCAGAGGTTGCAGTGAGCCGAGATTGCACCATTGCACTCCAGTCTGGGCAATAAGAGCAAAACTCCATTTCAAAAACAAACAAAAAAAAGACTCAACCCAGAATTCTTTTTTTTTTTTTTTTTGAGATGGAGTCTCGCTCTGTTGCCCAGGCTGGAGTGCAGTGGTGTGATCTCAGCTCACTGCAAGCTCCGCCTCCCGTCAACCCAGAATTCTATATCCAGTGCAAACACACTTAAAGAACGAAGGCAAAATACAGACATCCTCAAATGAAACAAACCTAAGATATATATTTCTTGCCAGCAGACTTGCCTGAAAAGAAATGCCAAAGGAAACTCTTGGTAGAAGGGAAATGATACCAGAGGGAAAGCGGGAACTTTGGGAATTAAATGATAGTAATAGAGATTGCACAATTATTTTATCTTTAAAATATGGCTGGAGGCGGCTGGGCGCGGTGGCTCACGTCTGTAATCCCAGCACTTTGGGAGGCTGAGGTGGGCGGATCCCAAGGGCAGGAGATGGAGACCATCCTGGCTAACATGTTGAAACCCCATCTCTACTAAAAATACAAAAAAATTAGCTGGGCGTGGTGGTGGGCTCCTGTAATCCCAGCTACTTGGGAGACTGAGGCAGGAGAATGGCATGAACCTGGGAGGCAGAGCTTGCAGTGAGCCGAGATCACGCCACTGCACTCCAGCCTGGGCGACAGAGCAAGACTCTGTCTCAAAAAAAAAAAAAAAAAAAGAAAAAAAATGTGGCTGGAGGCCAGGTGCAGTGTAATCCTAGCACTTTGGGAGGCTGAGGTGGACAGACCACTTGAGCTCAGGAGTTTGAGACCAACATGGCGAAATACTGTCTCTACTAAAGATACAAAAAATGACCGGGTGCGGTGGCTCACGCCAGTACTTTGGGAGGCTGAGGCGGTTGGGATCACAAGGTCAGGAGTTTGAGACCAGCCTGGACAGCATGGTGAAACCCCATCTCTACTAAAAATACAAAAAACTAGCCGGGCATGCTGGTGGGTGCCTGTAGTACCAGCTACTCCGGAGGCTGAGGCAGGAGAATTGCTTGAACCTGGCAGGCGGAGGTTGCAGTGAGCCGAGATCACACCACTGCACTCCAGCCTGGGCAACAGAGTGAGATTCGGGAAAAAAAAAAAAAAAGCAAAAGCAAACAAACAAAACTCAATAGTAAGAAAACAAACAGGCCAGGCACGGTGGCTCATGCCTGTAGTCCCAACACTTTGGAAGGCTGAGGCAGGTGGATCACTTGAGGTCAGGAGTTGAAGACCAGTGTGGCCAACATGGTGAAACCCCCTCTCCACTAAATATACAAAAATCAGCCAGTGTGGTGGCACATGCCTGTAATCCCAGCTACACAGGAGGCTGAGGGAGTTGAATCGCTTGAACCTGGGCGGCGGAAGTTGCAGTGAGCTGAAATCATGCCACTGCACCCCAGCCTGGGCAACAGAGCATGACTCTCTCAAAAAGAAAGAAAAGAGAAGAAAAAAGAAAAGAGAAGAAAAAAGAAAACAACCCAATATTTTAAAGTGTGCAAAATATATAAACAGACATTTCATCAAAGATGCTATATAGATGGCAACTAAGCACTTGGGGAAAAAATGCTTAACATCATCAGACATTAAGGAAACGCAAGGAAAACCACTATTAGATATGTCTACATACCTATTAGAATGGCTAAAATAAACTTTTTAAAAAACTAAGCTGGGGCTGGGCGTGGTGGCTCACCCCTGTAATCCCAGCACTTTGGGAGGCTGAGGCGGGTGGATCACTTGAGCTCAGGAGTTGGAGACCAGCCTGGCCACCCAACAAGGTGAAACCCCATCTCTACTAAAAACATAAAAATTAGCTGGGTGTGGTGGTGGGTGCCTGTCAGCCCAGCTACTCAGGAGGCTGAGGCACGAGAATCACTTGAACCCAGGAGGTAGAGGTTGCTGTGAGCCAAGATCACGCCATTGCACTCCAGCCTGGGCAACAAGAGCAAAATTCTGTCTCAAAAACAAATAAACAAGAAAAGGTTTTAAAAATTGATAAACCACTAGCAAGAAAGAGAGAGAGGACACATCAGGCTTGAGAGAAGTGACATCATCATAGACTGTGCAGACATTAAAAGGCATAGGCATATTAGGAACTAGATATTACTAAGGCAGTAAACCAGATCACTAGCAAATTCGTTGAAAAACACAATTCATCAACTATTGGTTGATAATACTGATACGCATCTTCTGTGTGCCAGGGCCTTGAGGCCCTGCTCCAGGCAGAAACTCGGCAGTGGTTGGGAAGGCATCAGATGTCAGATGGCACAAGAGGACTCAGAGCTGAGGGATAATGGGAAAGAACACAGAGGAATCCAGCCATTTCCACAGCGTCCAGCTCTGCTGTGGGAGGCTGGGAACAGCCCAGCACTACCACCCTGGACTGGGAGGACAAGACCACAAAATGCAGCTTCCCTGAACCTCCTCTTGGTGATGGGGTTGATGTGGTCGAGGTAGAGGTGAGTATGTCTGGAGCCTCAAGCAACTGCCCATACCTGCTGGGACCAGGCCGAGGTGCCCAGGGAGTAAGAGGCAGCATCCTGGAAGAGCACAGATGAAAGAGGCCCTGAGAAGTGTTGGTTGGCCAGGTGCTGTGGCTCACACCTGTAATCCCAACACTTTGGGAGGCTGAGGCGGGAGGATCACTTGAGCCCAAGAGTTCAAGACCAGCCTGGGCAACATAGTGAGACTCATCTCTACAAAAAATAAATAATAGAAAGAAAAATGTGAGTTGGCCAGGCATGGTGGCTCATGCCTGTAGTCCCAGCTACTCAGGAGGCTGAGGTGGGAGGATCACTTAAGGCCAGGAGTTCAAGACAAGCTTGGGCAACACAGTGAGACCCTGTCTACAAAAAATAATAATTAGCCAGACGTGGCGATGCATGCCCAGGCTCCCAGCTACTTGGGAGGCTGAGGCAGGAGGATCGCTTGAGCCTGGGAGGTCAAAACTGCAGTGAGCCGGACTGCAACACTGCACTCCAGCCTGGGTGACAGTGTGAGACCCTGTCTCAAAAAAGAAAAAAGAAAAGAAAACTGTGCTCTTAAGAGCCAGTTCTCCACTCCTCTACCTCAGGAGCCACCCCAGAACCCATCCACTTTGAGGACACGAGATCCCAGCCCACTCAGCCCTGGGAGTCCAAAGACATTTTAAACAGAGCCTCTCTTCACATTTATTAATTCCTGGGAGGAATGAGGGAGGCTTCTCCAGCCCCCCAGAGACCCCGGCCTTGTGCTGCAACAGGAGGGGAGGGAGCCAGTCCAGAATCCCCGGCACTTCTGAGGACACCAACAGCACCCTGGGCCCGCGGCTGCATCAGCTTTCTAGACAACGGGAGAAAAGAGAAATGGTGGAGGAGGGGAAATCCTATGCCCTCCTCCTCGCGGAAATCAAGGCCGACCTCCCTGACGCCCCCCCGGAAGGAAGCGCGTGGTCGGCTGCCAGCCGAGACCCCCATCTGCGCCTCCAGCTGCAGGGCCTTTGCTGGGCGGTTCCTCGCCCGCAATTCCCCCACGAGCCCTGGGGAGACCCAGCGCTAACCAGGGGTGCCCAAGGGAGGAGCCGGGAGAGGCCCTCCTGGAGGTGGGCACAGCCCAGGCAAACATCAGCAGACGGAACCAGCACCCGGGACCCAGGGAAACGTCACCTGCCACCAGGAGCTCCACAGGGTCGCTGAGCTCCGATTCGAAGGTGTGGGGCACCCAGGAGCGGTAGCGGCACCTGTAGTTGCCGGCGTGCTGGGGCCCCACGAAGATCAGCTCGAGGTTCGCCGCGGCCCCGGGGGTGCGGACCGTCTTCACGGCCTTCGTCTCGCCCTCGCGCAGCAGCTCGAAGGTGACGTCGGGGATGGGTCCCTCGCAGCGCAGGACGGCATCTCGGCCCGCCAGGACCGCCCCACTCCACGTCGCCCGGAGCTGAGGCCTGGGAGGGGGTCCTGGGCGGAGCGGGCGGGTGGTCGGGCCAGGCCACGCCCCAGGCCACGCCCCAGGCCACACCCCAGGCCACACCCCAGGCCGCGCCCGCGCCTGCGCCTCAGCCCCGGCTTCATCTTCCCTGTCTTGTTCCTGGGCGCAGAGGGCTCCTCCGGCGCCGCCGAGCTGCGCCCGCTGCCTTCACACCCCGGACATCCGCGCCACACGTGAGTGTCCCCGCACCCCTCCCCCAGGACCGTGGAAGTCCCAGATTCGGGCCTGCTCTGGGGCTTCTGGGGTCCCCAGCCTCGGTCACTCTGACGGGTGAAGGGAAGAAGAAATGATGGAGAAAACGGTGCTCCTTCATGGAGGGACCAAAAAAGGACATACAATCTATGTCAATAGATGAGGGTTTTCCCTCCATAAGTTTAACTTTAAAAGTGTATTTAAGGTGCCGGGCGCAGTGGCTCACACCTGTAATCTCAGCACTTTGAGAGGCCGAGGCAGGCGGATTGCCTGAGCTCAGGAGTTCCAGACCAGCCTGGGTAACACGGTGAAACCCCGTCTCTACTAAAATACAAAAAATTAGCCGGGCGTGGCAGCGTGCGCCTGTAATCCCAGCTACTCGGGAGGTGGAGGCAGGAAAATTGCTTGAACCTGGGAGGCAGAGGTTTCAGTGAGCCAAGATTGCGCCACTGCACTCCAGCCCGGGTGACAGAGTGACACTCCGTCTCAAAAACAAACAAACAAAACAAAACTGTAAGGAATCAAATGTTACAAAATCCTGGAAGATTTTGGTAATGCTGTTGATAATTTCAGGGAAATTAATGAAGTACATGTAAGTGCTTGATTTAAATGTGTATTTTATTCAATAGTTTGAGTATCTTGCCATGGAAGATACTAGCCCAGCCTAGCAGAAAAGTGCAATATGTATAATATACTTTCGCATTTTAAAAGTTATATTCCCTATCCATTTTGAAATGCTAGCCAAACTACATGAAGTTATTTGCAATTAATTGTAAGCTAATCAGGAATTTTGAAAGCTTGATTGGATTAACAAACTATAATGTTGAAATTTGGTAAAATCATAATGTTAATTTTTACTGTGAAACGTTTTCTTGTAAGATAGATATACACATCCTAGTTTAATTTTGTGTCTTAGTGTGGATTTACAAATTTACTACAGTTATTCTGAGCCCAGGAACCCAATCAGATTTCAGGCCAGTTTGATACTGGCTGTTCTTAATTCTAACAGGAGAGTAGGACATCATACTAAATGTTATGTCAGTGGGACTGTGTTGTCTTTGGAGCTTAGTAAATTAATCATTTTCTTCAGACTTTAAGGAGAGTGATAAATAAAATTTGGAGTCATAGGATATAGATGTACAATTTAAAGATTAAACATTTTTTTTTTTTTTGAGATGGAGTTTTGCTCTTGTTGCCCAGGCTGGAATGCAGTGGCATGACCTGGACTCACTGCAAACTCCACCTCCCGGGTTAAAGCAATTCTCCTGCCTCAGCCTCCCAAGTGGCTGGGATTACAGGCATGTGCCACCACAGCTGGCTAATTTTGTATTTTTAGTAGAGACAGGGTTTCTCCATGTTGGCCAGGCTGCTCTTGAACTCCTGATTTTGTGATCCACCCGCCTTGGCCTCCCAAAGTGCTGTGATTACAGGCGTGAGCCACCTTGCCTGGCCAAGATTAAACATTTTTCATCAATTGTGGATGGTGGCTTATAACACTGCAAGAATAGGCTGGGCATGGTGACTCACAAGTGTAATCCCAGCACTTTGGGAGGCAGAGGCGGGCAGATCACAAGGTCAGGAGGTCAAGACCAGCCCAGCCAACATAGCAAAACCCGGTCTCTACTAAAAATACGAAAATTAGGTGGGCATGGTGGCATGCGCCTCTAATACCAGCTACTCAGGAGGCTGAGGCAGGAGAACTGCCTGAACCCAGAAGGCGAAAGTTGCAGTGAGCTGAGACTGCACCACTGCACTCCGGCCTGCAAGAATAAAAGTAAGTTATCCAAAAAAAAAACAAAAAGGAGAAGAAAAGGGAGGAATGAAGGAGAGAGATGGGGTTGGGGGGCAGAGATGAGAGAGAGAGAAAGAAGAAAAAAGAAGAAAGAAAAGAGAGAAAGAAGGAAGGAAGAAAGAAAGAAGGAAAGAGAAAGAAAGAAAGAGGAAGGAAGGCAGGAAAGAAAAGAAAGAAAGTGAAAGAAAAGAGAAAACGGTGCTCCCAGCAAAGGGTACGACCTCAAGATCTGGAGGTCAGACCTGTGCCCTCACGCTCTGCTGGGCTCTGAGTCCTGGAGACGTCGATGAGGAAATCAGAGGGACAAACAGAGCTGGGGACGGCGGGGATGGGGAGAAGGACACATCAGCCGTGCGCCTGCGGGACCGGGGCCGGGGCGGGGGGTCCAGTATGACGACTGACATGGCCAGTAATAAAACAAGGCAGCCACAGAGCTGCAGGGATCTGAACAAGAAAACCTGGGGCCAGCCTCCCTGCTGCCGACCACCACGCTACACGTGACCTACGGGCTTGCGTCCGTGGGAAATAAGCCGAAATTCCAGGCGTCCCCAGACCCTCGACCACCGATCGCCTGCTCCCCGCCGGGGTAGGCGATGGGGGCTGAACCAAGGCCCAGAGCGCCGCCGTCGGACGCCCAAGGAAAGAGGGGAAAGACAGGAGGCCCCGAGGGGCACTGAACCCGCGCCCGCCCTCGCTGGTGCCCCGCCAGCTCACCGTCCACGTGCAGCTCCAAGCGCTCGCTGGGCGCGGAGCCCCCGAAAGGCGGCTTCAGGTCCACGTAGACGCAGCTGTAGTTGGCGGAGTCAGCCACGGAAATGTTGTGCAGCTCGAAGAGCGCCTCGGTCCCAGCGGGGCTCTGGAAACGGTGCACGCGGCGCCCGCCCCTGTCCTCGCGCACCAGGGCGAAGCGCGCGCCCTCCAGGGGCGCCAGGCACCGCAGCCGCAAGGCCCTGCCGGACTCCGGCTCCGGGGAGAACTCCGGCGCGGGCAGCGTCTCTGCGGAGCAGCACACGGGCTGACCCGGGCGCCCAGCGGCTGGCTCGGCCCTAACGCGTGGTCTGGCCTCGCGCTCTTTGCCTTGGCTGAGTCTTCTGCCCGCAATGACCTGGCCAGCTTCCTCCCTCGCCTCCTCCGGGCCCGCCCCACCTTTGCATCCCAGTCCTTGGATATCTCACACGCACCCTTTCACTGTTTCTTAGTAATTTGTTTGTCTACAGACACAGACGGGAAGCGGGGACGGGGACATGTTTTGTGCATGGCTTGATGCCTGGTGCACGATGCCGCTCAGTAGTGGATTTGCTCCACGAGCGTCTTCTGAGCACCGCCCCAATGCCCGCCCCACGGAGGGGCCCCTGTGGTCCGCTGGGCATGGGGTTCGCTGTCCGGTGCTCAGAGTTTGCTAAATACCATCAGGTCCAAGGCAAGCGAGCGGAGGAGCTGCCTCAGCAGAGGCCCTCAGTGCTCACCTAGACCTGGCAGCTGGGATGGGACCTGCCAGGTGGTGCCCCCTGTGGCCTGGGCCAGACCTGTTCACCCAGTTATTCCCTGTGGGGCCTGAAGGTTGTCACGCTCATCATCATATTTGCAGTTTAGGACCCTGAATCGGCGGGTGGGCGGATAAAGTTGGTATTGGACCCTGGCCCAGAGCACTGCACTTCCCCAGACTCTACACCTGGTACTGCTCCTGCTCCCCAGGGACCCAGCCGCGTCCCTGTCCCTGCTGGCCCCGGCTCACCATCGCTCAGAATCAGCTCGACCGGCGCGCTGTCCCCGGACCAGCCGTTTTGGTTGTCATGCAGCCGGTAGCGGCAGGTGTAGTGACCTCCATCCCCCAGGGCCACCGCGTTCAGGTGAAAGAAGATGCGATCTGGGCTGGTGCTGCTCCTGGGTACCAGCAGCTCTTTCTCCCCGCGCCGTAGCTGGAAGTCCACTCCACTCAGGGGAGCCACGCAGGTGAGGGTCACCTTGTTGCCAGGGTGCAGGACCTGGGAGGACTCTCCATGGTGCATCAGCACAGGCGGTGGTGGTGCAGCTGCAATGCAGGCAGCATTACTAGGCTGCCCCATCCCTGGAGCTGCCCTCTGCCCAGTCCCCAGACCTCTGCCCTCCGGGTGGCAATCCCAGGAACACCCTTCCATTCTTTTTTTTTTTTTTTTTTGAAACGGAGTTTCGCTCTTGTTGCCCAGGCTGGAGTGCAGTGGCGCCACTCAGCTCACTGCAAGCTCTGCCTCCCAGGTTCAAGGGATTCTCCTGCCTCAGCCTCCTGAGTAGCTGGTACTACAGGCACCTGCCACCACACCTGGCTAATTTTTGTATTTTTAGTAGAGACGGGGTTTCGTCATGTTGGGTAGACTGGTCTCGATCTCTTGACCTCATGATCCGCTGGCCTCAGCCTCCCAAAGTGCTGGGATTATAGGCGTGAGCCACCGCACCCGGCCTCACCCTTCCATTCTTTGGGCATCCTCTGCCCAAACTCCTTTGCAACCATCAGACCCAGGCAACCGTGTGGCCAGCTTCCTGGACCTGGTCCTGGGCAAGGACATTCAGCATGGAGGTCAGGATGAATGTGGTCATGCCCCCTGTATCCTCCTCCCCCAGCAGCCCCCAGAGATGGTTCCCACAGTCACCGAGCTCCTCAATGGTCACAGTAGCGCTGGGCTCAGAGAGGGCGCCTTCCCCATCGGTCCGGTAGCTGCAGCTGTAGTTGCCAGGCTGATGGACTGGAAAGGTGGCCTCCACATCCTCCTGGGCCTCAGGCACCTCCAGAAACTCATGGTCGCCCTCCCGCCTCAGCAGAAAAGTCACACCCCGCAGCACACCTCGGCACACTGCTGTTGTTTTCAGGCCGGGGGTGATCCAGGACACTGGCGCCATCGAGAGCCAGGGAGCAGGCAAGGACTCTGTGGGTGGGGTGGAGTTGAAGAGTGCTTCTGCATAACAGGAGACGTGGGAAGCCCAGCAGAACCTGGGCCCCACACTCATAAGACTGTGAAGGAGACAGGGATGGAGGGCATTGCTGGGAAAAGGCAGGCAGGCACCAGTGGAAACAAGGCATACGGCAAGAGAAAAAGAGTGTGTGGGAGCTGTACGGCATGCCGGGCCTGCTGGGGACACAACCATGTATTCCTTACAACACAGACATCATCCCCATTTGACAGATGGGAAGATTGGGGCTTGGGGCTCAGAGACATCGGGTGACTTGGAGGAAGGGAGACCCCCCAGTCAACAACCTACCCACTGCCTCCTGGCCCCCAATTCATGCCCCGGCTCACTTGGCCCTGTCAGCTCCAGGAGCTTGCTCAGCTGGGTCCATCCTGTGGACAAGCCCGAGCGGCAGCGGTAGCGGCCCTGGGTGTCACCCGTCAGCAGGAACTGGTGCTTGATGGCAGGTGAGTCAAGGTGCACAGGCTCCTGGGCCACCCCATTCTTGAACAGCTGGAAGTCTGGAGTCTCCAGGTGGGCCTGGCACGTCAGCGTCACATTGGCCAAGGGTTTCAGCAGTGATTCGGACTCTGCCCACAGGCTGGGCTGCGTCTCATAAACTGCAAGGGGTGGCTGGGATCAGCTCAGTGCCACAGAGACAGGGCTCCCCCCCGGCCTGGGCCCACCATTCCCAGACCTCACCCCTGCACTCACATATGGCTGCTTCTGTCACTGGGCCCCAGGTGACACCTGCGGAGACAGCCCCCGTAAGGCTCCTGTTCCCGCCCCCTCCCGCCCCAGGGACCCAGACCCCAGGAGGCCTCACCCCACAGCAAGAGAAAGACCACGAGCATGGACATGATGGTCGCGCTCACTCCGGTGCAGTGAGTGTCTGGGGTGAGCGTCTGCAGCAATGAGGCCCCAAGGGAGGGCGGTGGGGTGGCTCGGGCACTGACCTCTTCCCGTGTTTGTCCTTCCCGGAAGGCGGGGGCAGGGCCCCCATGGGGTCAGGGCAAAGGGTGAACTTCTGAGGCCTCAGGATGCCCAGCAACAATTATAATCAATAATCATGTATGATTAATAAACTAAATCAAGAGTGATAAAATGATGTTAAAACCACCTCATCCTCATTTCAGTGATGGATCCTAGAACCTGTTCTAGAAGGAGACGCTGAGTTCTCCCCACTCTACCTGGAGCTGCTGAGGTCAAGTGGAGAGTGCCGGGGCTGAAGCCCAGCGAGCCCCTCCCTGTCACACCACACTGCACATGTGACACCAAAGGTGGGGTTCACCTCTTTTCAGACTTTCTGCGGTTGCCCTCACATGGGCTGTCTGGAGGTGCACCCTCACTCTTCCTGAGGACTGTGGTTCCTTCTCCATCACTGGTTCATTCTGCATGGTGTGACCCACCACGGCTCTGGAGTCGGATTTCCACCCAGGTCATTCAGCTGAGACCTGCGCTTCCCAGGCCTACCCGTGACATGTGCTCAGTTACCTGAGCTGCTGGTGGTCACTCATGTGGCTATAGCCTGCTGCCTGGAGGCCAGGCCTCCCGCTTCCCCTGCCTCCCCCTCTCCTCACCACAGCCTGTTGGGATGGAACAGGACAGGGGTGAGACCGTGGTGCTTTCACACTCAGCCTCCATGGACATCCTGTCATTCCCACCCGGGGAGGTCTGGTCCCCACCCTGGGTGTCCCAGCCTAGCTCCGCTACGAGTGTGAGGGCCCAGGGCAACCGCCTAGCCCTCATCTGCCCCCTGCACTGCATCCTCCCCACTCATTCATTCCACAGGCATTTATTGAGCATCTACTGTGTGCCAGATGCAAAGAAGACAGTGGGATAACTGGGCAAGGAGCATTCCAGGCAGAGGGAACAGCCAGTGCAAACATGGGAGATGCGGGTGCAGTGAGAAGGAGCAGAGGAGACCAGGAGTTGAGGCGACTGCAGAGCGATTGCAGAGCTCATAGACGTGATGAAGACCAGCTGGGCACTGCAGCGGCTCTGGCTTCTGCTGTGAGGGACGGGGAGCTGTGGAGACTCCCTCTGTTTGGTCCCATTTCCATATTGCTGAGCACCTGCTGCATGCTCTCTGTCCTGCTCAGAGCCAGTACCTGGATGGAGGCTGTGTGTTCTGGGTGGACTGGGGGAGAATGCATTCTTTGCAGAAGAGACAACCAGGTGCTGAGGCCTGAAGTCATAACCAGACCTGGGGCACTCAGACAAGGACTGGTGGCCAGGCCAGAGGAGCAGAGCTCAGGGTGTGCACAGAACTCAGAAGTCAGACCACTGAACAGTGACAGAACCTTTCAGCCCATTGGCAATGAGGCTGCCCAGGCAGCCAGAGGCCTGGTCAAATCTGAGGTCTGCAGAGATGGAGCTGTCATTCTGTGTTTCCTTTGGCAGTCCCAACACCAGCCTCGTTGCACCCTCCTCTTAGCTTCCCTGGGTTCTCCAGCCCTAAGGGTGGTAGCAGCTTCCTGCAAGTATCCAGCTCTGAGATTCTGCAACATCCACTTTTGCTCTCTGAGCCTTGCAAAACCTGCACAATCAGTCCCTAACTTATATCCCCTCTGTTTGAAATACCTAGTGTGGTTTCTATTTCCTGACTTGACTCTGACTGGTGTGGTACTTGGTATAAAGAAGGTTCCCTGGCCAGGTGCGGTGGCTCACGCCTATAATCCCAACGCTTTGGGAGGCTGAGGCAGGAGGATCACTTGAGCCCAGGAGTTTTGAGACCCGCCTAGGCAACATGGTGAGACACTGTCCTTACAAAAAATTTTAAAATTAGCCAGGTGTAGTGACGCAAGTCTGTCATCCCAGCTGCTTGGGAGGCTGAGGTGGGAGGATCACCTGAGCCTAAGAAGTCGCGGCTGCAATAAACAGTGATTGCACCACTGCACTCCAGCCTGGGTGACAGAGTGAAACCCTGCCCCCTCCCCCAAAAAAGAAAAGTCCCATGAAACAGACCTACACAGGTGAGATTCTGAGATTGATCTGGTTCTGACCTCGGTCAGGAATGCAGTGCTGAGCTTCTTGCCAACAGAATATGAGACACTAGAAAGCCATAGCATGCGGTTTCATCATGTTTAACTGTCACCTGTGGTTGCCTGAGATGAAGTGCTGACTGAAGCGAGCACCTTAGGAGACACAGTGGCCACTGCACTGAGCAGCTGGTAGCAGCAGTGGTGACCATGTGGACTGGGGGGTGGGTTGGCTGCTTTTGACAGTGCCAGAGAACTCAAAGAAATAGCCACACCTGTCGGAGACCCCAGTTCTTGCCCACCTCTGCATGGACGAACCTCTCGCCGAAGTGGAGCCTGCCGCCCTCCCTGGGGTAAGAGCCCATCCTACATGTCCCCAGACAGGCCTGGGTGGCCGGTGGACTATCGTCAAAGGGACTGTGCAGCCAGGGTTCTCCACACCCAAGGCCGCCCCTGCACTCCCAGCAGGAGGGCGCCCGCACCGGCGGCCCGAAAAAGTCTGGGCCAGCAGACAGCGCACTCACGCCCGAGACCCCGCAATGCCGTGTGTCCGCGACCTCCCGCTCAGGGCGTCCTCGGGTCAGGGCGCAGCGCGGCCCCCGTGCCGCTTCTGGTGCTCGTTGAGGTTGCAACGGTGGCTGAAAGGCTTCCCGCACTCGCCGCAAGCGTAGGGCCTCTCGCCCGTGTGCGTGCGCCGGTGGCTTAAGAGCTCCGACTTGCGCACGAAGGCCTTGCTGCAGTGGGCGCAGACGAACGGCCTCTCGCCAGAGTGCAGGCGCTGGTGCTGGCGCAGCTCGGAGCTGCCGCGGAAGGCCTTGCCGCATTCTGCGCAGGCGAAGGGTCGCTCTCCCGTGTGCGAAAGCCGGTGGTGCGCCAGGCCGGAACTGCCGCGGAAGGCCTTGCCGCAGTCGGCGCAGGCGAAGGGCTTGGCGCCCGAGTGCGTGCGCCGGTGGCTCAGTAGGTTGGAGCGCTGGCTGAAGGCCTTGCCGCACTGGGCGCACGCATGAGGCTTCTCGCCCGTGTGCACGCGCCGGTGCTCCGCCAGGTAGGAGCCCATGACGAAAGCCTGGCCGCACTCGGCGCACTCGAAGGGCCGCTCACCAGTGTGCGTGCGCTGGTGCTGCAGGAGCTGCGAGCTCTCGCGGAAAGCCTTTCCGCACTCGGCGCAGGGGAAGGGCTTCTCGCTGCTGTGCGTGCGCCGGTGCTGCCGCAGCCCCGCCACACGCACGAAGGCCTTGCCGCAGTCGGGACAGGCGTGTGGCCGTGCGCCCGCGTGGATCTTCAGGTGCTCGGCCAGGTTGGAGCTCTGGCTGAAGGCCTTGCCACAGTCCCGGCAGGCGTGCGGCCGCGCGCCCGTGTGCACGCGCCGGTGCTCCAGGAAATTGGAGTTCCAGCTGAAGGCCTTGCCGCACTCCGGGCACTCGTAGGGCTTCTCGCCCGTGTGCGTGCGTCGGTGCTGCACCAGCGTGGTGCTTCGGCCGAAGGACTTGCCGCAGTCCGGGCAGCGGAAGGGCTTCAGGCCGCTGTGTGTCTCCTGGTGGTGGATGAGCTGCGAGTGCGCGCGGAAGGCCTTGCCGCACTCCCTGCAAGCGTAGGGCTTCTCGCCGCTGTGGATGCGCTGGTGCTGGCTGAGGTTGGAGCTCCAGGCGAAGGCCTTGCCGCACTCGGGGCACGTGTACGGCTTCTCGCCTGTGTGCACGCGCCGATGCTGCAGCAAGTAAGAGCCCTGGCTGAACGCCTTGCCGCACTCCCCGCACCGGCAGCCCGGCTCCTCTGGGAGAGGCGAAGGGCGCAACGCCCGGTCTGCAGGCTCGCTCCTGGGCCCAGCCCCGTCCCGCCCACCGTCTGCGGGGCCCAGCTCCCTGCCGGGGCCTCCCTGTTCGTCCGCCGCCCCCAGTGTGGCTTGCTGCCGCTGGCCGTCCCCTGCCTCCCTCGGAACCTCCGTGGAGTTTTCCCAGGCCCCCCAGCCTCCAGACACAGCCCCCTCAGAGAGGCCCCTCGTGGCAGTCTTCACATTGCAGAGGACCTGGCCTTCCTCTGGGGCCACCTGCAGGGTCCACCCTCTTGGGGACTCCATCTCGCGCCTGTGACCTAAAACAGGAGAGAAAAGGCAAGTACCTTAGAGAATACAAAGAACACCAGACAGAGGGCCTGAGGGGGACACGACGGTGGGTGGGCTGTCATCCCCCACT
The DNA here is from genome assembly GCF_000001405.40 of Homo sapiens. Lineage (NCBI taxonomy): Eukaryota > Metazoa > Chordata > Mammalia > Primates > Hominidae > Homo > Homo sapiens. Next base: position 58,357,751 of record NC_000019.10, read on the forward strand.
CTTCTCCTCCAGGTCCCTGGATGCCCAATGCCCTCTGGAGCCTGGAGCAGGAAGGCCAGCAGGCGGGCTAGACACTCGGGGGATGGGCCAGCACTCTGGGCCTGCCTGACAGGGCCACGTGCACATCCCCACACCCGGCCCGGCCCAGCAGGAGGGGAGGGGGCGCCAGCATCGCAGAAGGACTCAAAGTTGCCCACGCACCTGCACTGGCCCTACTGTGGCACCACTCTCCTCTCCTTGCTTCACAGGGTGGGGCCCCAAGTGTCAAGAAGGTGGAGACTCCAGTTTGTGAGGAACACGATGGACCCGTCTCCATTCCTGAAGGCTGGAGGACACCGCCTGACCCAAACACAGCTATGTCTGCCTCACCCACTCCACCCTGGCCGGATCCCTGGGTAGTCCCCTCCACACAGTATGGGCAGCATGTCCAGGCTGGAGGATCTCAGTGGCTGTTACCCAGGCAATGTCCACACCAGGCCTCTGTGCAGGTCAGACCAGGTGGTCCAAGGCATGGGGTGGCTGTGCAGCCCAGATCCCTGAGAGAGAGAGAGGCCAAGGGTGGGAGGGCCTCCTTGGTCCTAAGGCCATGCCTGCCTGTCCAGCCGATCCTTCCCACAGCGAAGTCTCTACAGCGAGCAAAACCCATCCTCATTTGCCCTGAGCACCTTATCATCCTTGTGTAGTCTCCAGCCCCGCTGCCAAGGCAGGGCAGGGACAAGTGTGTAGATGGTGCCATACCTGGAGGTGGGGCCTGGAAGGGGCCCAGGGGAGCCTCTTGCTCCTCTCCCTCCTCTGTCCTGGGGACCAGCTCCTCTTGGGGCCTGGGGGCTGGCACCTGGGGACAGGAAGGCAGCAGGGCAGGGTGAGGTGTTCAGCCTAGCAGATCTGAGAAAACAAGGGGCATGCGGTGGCATGACCCACCCTTCTCTGCACCTTCAGTTCTCAGGACACAATGCGGAGCACACAGGTGTGGACTGGAGATCTCTGACTCTGCCGTCCAAGCCAAGACCACCAAACTCCCACCTGTCACCATCACTTTCCCACAGCCCCCAGGCCCTCTCAGCCACCAACCCACGACTGGCCCCAGTGCTGGCTCAGCTGGGGTCGTGAGCAGGGGAAGCACACCCAGCCCCCAGACCAGCCCCCACTCATCTGGAGTCCTGGCCCAGCTGACTCCTGCTGTAGCCGCTCTGCCAGGGCAGTGGCCTCCTCAGGGCTGCCTAGCCACTGCTCCTGCGTGTAGGCCTGGATCTCTGGGAGCAGTGTGCCCAATAACTGCTCCAGCACCAAGAGCTCCAGCATCTGCTCCTTGGAGCAGGCCTCAGGCATCAGCCACTGGCAACACAGCTCACGCAGCTGAGCCAGGGCCCCTCGGGGCCCTGCTGCCTTCTCATAGCAGAACCCCCAGAAGCACTGGCCAGGGCTCTTGGAGCTGGGCTCACCCACCATCAGTTCCAGTGGACTCGGGAAGACCTGGGGGGCCAGGGCTGATGCCTCACTCATCTGGGCAGCCATCCTGCCCCTTTCCTGGGAGGGGAGTGCAGCTGCATGGCCCAGGGTACTTTCTCTGCAGCTGGAAACACAAAGGTGAGCCTGTGAGCACAGCAAGGCCACGAAGGTCCCCTCCTTGGGACCACCTGAGACTGAGTAAAAATGGAAGAATGGGGGTATCGGCGTTTCTGGCCCCCAGTGTCAGCATCTTTGCCCACCTGTGTGTCCAGGTGCCTGAGGGACACACTGAGGTGCCATGGCTGCTTGTACCATCCCTTCCCCCCGCCTCCCCGCTTTTCTTGAGGGTCCCTGCCCTGCCCTGTCTCCTTGGCACCCTTCATCCCACACACAGAACAACTAAGACAGAGACTGTGAACAGGACACCCAGAGTCAGACCAGCAGATGGGTCCTGTTTGTCCCCTCCAGGAAGTGTTTTAAAAATTTAAGTTAGGCCAAGTGCGGTGGCTGACGGCTGTAGTCCTAGCACTTTGGGAGGCCGAGGTGGGTGGATCACGAGGTCAGCAATTCCAAGACCAGCCTGGCCAACATGGTGAAACCCCGTCTCTACTAAAAATACAAAAATTAGCCAGGCGTGGTGGCAGGCGCCTGTAATCCCAGCTACTCGGGAGGCTGAGGCAGAGAACTGCTTGAACCCGGGAGGTGGAGGTTGCAGTGAGCCGAGATCGCGCCACTGCACTCCAGCCTGGGTGACAAAGTGAGACTCTGTCTCAAAAAAAAAAAAAAGAGAATAAATACTGATACATACTACAAGATGGATGAATCTTGAAAATATTATGCTAAGTGTAAATGAAAAAATTCAGACACAAAAGACTTCATATTATGTTATTCCATTTATGTGAAATGTCCAGAACAGATAAGTCTGTAAGAGACAGAAAGTAGATCAGCGGTTGCCAGGATCTGCAGGGAAGAGAGAAATGGGAGATACAGCCGTGGGAGTGATGAAAATATTCTGGAATTAGTGGTGATGACTGTGCAACACTGAATATACCAAAAACCACTGAATTACACACTTTAAAAGGATGAATTGTATGGTATTTATGTTTTTTAAAAAAGTTACCACCCAATCCCAAAAGCTTAAAAACTGTATGACTCCATTTCTTTTTCTTTTTCTTTTTTTTTTTCTTTTGACAGGGTCTGGCTCTGTCATCCAGGCTAGGGTGCAGTGGTGCAATCTCATCTCCCAGGCTCAAGCCATCTTCCCACCTCAGCCTCCGAAGGAGCTGGGACATCAAGTGCGTGCCACCATACCCAGCTAATTTTTTTATTTTTTATTTTTCTATTTTTGAGACGGAGTTTCGCTCTTTCACCCAGGCTGGAATGAAGTGGCGCAATCTCGGCTCACTGCAACCTCTGCCCCCAGGATTCAAGCGATTCTCCTGCCTCAGCCTCCCCAGTAGCTGGGATTACAGATGCCTGCCATCAGGCCTGGCTTATTTTATTTTATTTTATTTTATTTTTTAGTAGAGATGGGGTTTCACCATGTTGGCCAGGCTGGTCCCGAACTCTTTTTTTTTTTTTTTTTTTTTTTTTTTTTTTTTGAGAAGAGTCTTGCTCTGTCGCCCAGGCTGGAGTCCAGTGGCGCTATCCTGGCTCACTGCAAGCTCTGCCTCCCGGGTTCATACCATTCTCCTGCCTCAGCCTCCCAAGTAGCTGGGACTACAGGCGCCTGCCACCATGCCCGGCTAATTTTTTTATATTTTTGGTAGAGCCGGGGTTTCACCGTGTTAGCCAGGATGGTCTCGATCTCCTGACCTCGTGATCCGCCCGCCTCAGCCTCCCAAAGTGCTGGGATTACAGGCGTGAGCCACGGCACCCGGCCGGTGGGCCGGTCCTGAACTCTTGACCTCAGATGGTCCACCCGCCTCGGCCTCCCAAAGTGCTAGTATTACAGGCGCGAGACACCTCGCCCAGCCTATGCAACATTCGTAAAATGACAAAATGGTAGAAATGAGAACAGATTACTAGTTGACAAAAAGAGGTTAACGGGGAGCAGAGGTAGGAGGGAAGGGTATGCGGCTCTGTAAGGGCAACACGGGGATCCTTCGTGATGGAAATATTCTGCATCTCAGTTGTGATATTGTACTCTAGTTTTTCTTTCTCTTCTCTTTTTTTGAGACAGAGTCTCGCTCTGTTGCCCAGGTTGGAGTGCAGTGGCGTGATGTGGGCTCACCGCGACCTCCGCCTCCTGGGTACAAGCGATTCTCCTGCCTGAGACTCCCGAGTAGCTGGGATTACAGGCACCAGCCTCCACACCCGCCTAATTTTTGTGTTTTCAGTACAGATGGGGTTTCACCATGTTGCTCAGGCTGGTCTTTAACTCCTGAGCTCAAGGGATCCACCCGCCTTGGCCTCCCAAAGTGCTGGGATTACAGACATGAGCCACCGCACCTGGCCTCTAGTTTTTCAAGATGCCACCTTTAGGGGAATTGGGTAAAGCGTACATAGGGTATGCATTACTTGTTACTGCATGTGAATTTATAATTACCTCAAATCAAAAGTTAAATTTTAAAAAAACGACATCTGATTTCAATAAAAATCCATATTTGTGTATTGAAGTATCAGAAATCCGGGTCCCCCAAGGGCCCATGTTTCTTAAGGCGGAGCCAGGCACCGCTGCCCCTCCATCCTGTGGTGTGCGACCCCGACCCGCCAGCCCCCAGCCGCATCTATCAGGGCTGCCGTCCTGAGTCCGTCCTCGTCGTGGGATAGCATGTGAGCCCCGTAAGGTCCTTCCTGTCGGCCTCACTGCTCCAGCCTCCCCGACGTCCTCACGTCCACGCTGCGTGCCCTTTCTGAGCCTCAACGCCTCCTCCTCACCTCGACATGATCAGAGCCACCTCCCGCGTCAGTCCCAGCGCCCACGCCCCCAACAACGGGCACTTGTCCGACCAGTCACGGGTACTTGTGTCTCCCCCACAACCCCCAAGGCCTAGGCTGGACAAACAAATACGGAGTGGATAAAGGGGAGGAAGCTGCGGCCAGGTGGCGCGAGGCCTGTGCGGGCAGCTCCGGAGGCTGGGAGGCGAGCCCAGCCTGGTGAGCTCCGAAACTACCCGGGGCTGGGGACTGATGAACGAATAAATGAATGTGGGAAGAAATGATGGCGCGGCAGGGCATGAGTGAATGAGTGAAAGAATAAACGAGCAGGAGGAACGATGCCACAGAACTGATCGCCATAAGGCTCGCGTTCACCGAGAGAACAGCAAACGGGAGCCATTTCCGTCCCGACCACGGTCGCCTCTGGCCCGTGCAGGGCCACTTCCGGGCCGCTCTGGACGGCGCGGAGGCCTATCTCTCGGTGGTCCCAGAGGGCCCAGCTCAGGGCCGAGGCCCGTCCTGCCCCGCGCGGCGGGAGTGGTTGGAGCCGGAGGGCGGATCTGTGCCTGGCCGAGGGTGTCCGTCGGCGTCACTCACCGTCCTCGGCCCGCCTCTGCGTCCACTAGGAGCGGCCTGAAAGAGGCCCGCACGCGGGCTCGAGCCGCGTGGAATGGTAGGAGGGCGGGCACCGGGTCTCCTGGGGGCGCGGTTGCATTCGGCAGAGCGGCCCAAGGCGTCGCGTTTCTCCCCACTGCGCCTGCGTAACTATGCCGCGGCTGCGGGCGCGCGCCTTCTGGTTCCCATGGGGACGGCGCCACAGCCAAGCTACTCGGGCGTCCTGCGTTGCCATGGATGCGCTCCGCCCCTTCCTGCACCCGGCCAGCCTCTGCGGCACACACCCAACAGCTACACAGGCGCCTGGGGCTGCCCGGGTCGCGGACGCAAGTCGGGCCAACGTAGCTTCTCCCTGGCGGTCCTCCTCCGGCCCCAGGCCGTCTTTACCACCCTGGAACCTTGCTGAGTTGACGCCACTGAGCTGCGTCTCACACCCACGCGCTGTGGAACACCCACCAAGCTGGAATCCACGCGGTTTTTAAAATAGAGTCGGGGGCCGGGCGCGGTGACTCACGCCTGTAATCCCAGCACTTTGGGAGGTCGAGGCGGGCGGATCACGAGGTCAGGAGATCGAGACCATCCTGGCTAACACGGAGAAACCCCGTCTCTACTAAAAATACAAAAAATTAGCCGGGCGTGGTGGCGGGCGCCTGTAGTCCCAGCTACTCGGGAGGCTGAGGCAGGAGAATCGCTTGAACCTGGGAGGCGGAGCTTGCAGTGAGCCGAGATCGCGACACTGCACTCCAGCCTGGGGCGACAGAACGAGACTCCGTCTCAAAAAAAAAAAAAAAAAATTGAGTCGGGATCTCAGAAGCTAAGCAGGGTCGGGCCTGGTTAGTACTTGGGAGACCGTCTGGGAACACCGAGTGCTGTTGGCTAAAATAAATAAATAAACCGGGCGCGGTGGCTCACGCCTGTAATCCCAGAACTTTGGGAGGCCGAGGCGGGCAGATCACGAGGTCAGGAGTTCGAGACCAGCCTGACCAACATGGTGAAACCCCGTCTCTACTGAAAATACAAAAATTAGGCTTGTTGGCGTGTGCCTATAATCCCAGCTACTCGGGAGGCTGAGGCAGGAGAATCGCTTGAACCGGGGAGGCAGAAGTTACAGTGAGCTGAGGTCGTGCCACTGCACACTCCAGCCTGGGTGACAGAGCAAGACTCCGTCTCAAAAAACAACATAGACCAGATGCTGTAAGCTAAAATAAATGAATAGCTAGAGACGGGGTCTCGCTATATGGCCCAGGCTGGTCTTGAACTTCTGGGCTCAAGTGATCCTCCCACCTTGGCCTCCCAAAGTGCTAGGATTACAGACCCGAGCCACTGCACCCGGCCTCCACGAGCTCTTTTTGTACCAATTTTTCCCAATTTGTACTAGGGAGCTCTCACCTCAGCCCAGGTGGTTTGGGCAGGTGTGGGTACATGGCCCAGGTCCACAGCACAGGGCAGTCCATCCCTCTGGCCCTGGCAGTGGTCACTTTGGACCTGTGAGCATCGTGGGACTTCTCTCTGAACTGTTAGGGCCTCTATCTGCTTTGAACCTGAGGCTGTGAGCATCTGTCAGCTGGGGCAGCTGCAGCCTTCTTGCCCCGCTGAAGGATGAATCTGTTAAGAGAATGGAGTCCATACAGAAAAGCAGAACTGAGGGATGGTGTGTTAGTTTCCTGTGGTTATGCAGCAAATTACCACAAATTTGGTGGCTTAAAACAGCAGAAATATATTCCCGCCCAGTTCTGGGGACCAGAAGTCTAACATCGATATGACTGAGCTGAAACAAGATGTTGACAGGGCTGAGCTCCCTCTGGAAGCTCTAACGTAGAACCTTTCCTTGCCTTTTTCAGCACCTAGAGCTGCATTCCATGTATTCCTTGGCTTTTCGTCCTTTCCTCCATCATCAAGTAACTGGTAACATCTTACTATTTCTCTCATTAAGTTAAAATATTTAACATATGTTCATTTTATCTTATTTGCATGAGAGTCAATTTTAGCTTTAAAAAAATTTTTATTGGCCGGGTGGGGTGGCTCAGGCCTGTAATCCCAGCAATTTGGGAGGTGGAGGTGGGCGGATCACCTGAGGTCAGGAGTTCGAGACCAGCCTGACCAACATGGTGAAACCCCGTCTTTACTAAAAATACAAAAATTAGCCGTGTGTGGTACATACCTGTAATCCCAGCTACTTGGGAGACTGAGGCAGGAGAATCGCATGAACCTGGGAGGCAGAGGTTGCAGTGAGCTGAGATCATGCCACTGCACTCCAACCTGGGCAACAGAGCGAGACTCCGTCTCAAGAAAAAAAAAAGGGGGGGAGGCCTGGGCGCAGTGGCTCACGCCTGTAATCCCAACACTTGGGAGGCTGAGGCGGGGGGATCACGAGGTCAAGAGATCGAGACCATCCTAGCCAACATGGTGAAACCCTGTCTCTACCAAAAATACAAAAATTAGCCAGGCGTGGTGGTGTGCGCCTGTAGTCTTGGATCACCCATGCTGGAAGAATTCAGCTGCCCGGACATGAGGAAACTCAGGTCTGCAGTCCTGTGGAGAGGCAGTGGAGCAGTGCATACTCCAAGCCCAGTGGGGCCTTCAGATGATTGCAGTCTTGGCTGCCATGTTGACTTCAACCTCGTGAGAGGCCTTGAGCCAGAACCACAGGCCAAGCTGGTCACGAATTCCCCACCCCCAGAAAATGTTTGCGATGATAAATGTTTATTTATTTATTTATTTATTTTTGAGAAAGTCTTGCTCTCTCACCTAGGCTGGAGTGCAGCGGCGCGATCTCAGCTCATTGCAACCTCTGCCTCCCAGGTTCAAGGGATTCTTGTGCCTCAGCCTCCCAAGTAGCTGGGATTACAGGCACATGCCACCATGCCCGGCTAATTTTTGTATTTTTAGTAGAAACGGGGTTTTGCCATGTTGCCCAGGCTGTTCTGGAACTCCTGAGCTCAAGCCATCCGCCCAACTCAGCCTCCCAAAGCACTGGGATTACAGGCCTGAGCCACCACGCTTGGCCTGGAGCATGCCCTTGATGTGCAAACTAACCAATCCAGAGCCTCACCCCTCTACCTGGTCCACACACCGCAGGAGACAGTATTCCTCTGTCTTAATCATCCCCGGAACAGGAGCCAAGCAGCTGGGGAACACTCCCACAGCTGAAAGCCCACAGGAATTACTCCAGCTAGCCAGTCCTGTGCTGTAGGCTCTGCTCTGCCTTGCTTTTCCCTTGGAAACCCCAGTAAAGGCTCTGGCTTAGAGCTCCCCCTTGGTCCTGCCCCTGCTGCCTCTGACAGATGCTGGTGCTTTTCTCATGTGTCCTTCCTTGTGGGCCGTGCCTCCTGTTTCCAGGATCTGTGAGCATGATGAACTTTGTTTTCCTGAGCTTGTCCTGTGTCTCCTCTTCTGGCCACACCTGACTGAGCAGAACATAAAAGCGACAGAACACCAGGAGGGCTGCTGCTTGGGGAAATTGTGTGAGAAGAGTCCTGGGGGACTAGGGGCAGGGCAAGCACTGCTCTCCCTCTCCTGGAGGCTGGGGAGAGCATCAAGGAGACTACCAGGTAGGAGGAACCATGGGCAGGGCCTCCCTCATCAGGATGCTTTCCCCACAACAGAGGGATTTAAGCCCCTGGTGGGTGAGTCCTGGATTAACCAAGACCTGAGCCTTTTGGGGGGTGCAGAGGACAGAGGACACTGTGAGGTGAGTTTCTCCTGGGTGGATTCCCCAGGGGCCTCTGAGGCTGGTTTCAGGCCCTGCCCTTTGGCTGCCCCACTGGAAGCTCTGAGCATCTACCCTTCAGGGACGCTTTCCCTGGTCTGACCTTGGCAAGGGCAAATAAGAGGTACTCCATGGAGGGTCACCAAGGTCTGGGGCGTAAACGGTGCCCATCTGCACAGTAGCATGAGGGCCACAGAGTGTGGTAAATGTCAGTGACCATCACATGCGGTCCCCAGTGTGGCTGCAGGGGCCACTTAGGATTCTTCTGTTCGGGGTCCCAGGCCACACTTGGGGAACCCTATTGGAAGCAACAAGGTCTAGGCCCTGAGGGCCCAGGGCTCTGCCCTCTCCAGGGCTCTAGCTGAGCCACGTGCAAGCATCCTCCCGGCCCTCCCAGCTGGTGTGAGGAGGAAACCACAGCCAAAGGGCAAGGTGCTCCACACAGATATGTCCCTAGTCAGCCTGCCCCATTCGGCCTCTGGAGTGGGAGCCTTGGGTCTGTCTGGAACCAGTGTGGATGAAATGCAGGGAGAAACTGGAATCATAGCCATGGACAGCCACTCACATAGCTGGGAAGAGGCATGCTGTGGTAGATCCCGGTGGACTCTCACCTCTGCGGTGCTGGGGACGTTGTGCCGACACCTCAGGCACCCACTTCCACTCACACCGCGGAGGCTTGGGGAGATGCGGTTCAGTCTGGAGTCCAGCGGGGGGCGACAATAAAGGCGACCCCGCTCGTCAGTCAGACCAGGGCAAGCTTGCCAGGGCTTCACACTTCACCAAAGGGAACCCTTTCTGCCGCGACTACCGAGCTGCCAGGGCCGGGACAGGCAGAAGCCTGCCCCGAGGTCTCACCTCTGGAGGGTTACGAGCTGTGCCAGGCCGGCTACGGTAGAGGGTGTGCAAATACCCCGCGGTCCCAAGGCTCCTGAAGCTGCCTAAGGGATATGAGAGACCCTAGGTTCGAATCCTGCCTCCATCGTCTTATGTTCGTGCCTCAGGAGAGTCACTTTGCCCCGTTTCCTCGCATACCAGAGAGCCCAGTAACACGCTCCGCGGCTCTGCGGAGAAAAAGACCCTAGAGATCGTGGACACAGCGTCTGGGCCGTATCAGCGCCCACTCGAGATTATTACTGCTTATGCCTGCAACCGGATGCTGTGCGCCCGGTTAGAAAAGGTCAAATAAAACTCGAGTTAGGGGAAGCCTGTGGACGCCATGTGTACAAAGTGAAGTTTAATCAAAGTTACAAACGTTGGTGGGTTTTCCGGGACAAAGGCCCCTCCTCGACGCAGGGTTCGCTTGGGCGACGCGTCGACTCTCGGCTCCCTGCAGTCAAGGCGCGGCGCGGCCCCCGTGCCGCTTCCGGTGCTCGTTGAGGTTGGAGCGTTGGCTGAAGGCGCGGCCGCAATCTCCGCACGCGTAGGGCCGCTCGCCCGTGTGCGTGCGCAGGTGGCGCACCAGGCTGCAGTTGCGCACGAAGGCCTTGCCGCAGTCGCGGCAGATGTAGGGCTTCTCGCCCGAGTGCAGGCGCTCGTGCTGGCGCAGCTCGGAGCAGCCGCGGAAGGTCTTTCCGCACTCGGAGCAGCCATAGGGCCGCTCGCCGGTGTGCGCGCGCTGGTGTTGCACCAGGCCCGAGCGGCCCTTGAAGGCCTTTTCGCACAGTGGGCACGCGTAGGGCTTGGCGCTGCTGTGAGTGCGCTGGTGCCGGCTCAGGTTCGAGCGCTGGTTGAAGGCCTTGCCGCACTCGGGGCACGCGTAGGGCTTCTCGCCGGTGTGCACGCGCCGGTGCTCCACGAGGTGCGAGAACAGCCCGAAGGCCTTGGCGCAGTCGGCGCACTCGTACGGCTTCTCCCCGGCTCCCGACCCCCGTCGGGGACTCCGCTCGCTGTAGTCCCCGCAGGGCGGGCACCCCAGCCGGAAGGCGCGCCGCGCCAGGACGGGGCCACGCCGGTGGCGCTCGGCCGAGTGCGTCTTCTGGTGGCGGTACAGGCCGGAGCAGCGCACGAAGGCCTTGCCGCACTCGGCGCACTCGTAGGGCCGCTCGCCCGTGTGGATGCGCTGGTGCTGCAGCAGGCTGGAGGTGCGCGTGAAGGCCTTGCCGCACTCGTCGCAAGCGTACAGTCGCTGGGCCGGGGGGTCGGGGACAATAGGGCGAGGTCGCGAGGTTTGGCCGCACTCAGGACACACTGGGGGACTCTTGCCCGCCTGCTGCTGCTGGTTGGGGCGGAAGCGCTTCCCGCACCGGGCACACGGACGGGGCTCCTCCGTCGCCTGCAGCCTCTCCTGGGGGATCCGCAGGGCCCTCCACGCAAAGGCCTCGCCGCACGCGCAAGCCCGGGGCTGCTCCACCAAGGGGTTCCTCCCGCGGGAGGTCGGCTTTGGGGTCCTCGGGCAGGTCGGAGCGCCAGTCCCTGGTTGGCACGGCCAACAGTCCGTGTGGACCTCACACAGTTGAGTCCGGGGGTGGTTCTGGATCCGCTCCGGACAGGGGTCACACACGGGTGGCGTCTCCCCAGCGGGCGCCCCGCGATGCCACGCCAGGCAGGAGTTCCTGCTGCAGTCCCCGCCACGCGCTGGGCTCCTACAGGGGCCCTCCCGGGCTTGCAGCCCCTCGGGGATAACCAGCTCAGGGTTCTGAGAAGAGGTGGGGCCGCACGGCTCCCGCACGAGGGGTCTGGTCCCGGCGCTGTGCCGGGTCCCCGGGCCGGGGCTCACCCCGAGGCTGCAGCCCCGGGAGCCCCCGCCTGGGGGAGTCGTCCTACCGCCCGCCGCTCCACGCAGGTCCCCCTTTTGAGTGGGGCGGCTCCCAGCTCGGTCCTCTTCGAGGGGCCTCGGCTCCTCGGGCCTCTTCTCCCGGGCCCCGGAGGCACCCTGGGCATCGGCCTTGGGGAGTCCTCCCTGCCCAGCCTTCTGGGCTGGAGCCTCCATCCTGGGGCGCAGAGTTCTGGTTGTAGGATCTGGAAGAGCAGAGAAGAAATGGAGGTTGGCGGTTCCCAGGAGGAGAGAAGTGGAGAACTGGGCCAACGAGCGACCACCCCACAGCTGGCACCTACTGGGCGGCCCCCAGCTCTCTGCAGATGCGAAAGGGTAAATGGAGTGACATAGGCAGCCCGTCCTGCCCCTCTTCAAATTGTCACCACCCAGACCCCAGAGAACAGCTTCCCAGGCTCTGCCTGCCCGCCATCACCGTTCCTCCCCAACACTAGCTCCTAAAACACTGTGCCCCTGGCTAAGGCCCTCCCTGGTCCCCCTTCCCCAAGCAACAGGGACTCCCCCGTTGCTCAGCTGCCAGCTCCCCAAAATCTCACTTACTCCTGCCCTCCGTTTCTCAGTGGCAAGCCGACACTCCGGGTCCTCCTGGCTCCATTCACTGCCATTGTCCATGTCTTCTGAGAGGTGTGAGGTGAGACTCACCTGACAGCTGAGAGCCTGGCCGGGAGATCCACGCTGCAGAGGCCAATGCTGGACTTCCCCTCCCCTCTTCAACCAGGTAACGGTGGTGCTCTCAAGGCTGGCAGCCTCATCTACAAAATGGGTATGATAACGGTAAGTATAACCAGCTGAGTAGGGAGACAGGCAGCCCAGATCATTCAAGCAAGTGTGAACATTAGCAACGCCTGGCGCCTGCTATTACTATTTTAAAATTACACTGTGGCTGTATTAGTTATCTATTGTTAAAGCTGCTTTAACAAACTGCCACCCCATAGTGGCTTGAGACAGTGCAAACTTGTTATCTCAGAGTTCTGGAGGTCGTAAGTCCTAAGTGAAGGTTTCAGTAGTGTGGGTTCCTTCCAGAAGCTCTTGGGGAGGACGTTTGCTGACCATTTCCAGCTTCTAGGTGCCACCTACTTTTCTTTCTTCCATCTTCAAGCCAGCAGTAAGACATGTTCATCTCTCTCTTTCTGGGTTTGTTGTCAAATCTCCTTATACTCCTTATAGGATTCTGACCCTTCTGCCTCTTGTGATCACACTAGGCCAACCACACATAATCCAGGAATCTCCCCATCTCAAGATCCAAAACTTCATCACACTCAGTTCTTTTGCCTTGTGAAGTAACATAGTCAGAGGTTCTAGGAAACAGGACGTGCAGATCTTTCAGGGGGCCATTATTCTGCTTACAACAGTGGACTTTGCTGAGATACACACACGTGCATATATAAATATTCATCTCCTAAGCAAGCAATTGAATAGCAAGTGAAAACAAAGGACGGCCGGGCACGGTAGCTCACGCCTGTAATCCCAGCACTTTGGGAGGCCGAGGCAGATGGATCACCTGAGGTCAGGAGTTTGAGACCAGCCTGACCAACATAGAGAAACCCCGTCTCTACTAAAAATACAAAATTAGCCAGGCATGGTGGTGCGTGCCTGTAATCCCAGCTACTCAGGAGGCTAAAGCAAGAGAATCACTTGAACCCGGGAGATGGAGGTTGCAGTTAGCCGAGATCGCACCATTGCACTCCAGCCTGGGCAACAAAAGTGAAACTCTTTCAAAAAAAGAAAAGGAAAAAAAGAAAAGAGAGAGAGAGGGAGGGAGGGGTGAAGGCCGGGGGGGGGGAGCCGGGCGCGGTGGCTCACGCCTGTAATCCCAGCACTTTGGGAGGCCTAGGTGGGCAGATCACGAGGTCAGGAGATCGATACCATCCTGGCTAACACGGTGAAACCCCGTCTCTACTAAAAATACAAAAAATTAGCTGGGCGTGGTGGCGGGCGCCTGTAGTCCCAGCTACTCGGGAGGCTGCGGCAGGAGACTGGTGTGAACCCGGGAGGCGGAGCTTGCAGTGAGCCGAGATCACGCCACTGCACTCCAGCCTGGGCGACAGAACGAGACTCTGTCTCAAAAAAAAAAAAAAAAAAATTGCCGGGCATGGTGATGCATGCCTGTAGTCCCAGCTACTCAGGAGGCTAAGGCAGGAGAATCACTTGAACCTGTGAGGTGGAGGATGCAGTAAGCTGGGATTGGGCCACTGCCCTCCAGCCTGGGCGACAGAGCGAGACTCCGTCTCAAAAATAAATAAATAAATAAATATTTTCCTCATTGTGATGTGATGTGAGGTTTCTCAGCCTCACACGTGATAAGTGCACAATCCTCCTGTCCCCTCCCTAGATCTCATTGTTTCCAGAACAAAGATGGATCTGTCCAGCACAGCCTTTAGACTCTGAATCCCGGATGGCTAACATCATATGCAGAGCGTGAGATGGACACACTTGTGGCACCCTCGTAAATCACTGCTTCACTCGGCACAGGAGCTCAGATTCTTCTCCTTTTGTCCTGTGTTCCCTATTCTGTGCAAGGCAGATATCCTCTTATTTTATTTTATTTATTTTGGTGTTTTTTGAGACAGAGGCTCTCTCTGTCACCCAGGCTGCAGTGCAGTGGCGCCATCTCAGCTCACTGCAACCTCCGCCTGCTGGGTTCAAGCAATTCTCCTGCCTCAGCCTCCTGAGTAGCTGGGATTACAGGTGCCTGCCACCATGTCTGGCTAATTTTTTGTATTTTTAGTAGAGATGGGGTTTCACCATGCTGGCCAGGCTGGTCTTGAACTCCTGACCTTGTGATCTGCCCACCTCGGCCTCCCAAAGCGCTGGGATTACAGGCGTGAGCCACCGTACCTGGCCAGATATCCCTTTATTTATTTGTTTGTTTGTTTGTTTATTTTTATTTATTTAGAGACAGGGTTTCACTCTTGTTGCCCAGGCTGGAATGAAGTGGCACAATCTCAGCTCACCGCAACCTCCGCCTCCTGGGTTCAAGCAATTCTCCTGCCTAAGCCTCCTGAGTAGCTGGGATTATAGGCATTCACCACCAAGCCCGGCTAATTTTGTATTTTTTTCTTAGTAGAGCCGGGGTTTCACCATGTTCACGGGGCTGGTCTTGAACTCCTGACTTCAGGTGATCCACCCGTCTCGGCCTCCCCAAGTGCTGGGATTATAGGCGTGAGTCACCGCACCCAGCCGATATCCATTTATTAAATGTCTCAGAGGGCCGGGTGTGGTGGCTCATGCCTGTAATCCCAACACTTGGGGAGTCCGGGGGGGGCGGATCACGAGGTCAAGAGATCGAGACCATCCTTGCCAACATGGTGAGACGTCCTTGACCTGATGTCACTTTTTCTGTCTGTTTTGCAGATTTCTAACAGGCAGTTGCCCTGGGCCACCTGGTGGCCTGAAATAACTTGACCGGGAACTAAAAGGACTCACGAAGCATTTAACCAAGACTCTACATGTTGACTTTTCAGCCAAGGACACTTCAGAGCGACTGGCTGCAGTTCTCCAAAGGAAGCTGCTGCCAGTTGCCCCTGGGGGGTTATTTCCTTCTTGGACATCATGACCACAATGGCAGAAATGCATTGATGGCCAGCACTCTGGGGATGAATGTTTTTGAGTGGAAATGAAACATACCAAACTGGTTAAAGACAAAAATGCAGAGTTGGACAAGTTCTGCAGGTCACGAAAGGCCTTTGAAGCAGCCAGGCCCGGTTCCTGCTCTGCTGTATGGGAGGCTGCTGGCCTGAGCTGGAGAGCAGAAAGGCCCAGTGCCAAGGGTTCAGCAAGTACCAGTCCCAGGCCAGGCATTTGCTAATAAGCCAGGGTGACAGTAAGGACAAGGGGACTCTGGTGTGATGTGAGGTTTCTCAGCCTCACTTGTCACACGTGATAACTGCACAACCCTCCTGTCCCCTCCAGGCCTGTGTGAGACAGGAAAGGTGAGGCTGCCTCTCCCTCTGCACCTTAAAGCCACTCGGGGTCTGGGTTTTCCTGAGACTTCCCGGAGCCAGATGCAGACTCCCAAAGGCGCCGATCCTTCCTCGATCTCCCTCCCTCAAGAGTGGCACTAATCAGGTCTAATTTAGAGAAAATCCATCACCTCCCCCCACTGTGGGCTCTGCCACTTCATGCCTTGGTCTCTCCACCTATCAGCCAGCTGGAGCCTGGGACTCAAGGAGGCATGCTTGGAAGTAAGGAACTTCTCTGAGTACGAGGACATCTGGGTGGTGCTGAACACCAGCATGCTTTGCCCCGTGGCCTGGACTGTGCACAGGGCACCTAGAGTGACCT
The DNA here is from genome assembly GCF_000001405.40 of Homo sapiens. Taxonomy (NCBI): domain Eukaryota; kingdom Metazoa; phylum Chordata; class Mammalia; order Primates; family Hominidae; genus Homo; species Homo sapiens. Next base: position 58,373,461 of record NC_000019.10, read on the forward strand.
GTCACCTCCCACGCAGGTGGAAGGGTGTGAGAGAGAATGGGCACTCAGTTACAAACATCCCCTTCCCAAACACTTGTGGATCTGAGTCTGAGGCTACTCCTTCCAGGTGAGGGGTTGGCTGCTGTTGTAGCTTGTTACTCTCTTTCTGTCCCTTCTGCCCTCAGGTCTTGACCATGCAGCTTCCCAAGAACAGGATGGGGAATGATATGGGCACATGGGGAGGCAAGCAGCCACAGGCCTCACCTGCTCATGGGCACTGACCGTCCCAACAGCAGGTGGACATGAATCTAACCCACAGACACCAGAGTAGAGGGAGCTGGGCTCCCTGAGTCTGGATGGGGTTCTCACAGGCCCCCACAGGGAGACAAGGGAAGCTTTCTCCAGAATGTGGAGTACGGACTCACTGTGTGAATAAAGTAAATGAGCTGGAGGGGGCGGGACAAGATTTCAAAAAGCACCACTCATACACCCAGGACTGGCAAAGCTGCTGGCAGTAAGCTCTATCATGGGGCTCCCCCACTGCAGGTGAGCTGATTGGCCTCAGCTGGCACCATCCATGCTCAGTGTTTGCCCTGAGGACAAGAAGACATGGCAAAAAAGAGGAAAGTACAGAACACACTCCCACCTGGCTGGTGGGGATATAGATAGTGCAGCTGCTGTGGAAACCTTCAGCTCCACAGAAAGGTAAAGATGGAGCTACCACACCCCGAGTAATTCCACCCCTAGGTATCCACCCAAGAGAAATGAACTCAGGCATTCAAGCAAACACTGGCTCACAGATGTTCAGAGCAGCGCTGTTCACAGTAGCCAAAATGGAGAAACAAGCCAAGTATATAAAATGACAAATGCATAAATAAGATGTGGTATATCCATAGAATGGGATATTATTCAGCCATAAAAATGGATGAGTACTAACACATACTGCAACATGGACTTTAGAAAACATGGAAAGTAAAAGCAGTGAGTCACAAAAGACCACATATTGCATAATTCCATTTATACGATATATCCAGAATAGGCAAATCCACAGAGACAGAAAGTAGACTGGTGGTCGCCAGGGGCTGAGGGGAAAGAGTGGGGAGTAATTGCTTTACGGGTATCAAGTTTTGGGGTAATTAAAATGTTCTGGAAATTATAGTGGTGATGGTTGCACAACATAGTGAATATATTAAAACCTAAAAAATATACTAAAACCTGGCCAGGCGGTGGTTCACACTTGTAATCCCCGCACTTTGGGAGGCGAAGGTGGGAAGATTACTTGAGGCCAGTTCGAGACCAGCCTGGCCAAAATGTCGAAACCCCATCTCTGCTAAAAATACAAAAATTAGCCGGGTGTGGTGGCACATTCCTGTAGTCCCAGCTACTTGGGAGACTGAGGCAGAGAATCACTGGAACCTGGGAGGTGGAGGCTGCAGTGAGCCGAGATCGCACCACTGCACTCCAGCCTGGGCGACTGAGCAAGACTCCATCTCAAAAAAAAAAAATTATATATATATATACACACACACAAAAACATGGCCGGGCACAGTGGCTCACGCCTGTAATCCCAACACTTTAGGAGGCTGAGGCAGGTGGATCACTTGAGGTCAGGAGTTCGAGACCACCCTGGCCAACATGGTGAAACCCTGTCTATACTAAAAATATGAAAATTAGCCAGGTGTGGTGGCAGGCGCCTGTAGTCCCAGCTACTTGAGAGGCTGAGGCAGAATTGCTTGAACCTGGGAGGAGGAGGTTGCAATGAGCCGAGATCACAACACTGTACTCCAGCCTGGGCAACAGAGCGAGAATCTGTCTCAAAAAAAAAAAAAAGTATATATATATATATATATATATATATATATATATATATATAAAATTACATATATACTTAAGAGTATATATTTATATAGAATGTAAATATATATTAGAGATATATATATACTAAAACCCAACCTGAATTGTAAAATGGTTCATTTGTTACATGATTTATATATTTTTGTTTTGTTTTGTTTTGTTTTGTTTTTTTGAGACGGAGTCTCCCTCTGTCACCCAAGCTGGAGTGCAGTGGTGTGATCTCAGCTCACTGCAACCTCTGCCTCCCGCGTTCAAGCAAGTCTCCTGCCTCAGCCTCCTGAGTAGCTGGGATTACAGGCATGTGCCACCAAGAACGGCTAATTTTTGTATTTTTAGTGGAGATGGGATTTCACCATGTTGGTCAGGCTGGTCTCGAACTCCTGACCTCATGATCCGCCTGCCTCGGCCTCCCAAAGTGCTGGGATTACAGGTGTGAGCCACCTCGCCCAGCTGATTTATATCTTTTTTTTTTTTTTTAAAGCAGAATGCACCCATGCCACAGTGCTCCTTCCTGCAGCCTGTCAGGCGTCGGCCCACCCTGCAACATCCAGGATGTCATTTGAGCCCTGGTCACACGAAAGCACTGCATGGGATGAAGGTGGTTTATTTATTTATTTTTATTTTATTATTTATTTATTTTTTTGACACAGAGTCTCGTTCTGTTGCCCAGGCTGGAGTGCAGTGACACAATCTCGGCTCACTGCAACCTCTGCCTCCCAGGTTCAAGCAATTCTCCTGCCTCAGCCTGGCGAGTAGCTGGGATTACAGGTGCCTGCCCCCACGCCCAGCTAATTTTTGTATTTTCAGTAGAGATGAGGTTTCACCCTGTTGGCCTGGCTGGTCTCAAACTCCTGGCCTCAAGTGATCCCCCTGCCTCAGCTTCCCAAAGGTGCTGGGATCACAGGCACAAGCCACTGCGCCCGGCCGAAGGTGGTTTCTTTTAAGCAATACATTTGTATTGAGAAAAACAAGTTCTTGGCCGGGCGCGGTGGCTCACGCCTGTAATTCCAGCACTTTGGGAGGCCGAGGCGGGCGGATCACGAGGTCAAGAGATCGAGACCATCCTGGCTAACACGGTGAAACCCCATCTCTACTAAAAAAAATACAAAAAATTAGCCGGGTGTGGTGGCAGGCGCCTGTAGTCCCAGCTACTCCGGAGGCTGAGGCAGGAGAATGGCTTGAACCCGGGAGGCAGAGCTTGCCATAAGTCAAAATCAGGCCACTACACTCCAGCCTGGGTGACAGAGCAAGACTCTGTCTCAAAAAAAAAAAAAAAAAAAAAAAAAAAAAAAAAAAAAGAAAGAAAAGAAAAAAGGAAAAAAAAAGAGAAAAACAAGTTCTTTTAAATCTCTAGGTAAAAATAAAATAATTTCTCACACACAGCCAAGTCAACTGCATACCAGAGTACCAAGCATAGTTTCCACATCAGAGGCTTAAGCTCTGGGGTAAAAGCATTTTCTTTAACCAGGTGTCTGTTAATTCACTCATATCAAAGAGAAAACTTGGCTGGGTGTAGTGGCTTATGCCTATAATCCCAGCACTTTGTGAAGCCAAGGTGGGTGGATGGCTTGAGCCCAGGAGTTAGAGACCAGCCTGGGCAGTATGGTGAAACCCTGTCTCTATTAAAAAAAAAAAAAAAAATGGCCGGACGTGGTGACTCATGCCTGTAATCCCAACACTTTGGGAGGCCAAGGTGGGTGGATCACGAGGTCAGGAGATTGAGACCAGCCTGGCTAACATGGTGAAACCCCATCTCTACTAAAAATACAAAAAATTAGCCAGGCGAGGTGGCGCGCACCTGTAATCCCAGATACTCGGGAGGCTGAGACAGGAGAATCACTGGAATCCGGGAGGCGGAGGTTGCAGTGAGCCAAGATCGTGCCACTGCACTCCAGCCTGGGCGACAGAGCGAGACTCCGTCAAAAAAAAAAAAAAAAGGCTGGGCGCAGTGGCTCACACCAGTAATCCCAGCACTTTGGGAGGTGGGCAGATCACGAGGTCAGGAGATTGAGACCATCCTGGCTAACATGGTGAAATCCCGTCTCTACTAAAAAATAGAAAAAATTAGCCAGGTGTGGTGGTGGGCGCCTGCAGGAGAATGGTGTGAACCCGGGAGGCGGAGCTTGTAGTGAGCCGAGATCTTGCCACTGCACTCCAGCCTGGGTGACAGAACGAGACTCCATCTCAAAAAAAAAACTATCCAGGTGTGGTGGTGCAAGCCTGTAGCCCCAGCTGTCAGGAAGCTAAGGTGGGATGATCGCTTGAGCCTGGGAGATTGAGGCTGCAGTGAGCTACAATTGCACCACTGCACGCCAGCCTGGGCAACACAGTGAGACCACATCTCAAAAAAAGAAAGCAAAGAAAACTCTTCATTAGAAACTGAACATGCTCGCTGGGAATGATATTCAGGGCACAGGGCAATTCCTTACAGGGGCACACACCCAAGGGCACTGCTGCCACCACATGGGAAGTTGTGACGGGAGGGAGGAGACTGAGGGCAGGACACAAGACATGGAGACACACATTCTGGTCTGTCTGACCATGGAGCTCTGTCCACACCCAGGCTGCCTGCTGGCTCCCAACCACCACACACAGTATCTGGCGTTTCTCACAGGTGTCGGCTTCTCTCTCTCGAGTCCATCTGCTGGCCGTGGACCTGGCTATTCGGGGCAGGCCCATCCTGCCCACCTCCCCACACTCTCTCAAGCCTCTGTCTCTGAGCACTGCAGGTTTTGTAGTGTTCCCTCGTCTACCTCTGAGAGGCCAGGCTGACTGAAGAGCTCCTGAGAAAGCCACCAGGACCCACTGCTAAAGGGGTTGGTCCAGGGTCATTGCCAGGCTGGGATCTGAGGTCCCCACACATAGGGCAGGGAACTCCCCAGCCATAGACTCTGATGGGGGTACCAGTGTGGACTCCAGCCCTTTACACGGAGGAGGGAGCATGCCACTATGGATGCTGAGCAGCAGGAGGTCAGGGGCCCCGCTTTCACAATGTGCCATCCCAGAAGCCCCACAGCCAGGATCTGGACCTCTCTGACACAACTCCAGGTCACAGAGACCCAGATGTCAGGGATGGAGGGACTTGGGCACCTGCCTTGCTATTAGCTCCAAGGCTGCTGGCTTCATGTCACAGTCTGTACAACAGCTGGTGGCATGAGCAGGGCTAGGACCAGCACTCAGCATGACTTCCTAGAACTCTAGGGACTTAGGGGCTGAGGACTTCCCAGGGTGAAAGACCATACCTGGGACAGCCTGGCCAAACAGGGACAATTGATCACCATGGAATCAGTGGACAGGCCCAAGAATGGATGGGCACATGAGGTCACCCAGGATCAGGCAGGTTCCACTGAAGGAGGCTGCAAAAGATATATCCAATGTCCTAACCCCGGAACTCTCAGAATGTGACCTTATTAGGTCTTTGCAGACATAATTAAGGATCTTGTGATGAGATCACCCTGAATAACCTGGGTGTGCCCTAATTCCAATGACAGGTGTCCTTATGAAGGAGGCAAAGGGAGTTCTGACACGGAGAAGAGTGGTCCATGTGAAGATGGAGGCTGATATTGGAGTGATGCAGCCACACTCCAAGGAACACCCGGAGCCGCCAGAAGCCGGAAGAGGCAAGGAAAGACCCCCACCCAGAGCCGTCAGAGAGCACAGTACTGCTGACACCTTGATTTCAGACTTCTGGCTTCCAGGACTGTGAGAGTAAATTTCTGTTGTTTTAAACTGCCCAGTTTGTGGTAGTGTGTTATAGCAGCCACAGAAACTAATAGAGACTGGTCTAGCACCCTCGACAGAATGTGTGTGTTGTAAGGGGCTCTCCTGATCCCTAGTGATGGGGAGTCAGAGGACTGCTTAGTGTCTGAACAGAGGGTTGGGGAAGCTGGGTTGTCCTGAAGAACCAGCAGTCCCCACTTGGCAGAAAGGGACCCTGAACTTGTGGGAGGTGGGGGCTGAGGGGCACCTGCTAGCCATGTGCTAACAGCATCTTCGGATTGGTCCCCAGATGCCCTGCTCCCAGGGGTGGCTCCTCTGCTGCAACAAGAACCTGCCTCCCAGCACCAGACACAGCAGGTGGGAGCTGTGGACCATGGCCGAGTCTCTTCGTCTCCTTGATCTGCTCCCAGGATGCACTGTCCAACTATCCCACCTGTAGGTGGGTGGCATTCCAGCCATGGACCCATGATCTGAGGCTGAGCACAGCAAACACAATCGAGGCTCTGGGTCCCAGGTCCCAGGAGCCCGTCCTTGATGGTGCATTACAGCTCTCCCAGGCTGTTCTTACAGTGACCTCCCACCTGCCCCAGGTGAGCATGCTTGCACCTGGGTGCTCGCCCAGCCTTTCTAGTTGTCCTTAGGGCTTCTGGTGTTGGGAACAGGATGCAGAGTTACCAATTTAGGGGGACTGAGAGGTTAACGTGGCCAAGGCTGAGCCCTGCAGAACTGCAGAGCAACAGCACACACAGGAAAGCTAGTGAGGTTCAACATCCTCATGGAGGTTGCACACGGCACAATGAGGTCTTATTTGCCCAAGAGAATGTGCAGGGAAGTCGCCAGGCACGGTGGTGCATGCCTGTAATCCCAGCTACTCGGGAGGCTGAGGCTGGAGAATCGCTTGAACCCGGGAGGCGGAGGTTGCAGTGAGCCGAGATCGCGCCACTGCACTCCAGCCTGGGCAACAAGAGCGAAACTCCGTCTCAAAACAACAACAACAACAACAACAACAAAAACAGAATGTGCAGGGAAGTCAACGTTGGTGGCTCTGAGGTGTGGAGGACACAGGCTAGTGCCCAGCTCAGCGTGGCTCCACCTCTCTGAGCCACAGACCAACCTCACCCACACTGACAGTCCCAGGGGACACAGACTCTAGCCCCTATGTCCAATTCTACACTGTGCACGCAATGGGAAGAACAGTGCATCATGCACTGTACAGCAGAAGAAATGTCCTCTGAGTGCAGGCACAGCTCCCTTCTGTGTCTGTCCTCCCGACAGTGCCTCCACCCTCAAGGATTAGCAAGCTTCAACCCTCGCAGGACATCCACTGTGTCAGGGCCAAACGGTGCTGCATCCTGCTCTAATAGTGAGTGAAGGAGGGGACCGCAGACAAGAAGAAATGAACAAGAGACCGTTTAAGAGAGAAAAAGACGTGAAGAACATCAGACAGGGAGCAGCGCGAGGGCGCCAGGGAGGGAGGCAGCGGATTCTTCGGGCCTCTGTGAAGAGGGGGCATGAAACCGGTCTGCAGACAAGGAAAGAGCAAAGTGCAAAGGCCAGGATGCGGGGGCAGAGACGGTAGGGAGGCCGGCGTCGGCCTCGGCTAGCAGGTGGGCTTGACTCCGAGAGCCGCAGGCCGCCAGGATGGGTCCCGGGCCTGGAGCCTCCCCTCGCGGGCTTCAATGACACCCAGCACGGAAACGCGGGGGCCAGAACTACAGAAGCCCGTCCCGCCCGGAACTCAAGGTCGCGAGTGCTGTGTGGCCGGTCCGGACCCGGAGCGCGAGGACCGGAAGTGCGCGGCGTCACGCCTCTGCCCCGGACCCCGCGCGCGGAGGTGGAGAGGGGACTGGGGTGGTGGCCGCGCTATGCGCCGGGAGGTCCCCGCCTCGCAGGCCGAGGTTGCGGGTCCGCGCAGAATGCCACTTACTCTCTGGAGGCGGCCCGCACGGGTCCCTGGTCCCCGCCCCGCATGCAGCGCGGAGCCGTCCTCCCGCCACCTCCGGGCCGCCGCGGCACTGAGGGACCCGGGCCACAGCAAGCGCAGGCGGGAACCCGCGCGGGGACTGCTGGGAAACGTAGTCCCGTCATGTCCCGCTTTGACGCTGCGGAGAAAGCGGTGTAGGGAGAGGCTTGGGCTTCGGTTATCATAGAAACAGAGGCCGGCTACACCTAAAAGGCGGGGCGTGGACCTAAGTCGTCGCCAAAGAAACGGCGTTCTGGACGGGGACGTAGGGTCCCGCCCATTCCTTCTCGTGAAAGCGGGTGACTGGTCATGATTATGATTGATAGCCTCCTCTCCCAATCTGATTTCTAAGAGGTCCCAACCCGGAACCGACTTGCGGTTCGCAGGCTCCCCTCGGGTGGGAGAGTTGGGCTGGGAAGCACCTGGGGAGCTCTGAAGTGTCTTGGTGAGCGCGTTGCGAGTCAGACCGATAACATCAGAATCTGGGACTGGGCCCGAGCATATGCGCGTCAAAACTCCTCAGTTAAGTCTATTTTTTTGTATTTTTTTTGGTTTGCTTTTTTGAGACGGGGTCTCGCTCTGTCGCCCAGGCTAATGCAGTGACACCATCACGGTTCACTGCAGCCTCGACCTCCTGAGCTCAAGCGATCCTCCTACTTCAGCCTCCAGAGTAGCTGTTAACAGGGGCGCGCGCCACCACGCCCGGCTAATTTTCTTTCTTCTCTCCCTCCCCCTCCTTCTCCCCCTCCCTTCCTCCTCCCACTATGTCGCCCAGGCTGGTCTCGAACTCCTGTACTGAAGCGACCCTCCCACCTCACCCTCCCGAATAGCTGGGACTATAGGTGGGAGCCACCATGCCTGGATAGTTTTTTTATTTTTATTTATTTATTTATTTTAGAGATAGGGTCTCCATATGTTGCCCAGACTGGTCTGGAACTCCTGGGCTCAAGCGATCCTCGTGTCTCAGCCTTCCAGAGTGCTGGGAGTACAGGCTTGAGCCACTGCGCCAGGCCCCTAGTCCGGCTCCTAGTTGATTCTAACACGTGCGGCCCCATTGGGGAACCACAGCCTCCCCAGCCCCTTTGGGTGTTGCTGACTCTACGGGCCCTCCCAGGTAGGATGAACTGGTCACGCCTCCTACCCATTTGTAACCCCCAGCTCTTGCCCCCATCTATTGTGTGGCTCCTGCCCTCAATAGGGACATCTAATTTTGTTGGCCAGTCCAGCACATATATTGCATGTAACGACCCAGTTTGCCCCACCTTTCTGCCTCCACTGCATCTGCTTCAGGGATGCTGGGACTGTTCCACTCCCTTTCTCCATCCTTTGGGTGTCTGCACATCGAAAGCCTTGTCAGGAGGTCTATCTCCCTGCCCAAGTACAAAACTCAGGGCTTACCAAGCTAATTGAGGGCGAGCAGGAGGCTGAAGGGCACTTGGAGGGCTGCCCGCCTTGTGGGTCCCTTGGTGGCTGAAGAGAGTTGCACAGGAAGGCCTTGACAATTGTCACAGAGAAAGGAGTGCAGCTGCTGGCTCTGTGTGGGTGTGCAGATGTCTGACAGGTTCAGCCACTGGCCCCAATTGGGACACAAGTGGGATTTCTTTTTTTTTTTCTTTTTTGAGACAGTCTTGCTCTGTTGCCCAGGCTGGAGTGCAGTGGCCGCGATCTCAGCTCACTGCAACTTCCGCCTCCCAGGTTCAAGCAGTTCTCTGCCTCAGCCTCCCGAGTAGCTGGGATTATAGGTGCCCACGACCTCGCCCGGCTAATTTTTGTATTTTTAGTAGAGATGGGGTTTCACCATCTTGGCCAGGCTGGTCTTGAATTCCTGACCTCATGATCCACCCGCCTCGGCCTCACAAAGTGCTGGGATTCAGGCATGAGCCACTGCACCCGGCCTGACACAAGTAGGATTTCTCACACCTGTGGATGCACTGCTACTGGAGGAGTCTTGAGCCTATGTGGAAGAACTTCCCACTCCCAGGCACAGAAAGGGCCTCCCTCTGGAGTGAAGATTCTGGTGGTACCACAGGCCTGGCCACCACACAAAGGCCTTGTCCCTGCAGGGCTGGCATGGGGTGACTGGCAGCCCTGGAGTGGAGTTTGAAGCACCAATGAAAGGCCTAACCACTTGGCAGGCACAGGTGCGGGGGACTTGTCTGGAGGGGACCGGCTATGGGGGCTGTGACAGTCTGTAGGCTTTCTTCACTTCTACACAAGCCTGTTGTCTAAGTGGACCCTGCAGGGTTCATGCAGGGGCAGCACCAGAGAAGCATCTTGTGACAATGGTTACACAGGAGCGATTTCAGGAATGAGACTGAATCAGGCAAGGACCTGGAGAGGAAGCTCCAGTGGGGCTCCCACCCAAGGGGTCCAACTTTACCAATCCCACAGGTCCCCAGTCTGGGGCTCATTCTATGTCTGTAGGCCTGGGACCCTGCACCCAGGAGAGTTGTCCTGCTACCGGCCATCCCTCCGCAGAGGTCCCCCTCTGGCTCTATGCTGTCTTCAGCAAAGGGCCTCTGCTCCATTTCACACCTCTCCTGAGGGCCTGGGGTAGCTTACTGCGAAGCAGCCTCAGGGAATAGAGGCTTCAGCAGGGCATCTTGGCCCCCAACACAGAATCCTGGTTGTAGGATCTGGAAGAACAGAGGAGAAATGGAAGTTGGCAGTTCCCAGGAGGGGAGAAGGTGCTGGTGAGCCACGAAAGCAAACCCCAGTGGCTGAAGCATCCTGGATGACTCGGCCACATTTCCTTAAGAATCTTTGTGTGTGTGTGTGTGTGAGACGGAGTCCCATTCTGTCACCCAGGCTGGAGTGAAGTGGTGCGATCTTGGCTCACTGCAACCTCCACCGCCCAGGTTCAAGTGATTCTCTTGCTTCAGCCTCCCGAGTAGCTGAGACTACAAGCGCCCGCCACCACGCCTGGCTAATTTTTTTGTATTTTTAGTAGAGATGGGGTTTCACTGTGTTAGCCAAGATGGTCTCGATCTCCTGACCTCGTGATGTGCCCGCCTCGGCCTCCCAAAGTGCTGGGATTACAGGCATGAGCCACCATGCCCGGCCCTCTTCTGTCTCTTATAAGGACACTTGTCATTGGATTTAGGGTCCACCCTACTAATCCTAGATGCTCTCATCTTGGGATCCTTGACTAAATTACATCTGCAAAGATTTTTTTCCAATAGGTCACATTCGCTGGGTCTGGGTATTAGGGCATGAACTTACCTTTTTGGGGGCCACCATTCAATCCATTACAGGTGGGCATCCCATAGAAGCAGACAGTGGCTAGGCCAAAGTAGCCCATGAAGTATCAGCCATGGGCACAAGATCAAGTTTGGGATGCGGCAGGGCCAGGCTTGGCTCTGCCAGGCAACTGGGTGGACTGAATCCAGCACACTCCAAACGAGTTGATAATCAGGCTGGGGACTTCAACAGACAACCAAGGTGCCAGTAAAGGCATTAAGGAGCTATCACGGCCAGGTGCGGTGGCTCACACCTGTAATCCCAGCACTTTGGGAGGCCGAGGCAGGCGGATCACGAGGTTAGGAGATCGAGACCATCCTGGCTAACAGTGAAACCCCATCTCTACTAAAAATACAAAAAAAATAGCCGGGCGTGGTGGCGGGCGCCTGTAGTCCCAGCTACTCGGGAGGCTGAGGCAGGAGAATGGCATGAACCCAGGAGGCGGAGCTTGCAGTGAGCCAAGATTGCGCCACTGCACTCCAGCCTGGGCAACAGAGTGAGACTCCGTCACAAAAAAAAAAAAGGAGCCATCACAAGGATGTAAGATCAGCTAACAGTAAGACTGTGGCTGGTAGGGTGGACAGGCAAAGTGACTGCCTGGAGAGTGGGCAGGTGGCCCAGCAGGGCCCAGAGGGTGCCTTCCCAGAAGTGAGGAGTCCAGTCTGGGGCCGGCCACTCAGGATGGACACAATGTACCAGAAGTGAGGTAGATCTCTGCAGAGTCTCTGGGGTCCTCATCCAGTCTGAAGAACACAGCACCAGCAGCCCTAGATCTATGAGGTCAGACTCTGCATCTTATCGTAGCACCTTGGGGACCTGGGGAGGCTGGACCACCCTGGACCTGGTGGCGGGGGTGGGGGGTGCATGAGTCTCGGCTCTGCAGTATTCACCACGCCACACTTGAGGGCACCTGCCCTCTGCAGCACGATGAGTCATTCTCATGAGGTCTGTAAAGATGTCCATTATCAAATGACCATGGTAGCCAGGCCACAGGGTTCACATTGACGTTGCCTCATTGCATTCTCATTTCCACACTGAAGGGGAAAACAGGTTCAGAGGGGTGGGCTCACTGTCCTGATGAGTGCTGCCTGTTTTCTCCCACCCTCCCTACAACCAGCACCCCCATGCCCCTCACTCAAGACCAGGGAGAAGCCCACCTAGCCCCTCCTGCAACCACACAGACCCCAGTGGGAGCCCCAAGGCTGCTACTCTGCACAGGATGGAGGGCAGGGGTAAAGGCCATTAGGCGGTGGCAGTAGGCCGTGCCCCTCACCAGAGGCTGAGGTCTGACCCCTTGACCAGCCCAGCTTCAGGGCATGTGTCCTTTCATGAGCTGTGACTGACCACAGTCCAAGGGCCCACTGTGGGGAGTCCTCAGCATATTTGGACAGAAACGCCCCAGAATTGGGGTAAGAAGAGCCTTTACAGTCAGGCAGTGAAGAAACACAGCTGCTGGGCACCTGCTATGTGCACGCCTCAGGGATGGGAGTAGGGGGCAGGCCCAGCCCTGGGACCTGGGTCAGGTGGCTGGGCCCTTCGGATCCCGAGTTGGAGGGATAACCCCTTGGAGGCAGAGATGGGCATCAGAGACAGGGCGGCCCCAGGTGGTCCTGGAGTCGCCTCGTAAAGGTTATGTCTATGCCTGCTGCAGGCAGAGACACAGTCAAAGTAGTTGCTACCTCTGGAAAGTCCCAGTTCTGCTCATGAGCCTAGATCTAAGAGGCTGGGACAGGCAGAGGGGTATGAAGGGGTCATGGGCAGGCAGACTGTCCACACTGGCTGCCAGGGTGGCCAAGTGAGTAGAGTGAGCTGGGGCACTCACTACCGTGCCAACCCCACGCACGGATGAGGACCCCGGGTCGAAGGCCCACATCCTCAATCCCACGCAATAGTTCAGGCCCTGTGAGAGGGTTCGCTGTCTGCTCCCAGCCAGGGCTGAGCTGTTCAGAGGCCCTACCTGTTCAGAGGCAGCTGGGGGAAGGGACAGAAGTTGGGGGGCAGGGGATTGTGTGCTGGCGGGAATAATCTCCTTCATCTCATGGCTAAATCTTCCATCCCTCCTTTCAACCTTTGGCCAGAAACCTACGTTTCTGACCCTTGGAGAGGTCGGCCAGTTCAAGAGGCACCCCTGAGAGCCACGTCTGCAGACACGAGGGCCTCGTGACGTGAGCCCTGAGGGCAGGGGGCTGCAACCCCTCGCGCGGGCTCCCCGGCCGTGGAGGACACAAGGACAAACACGAAGGGTCCCCGACCTGCCGACCCCCTCCTCCCGGACACCGCGCGTAGCCTGTAGGCTACCTCCGCGCTCCACCCAGAGACGGGTCGCGCTGCTCCCGCCGCCGCAACCCCGGGCCCTCGTGCCGGCGGTCTCCCCTCTTCCACGGGCGAGATTACTGCATAGCAGAGGTGAAGGGCGCGGAGGCTGTGGGGGAACCCAGCGTGGTATGGCAGGAAAGGTCGAGCAGGGAAACAGGCCCAGCCAGAGGCTCGGGATCCGGGGCTCGCGAGCGTGGTGCTCCTGGGCCGGGCGGTGGGGGAGGGGCCGCGTGTGGCAGGCACATGCGCACGGCAACCTGGACCTGCGGAGGGCGGCGGTGACCACTGGGCCTCACTCCGCTAACCCAGGTCCGCATCAGGCGCGTGCCGGTGAGGCGGCTGTGGCCGCGGCGAGGAGTCAGAGGGAACTGAACTGGCTACTCCCGCGGCAGGTGGGATTTAAGGTCAGCAGCTGAACAAAGAAGCGAGCGCTGGCCAGACTTTTTTCTTTATTAGACATGGCTGCGTTGGTCTCACGGAAATCTCTGCGCTTTTGCAGGCGCCCACAAGACAGGGCAACTACGGGGTAGCGGACATCCGCCAGGCACGCTTCTAGGGCCGCTTCTGCAACTGCGCATGCGCTTGGGCTGCACCCATTCCGTCTAGCCCAAAAGGTTCCTCTACAACCTTCCTCCGGATTGGTCTATAGGGACACGATGGCCTTTTACGCAAGCGTCACCCGTGCTGACCCGGAAGTTTTCTTCCCAGTTAAAAGTGTTGGCCCGCGGCGCGCGGCCTCTTCCTGTCTGTACCAGGGCGGCGCGTGGTCTACGCCGAGTGACAGAGACGCTCAGGCTGTGTTCTCAGGTGAGACCGCCGCGGGGCCGGGGATCCTAGGGACGGTTCATGGTCTTTCGGGGATAGTGCCCCGCGGCCTGGGCCTTTTCTCATTAGGTCTCATTTCTGTCTCTGGAAAAGAAAATGTAGAAGAAACGGGCGCGGGCCGAGTTACTCTTGACTTCTTTCTGGTGCTCCGCCGCTTCTAGCTTTTCCCCATAGCGGGGCTTGGGGAACTTGGTTTGAACTATGCGGTTGTACTCTGAGATAGGAAGTTTCCATTTCTTAGGGACACGATGCCCTCTTTTGCTCTGTGTAACTTTCCCCCCGTAATAGCAGCCCCTAGAGCCTTCATACTGTCGGTCAAGAATCGAAACCTTTGGGTTGATTGTGCCACACGGTACCTACCGTGGTCCTTGATGTCATATAACGGTCCCGCCTCACGGCCAAAGAAACAGTCCGAGACGGAACGTTGACTTGGGTCAAAGACCATGTAAATCGCGAGATTGTGGTTTGAATTACAGCCCATGCAGTGTGAGGACGTATGGCATCTGCTGAGCCATTATACCTTGGTCCCAGTGCAGCAGCTGTTGACTGGTGGCTGCCAAGTCTTGGGCCCAGGGGTTCTAGGTGAAAGACAGATGCTTCTTGCTGACAGCTGAGTAATTTTTCTAGTGCTTGAAAACACGTTCACGGCCTTTCTTGGTCCTTTGCGACCCCCCAGTTCATCACTAGATGGCGGCTAGCCTCAGAGTTGGGAATGAGTGCGCCTTTGCTCCATGCTAGCTGAGCTCTGACGTTTTTTTCCTGTCATCACCCTGTCCCAGGATGACCGAGTGGGAGACAGCAGCACCAGCGGTGGCAGAGACCCCAGACATCAAGCTCTTTGGGAAGTGGAGCACCGATGATGTGCAGATCAATGACATTTCCCTGCAGGTGAGGGGAACTTGGTGATTGGCCTTCCTGGCTGGGGGCGGACATTATTCCAGGAAGGCACACATCAAACTTGTTGCTGTGCCATTAAGTCAAGAATAGAGATCATAACAGGTAAAGAAGGGATCCCTTGACCACCACATCTACCACATCTGCTCTTACGTCCTGTTCAAAGATGACTACAACTTCTGTCATGAGAGGACTCCTTCACCAGAAGGAGCATCACATCTCACATATGGTATTTTTGTTACTGTTTTTGTAGTAAAATACATAACATCCAGTGTCATTCTTTTGCATGTGAATATCCAGTTATCCAGTACCATCTCCTAAAGAGATGTTTTTTTTCCCTCAATTGAATGGCCTTGGCCACTTGTCATAAATCAGCTGGCCGTAGTTTTTTTTTTTTTTTTTTTTTTTTGAGACGGAGTCTCACTCTGTTCCCTGGGCTGGAGTGCAGTGACGCGATCTGCCTACCGGGTTCACACCATTCTCCTGCCTCAGCCTCCTGAGTAGCTGGGACTACAGGTGCCCGCCACTGCACCTGGCTGATTTTTTTTTTTTTATTTTTAGTAGAGACAGGGTTTCACCGAGTTAGCCAGGATGGTCTCGATCTCCTGACCTCGTGATCCGCCCGTCTCGGCCTCCCAAAGTGCTGGGATTACAGGCGTGAGCCACCGCGCCCGGCCCAGATGTATGGGTTTCATTACAGACTTTCAGTTATATTCCACTGGTCTATATGTCTGTCTCTATGCCAGTACCACACTTTCTTGCTTTGTATTAAGTTTTGCAATTGGGAAGTGTGAGTTGTCCTACTTTGTTCCTACTCCGTACGGTTTTACACATACCCTTTTTTTCCCCTCCCCATGAAGGCATCATTAAGAATTTTGTGGGCCTTAAGAACTTTAGCTTTTGTGAGCCCTTCCTCCATTAAAAGAAAGTGTTTGAAATTATATTTTGTGACTGCATTGATATAAAGATGAATATAACTTGGGTTGCACTTTATTCACTTTCCTCCTCTTTTTTTTTAATCATTAAAGTTTTATCTTTGAGATAAGATCACTCTCTGTCACCCAGGCTGGAGTGCAGTGGTGTGATCACAGTTCACTGCAGCCTCAATACACCTGGGCTCAGGGGATCTTCCTGTCTTAGACTCCAACTAGCTGGGACCAAAGATGCATGCCACCAAACCTGCTACCTTTTGTTTTATAAAGAATGAAAACTTTTTTGTTGTCTGTAAAGATGTCAGGGGACTTAGGCACTATGCCTAATGGATAATTCAGCCTTGTTTTTCACTCTGAATATCTTGTAGATCTTGGCTTTTCTTTCCTTCAGGGGTTTATTTCGGGGGGTCCAAAAACATTTTAAATATTATTATTATTTTTTGTTTGTTTATTTATTTATTTATTTTTTTGAAACGGAGTTTCGCTCTTATTGCCCAGGCTGGAGTGCAATGGCACGATCTTAGCTCACCACAACCTCCGCCTCCCGGGTTCAAGCAATGCTCCCGCCTCAGCCTCCCAAGTAGCTGAGATTACAGGCGCACACCACCACGCCTGGCTAATTTTTGTATTTTTAGTAGAGACGGGGTTTCACCATGTTGGTTAGGCTGGTCTCGAACTCCTGACCTCATGATCTGCCCGGCCACATTTTAATTATTTATTTATTTTTTGAGACAGAGTTTCGTTCTTGTCGCCCAGTCTGGAGTGCAATGGTGCGATCTTGGCTCACTGCAACCTCTGCCTCCTGGGTTCAAGCGATTCTCCTGTCTCAGCCTCCCAAGTAGCGGGGATTACAGGCACATGCCACCGCACCCAGCTAATTTTTTTATTTTTAGTTGAGACAGGGTTTCATCATATTGGTCAGGCTGGTCTCTTAACTCCTGACTTCAGGTGATCAGCCTGCCTCAGCCTCCCAAAGTGCTGGGATTACAGGCATGAGCCACCACGCCTGGCGTTATTTATTTATTTGTGAGACAGAGTCTCTCTCTGCCTCCCAGGCTGGAGTGCAGTGGTGCGATCTCGGCTCACTGCAACCTCTGCCTCCCCAGGGTCATGCGACTTTCCTGCCTCAGCCTCCCGAAGTGCTGGGGTTATAGGCATGAGCCACTGCGCCCAGCCCACAAACATTTTCATTATAGGCCCAGATAATGTTTTAGACTTTGTGGGCCACACTGGCCACTGTTACTTTTTTTTTTTTTTTTTTTTTTTTTTTTTGAGATGGAGTCGCTCTGTCACCCAGGCTGGAGTGCAGTGGCACGATCTCGGCTCACTGCAACCTCCACCTCCTAGGTTCAGGTGATTTTCCTGCCTCAGCCTCCCTAGTAGCTGGAACTACAGGTGCATGCCACCACACCTGGCTAATTTTTGTCTTTTTAGTAGAGACAGGGTTTCACCATGTTGGCCAGGCTGGCCTTGAACTCCTTGATCTATTAAACGTTTGTTAAGTGCCTGTTCCACTAGGGAAATAAACATCAATGGGAGTTCACTGTATTTTAAACACCTGTGCAGGGCTCCACTGTTGGGCCAAACCCTTCCTGGGGAATTTGGTGTTTGCAATTTTTTGCTGCATAGTGAAAGCCCTGCGTGAATGCCCTTCACGAGACTGTGAGTTTTTTTTTTCTTGCAGCCAGACTATGAAATAGTACTGAGAGTTTCAGTGTCCTGTGTTCTTTTCCCATCATTCCTTGTATTTGTAGAAACAGGTATTTTGTGTATATTCTCAGAGGCAAGTGATAGAATGGCCTTGGGTACATTTTGTAATGGAACTATCAACAGCAGTCTCCTTCGAATGCACATAGCTCCTTTCTTCCCCTTTACATACTCAAGGTTAACTTTTTGGCATTTTTCTAGATTTTTGTGTGGGGATGGCTATGTAAGTATAAGAAGACTTGTTAAATGATTGTTTTAAAACTGTGGTTCTGGGCCGGGCGCCGTAATCCCAGCACTTTGGGAGACTGAGGCGGGCAGATCATCTGAGGTCAGGGGTTTGAGACCAGCCTGGCCAACATGGTGAAGCCCCGTCTCTACTAAAAATACAAAAATTAGCCTTGCATGGTGGCGTGCACCTGTTGTCCCAGCTACTTAGGAGGCTGATGCAGGAGAATCGCTTGAACCTGGGAGGTGGAGGTTGGGATGAGCTGAAATCATGCCATTGCACTCCAGCCTGGCCAACAAGAGCGAAACTCCATCTCAAAAAAAAAAAAAAAAAAAACTGGGCTGAGCATGGTGACGCATGTCTGTAATCCCAGCAACTTGGGAGGCTGAGGCAGGAGAATTGCTTCAACCCAGGAGGTGGAGGTTGCAGTGAGCCAAGATTGCAACGTTGCACTCCAGCCTGGGTGACAGAGTGAGACTCCATCTCAAAAACAAACAAACAAAAAACCCAAAAACAAAAAAGTTCTCAGCCAGGTGCAGTGGCTTATGCCTGTAATCCCATCACTTTGGGAGGCTGAGGCGGACGGATCACCTGAGGTCAAGAGTTCAAGACCAGCCTGGCCAACATGTCCAAACCCCAGCTCTACTAAAAATACAAAAATTAGCCTGGCATGGTGGCATGCACCTGTAGTCCCAGCTACTCAGGAAGCTGAGGCAGGAGAATTGCTTGAACCTGGGAGGCGGAGGTTTCAGTGAGCCAAGATTGCACCACTGCCCTCCAGCCTGGAAGGCAGTGAGACTCCATCTCAAAAAACAAAAAACCAAAAAACTGTGGTTCCTACTCTGGGGTGGTTGGTTTCCTGTCTTAGAGAACACTTAGCAATGCCTGGATACATTTTTAGATGTGAAAACTGACCGGGGTGGTGCCAGGCACTGTGGCTCATGCCTGTAATTTCAGCACTTTGGGAGCACAAGGCAGGCAGATCACTTGAGGTCAAGAGTTCGAGACCAGCCTGCTCAAAACAGTGAAACCCCTTTTCTATTAAAAGTACAAAAAATTTAGCTGGGCTTGGTGGCGCGTGCCTGTAATTCCAGCTACTCAGGAGGCTGAGGCAGGAGAATCACTTGAACCCAGGAGGCAGAAGTTGCAGTGAGCCGAGGTTGCGCCACTGCACTCCAGCCTGGGTGACAGCAAGACTCAGCCTCAAGGGGGGGAAAAAAAAAACTAGGCCAGGCGCAGTGGCTCATGCCTGTAATCCCAACACTTTGGGAGGCCAAGACAGGCGGATCACAAGGCCAGGAGTTCAAGACCAGCCTGGCCAACATAGTGAAACCTGTCTCTACTAAAAATACAAAAAAACTAGCTAGGCTTGGTGGCAGGCCCCTATAATCCTAGCTACTCGGGAGGTTGAGGCAGGAGAACCATTTGAACCTCGGAGTCGTAGGTTGCAGTGAGCTAAGATGGCACCACTGCACACCAGCCTGGGTGACAGTGAGAGACTCAAAAAAAAAAAAACTGAAGGGGTTGCCAGTGGCATACCAGATGGCTGTTAAACATCCTATAGTGTGCAGGACAGCCCCCCAGACAATTATCTGGTCCAAAATCTAGTCTCCTTAGATTCCCACTCTTCCATTACGAAGGAAGTGTACTTTTTAGCGACTTGGTAAAGTCACCTGTTCAGGGTTTTTTTCCTCATGGTGGATGGGGCTTACATCCAAGTCCCCTGTTGAGGCATACCAGGATCCCAGACAGCTGTTGGACTACCCCGAATGGGTACTTGATCTCTCCTCTGGTGTCTGGCCAACGCCCATGCTGCTCCTGACCATTTTCCCTTCATTTCCTGCTCCCTGCTGCCCCAGGATTACATTGCAGTGAAGGAGAAGTATGCCAAGTACCTGCCTCACAGTGCAGGGCGGTATGCCGCCAAACGCTTCCGCAAAGCTCAGTGTCCCATTGTGGAGCGCCTCACTAACTCCATGATGATGCACGGCCGCAACAACGGCAAGAAGCTCATGACTGTGCGCATCGTCAAGCATGCCTTCGAGATCATACACCTGCTCACAGGCGAGGTAGGGCTCTGTGGCCTGGTGAGGGCAGGCTGTGCCCTCAGTACACCCGAAAGCCCCACGGAGTGTATGTCAGGCTTATCCCCTGTGTGGTGTGGTCACTCTTGTTTTAGGTATGAGGAAAGGGGAGGAATGCATGGGGCTGGATGTCAGGCTCATATCCCCCTTCTCTCTAGAACCCTCTGCAGGTCCTGGTGAACGCCATCATCAACAGTGGTCCCCGGGAGGACTCCACACGCATTGGGCGCGCCGGGACTGTGAGACGACAGGCTGTGGATGTGTCCCCCCTGCGCCGTGTGAACCAGGTGAGCCTGGGGCTTATGCACGTGGCAGGGTGGACACAGCCACGGGAGTGGGTGGGGTCTTGCCTGGGGCAGGAAGGCTCCTCTCTGTCTGCATGTTTTACCTGCAGCATCACTTCCTCTAGGAAGCCTTCCTGGATTCCCACCCTGCATAGGGGCTGATCCAGGCTCTGGGTCCTCTTCGGGAACACATTTGGCAGAGGTCTTCTTTCTTTCCTTTGGGTGTATATTTTTACACTGTGTGTATATGTACTTTTTTTTTTTTTCTTGGACATTTTGAGAATCAGTTGCAGACATTTTGATTGTGTTTTCCCTGAACACTGCAGGTGTCTTTAAAAACAAAGATGACCTACCCCCGTCGTCACCCCCAGGAAGGAATTTATATTCACAGCAATAGTCGTTGTTCCATTTAGCATCTGTCCCCAGAATGCCAGAATGCCCTTTATAGTGGCGCATTGTCAATTGGGTCCAAGTTAAAAGCAAATATATTGCCTTGTTTTTTAGAAATAATTGAGATGGAATCTCAGGGTGTTCTTGAATTCCTGGTCTCAAATGATCCTGTCCCCTCAGCCTCCCAAAGTGCTAGGATTACAGGCATGAGCCACCACACCTGGCCGCCTTTTTTGTTGTCGTCGGTTTTTTTGTTTGTAGAGGTGGGGTTTCACCAAGTTGCTCAGGCTGGTCTCAAACTCCCTGCCAAAGTGTTCCTCCTGCCTCAGCATCCCGAAGTGTTACAGGCGCAAGCCACCGTGCCCGGCCGTCTAGCAGTTTGCTGTTGAGGCAGGTCTCAATCTCCTGTCACTGGGGACGCAACTTCAGCCTGTGTGTGTGTGTGTCTGGACACTTGCTCTTGTGACCCTCTATCTGATTGCAAATCAGGCATGATGCCACCACCTCTTGTCTCAGTGGGCCTATGGGTGACAACGTGGCTGGCAGCATCAGTTGGGAGTGGCCCCAGGGTGCTGGAGGACCGCAGTCTGTCCTTCTAGCCTGACCCCTGCTGTCTTCCTAGGCCATCTGGCTGCTGTGCACAGGCGCTCGTGAGGCTGCCTTCCGGAACATTAAGACCATTGCTGAGTGCCTGGCAGATGAGCTCATCAATGCTGCCAAGGTGGGTGAGGGCACTCCGGTTGGGGGGTCTTAAGTTGGGCATTTGTGGGGGTCCTTCAGAATTCAGAGCTGTGTGTCTCCTTGCAGGGCTCCTCGAACTCCTATGCCATTAAGAAGAAGGACGAGCTGGAGCGTGTGGCCAAGTCCAACCGCTGATTTTCCCAGCTGCTGCCCAATAAACCTGTCTGCCCTTTGGGGCAGTCCCAGCCACCTGTGCTGTTGTCTGTCTTCGGTGGGGGGATGTGGGTGGCATAGCCCTGGTGGCCTTGGGAGCTGCTCACCTTCCTGACCTGTTGGCCTGTGGGGACCTGGAAGTATTGCTGACTCAGAACCATGGCACCCCAGGGCTAGCAGGTGGGGCACTGGATGCAGGCCAGGCTGCCTGGAGTGTCCCAGCAGGTACTGGAAATGAGATGGGGTTATCCATAACTTCTGAGGGCGTGGCACATGAGATGTTGCTGTGGTCTGGGTGGATGGGTGGCTTGGGTGCCTGTGAGGTCTGGGTAGTCACAAGACCATCCTGAGAGGCTTGTCACCTTGAAGTAGCACTGGGGAGAGGAGGAAAGCTCAGCTGTTTAGGGCACACGATTTCAGACCCCTAGCTTCACCCCCCTCTTGGAGTGTGGGGTGGTTTCACACTGGCGAGGTTGTGCTCCTGGTTACCTCCCCGGCTACACTGGTTGTGGCTGCACCCTGGGCCTGCACACCCAGTTTCTGTGGGCTGTACGGGTTCCCTTCTGCCAGTGTCCATGCAGTGTCATCAGGCTGCTGGGGACAGGTTGGGACCCACCCAGGGCCACAGGCTGGTGACTCTGGTAGAAGACTCATCAGGTTCTGAAGGGTGGGGTGGGCCCAAGCCCACCCACCGTGTGCCATCACCCTTCCACCGCCCCCAACATCTGGCCAAGACAGGCTTGGTGTTCATCCTGGTGGGGCTGGCCCAGGGGGCGGGGCAGGCAGTCAAACGGGTCCAGCGGGTACCTGGGACCTGGAGGGGTGGTGCCGGTTGAGCACCCTCCCCCTGGGAGGGTACTTTTGAGCCCAGCTGCTGGCAGGCCAGGAACAGACAGGGACACGCCACTGGCCAGAGGGAGGAGGCTTCCACAGGTAGGAAGGCGCCCACAGGCTGGCTGCGGTCTGTCATTACTCTGTGGGGGGTGCCTATCTCTGCTCCTCTGTGGGTCAGGTCCTTTCCATCCCTGTCTGGGGTCCTCCCCATCTCCGTGTTCAACTGCGGTCTGTCTCTCCGTTTCCAATTCAGGAACTGGTACCCCGTGGGTCCATTCCTATCCCCAGTCTCCGCCTCGGGCCTCCCCATCTCCCCTGCTCCTCGACGCTAGCTACACCCTTCTCGGGATGGGGTGCTCTGTACTGGGGGATCCTCTCTAAAGTACAGTCCCCAGTCTTCCCTGGATTCCCTGCTGGTCTCAGAACCCGCTCCAGGCTCCACCGCCTCCTTCCCTGCCTGACCTCCTCTCCTCCCAGGTCCATCCGGATGCCCTGCCCTCGGCCGTTCTGGCTCCGCCATTCCCGGGCCCCCCAGGGCTCGGGTCCCAGCTCCCCAGGCTCGCTCTCTGCGCCCCGCTCCCCAAGCAGAGGGGAAGACCAGGAGGAGGAGGAGGAGGAGGAAGGGGACGGCAGCCCAGGCTCCGGCCCTATCCTGCCCCCCGCCTCCCCGGTGGAGTGCCTCATCTGCGTGTCGTCCTTCGACGGCGTGTTCAAGCTGCCCAAGCGCCTGGACTGCGGCCACGTCTTCTGTCTCGAGTGCCTGGCGCGCCTATCGTTGGCCACGGCGGGCGGCGGCAACGCGGTGGCCTGTCCGGTGTGCCGCGCGCCCACGCGCCTGGCCCCCCGCCGCGGACTCCCCGCGTTGCCCACGCAGTCCGGTCTCCTGCCCCGCGACGCGCGCGCACCGCCCTCTCGCCAGGGCTCCGTGCGCTTCGACCGGCGCCGCGGCCTTCTCTACCTGCGGCCGCCGCCGCCCCCGCCCGGGCCGCGCAAGGCCCGCGCCCCGCCGCCCCCGCCGCCTCTGCGCCTGGGCCGCCCGCTGTCGCGCCGCTTGTCGCTGGCCAGCCCGGCCTGGGTCTTCAACGCTGCCGTGGCGCTGGCGGTGCTGGTGGCCGCGGGCCTCGTGGTCTCGGGCGTCTACATCTTCTTCCTCATCCCGCACGCCACCTCCTCCGGCCCCCCGCGGCCCCAGCTCGTGGCGCTCGCTCCAGCGCCTGGCTTCTCTTGGTTTCCGCCGAGGCCCCCGCCGGGGTCGCCCTGGGCCCCCGCCTGGACGCCGCGCCCCACGGGCCCTGACCTGGACACGGCCCTGCCAGGAACTGCAGAAGATGCGCTGGAGCCCGAGGCGGGCCCCGAGGACCCGGCGGAGGCCGAGAGGACGCTGGACAGGCGATCGGATGGCACGTGGGGCACAGAGGCTGGCCCCGGCTGGGCCCCGTGGCCACGGGGCGCGAGGAGGCTGTGGGGCTCACAATAAGTGCGCCAGTACTGCAGTCCTGCCTCCAGGCCTGGCACCTCCGTGTTATCTGGGGCCCTTAGTAGGGCGCGCAGCACTTACCTGTTTCTCCAGATTGGGGCTTAGGGCAAGCATCCTTGGCATTGTCACCATGGGGCTGGACCCTCTCAAGGAGCAGGCACCGCAGTCGTCCCACAAGGATCCTCTGGGAACACCCCTGACCCCCATTCTTGTGGCTGTCCAGCGGAGGGTGCCCTGACCGTGACCTCTATAAGGGTCCTGCTGGGGCTTGCTCCTGCTCCGCAACCCCTACTCCGTGGGGGTGCAGTTGGAAGCATCCCTGATCCTCATCCCTTGTAGGAGTCCAGCTGTGGACGCCCCCGACTGACATCCATGCAGGTGCCCAGCCAGGGGCAGCCCCACACGGATCCTTGAACGGGTCTTGCTGGGAGTGCCCCCAGTCATCCTCACCACAGATTCCTGGGGGAGCGTCCTTGCCAGCACTGGAGGCCAAAGCACTCATCCTTCGGATTGGCCATAGGTTGCAGGGGCCCGCCTATCTTTGGAGGGCAGAGCTGCTGCTGCTATTCTTCCTTGGTCACCTCCTCCCCAACTGGCTCATTGCAGGGGACGTCCCACCACTCCACCCATCTGTGGAGTTTGTTTTCTACTGCCTGCAGGCTGGGCCTGGGTGGGCTCCAGCTGTCTACATGCTGGTCCCGGGTGTAGAGTTGCCATCCTGTACACCTGGTTGGGGCTGGGGCTCAGGCTTGAAGTAACAGGGTGTCCTGGCCAGGGCTGGGGAGGAACTTGAGCCTTAAAGACTGGCTCCCGCCCCAATCCTAAGTCCCAAACTGCTCTGGGAGCCTCCACTTCCCCCTGGGTCGTGGCTTCTAGGATCCTCCCAATAT
Source organism: Homo sapiens (assembly GCF_000001405.40). Taxonomy (NCBI): domain Eukaryota; kingdom Metazoa; phylum Chordata; class Mammalia; order Primates; family Hominidae; genus Homo; species Homo sapiens. Next base: position 58,397,970 of record NC_000019.10, read on the forward strand.
GCTGTGGTGCAGCTGTGCTTATCATGGCTCAGAGGCCAACATCACCCCAGGGGTCAGACAGAGGCAGACAATGGTGGGGGTGGGAGTCCTGGACCTCCTTGGTTAGCCAGAGGGATCCTAGTCCCTTTCCCTGGCCACCAGAGTCCCCATCACCCCCGATTAATATCTTGATGCCAGTTACTGCACTTCTTCCTCCAGGGCTCCATCTGTCCTGCCCAGCCTCCTTTCTTGTACCTCGAGGTGAACCCTGAGCCTTCCCAATAGACAGCAGCCTCCAGGGAAGGTGGCATATGGGCTCCTGTCCTCTTCCTCCCAGAAGTCTTCCTGGGTTAGTTATGGGGGTAGATGGCAGCTATTCTCTGTGCAGACTGAACCTGGGGCTTCTGTTTCCTCCCAGGCCCTGCACACCACCCCCCCAATCCTGCCTCACCTCACTCTGGGATGGAGTGCTGTGTTTTGGGAATGGGCACCCAGCATGTTCCAAAGCGAAACGTGACTTCTATGTGGCTGGAGGCTCCTGTTTGATTTGTTAACGTGTGTCCTCAGCACCAGCATACAGTAGGTGCCAAACAAGGGAGTGACAGAATTGCAGGTGACCCAGGCAGCCTGGGAATGCACCCTGGGCCCAGGACTGTCTAGAGCTAGCTCTGGTGTGAGCTGCTGCTTCCAGGTGGGAGCCAGAGGAGGAACACTAGGGAGTCCACAGTGTGTCTTCCCAGACCAGTTCTTGCCCACACCCACATGCCGATGTCACCCACAGGGGCTGGGACCAGTGTACTGGGTCACTGGGCAGCCACAGCCCAGCCTCATAGGGAAGAAACCTGGTCAGACAGCCGCAGAGTTGGTGGTCTATTCATTTTCTGTGGCTGCTGTGACAAAATACCCCCAACTTAATTATTTAGAACACGCGTTTATTTTTTTTAATTTATTTTTGAAACAGAGTCTCACTCTGTCGCCCGAGCTGGAGTGGAGTGGTATGATCTCGGCTTACTGCAACCTCCGCTTCCCGGGTTCAAGCGATTCTCCTGCCTTAGGCTCCCAAGTAGCTGGGATTACAGGCGCCCGCCACCATGCCTGGCTAATTTTTGTATTTTTAGTAGAGACGGGGTTTCACCATGTTGGCCAGGCTGATCTCAAACTCCCGGCCTCGTGATTTGCCTGCCTTGCCCTCCCAAAGTGCTGGGATTACAGGCCTGAGCCACCGCAGCCGGCCTTATTTCATTTATTTATTTATTTTTTTGAGACAGAGTCTCGCTCTGTAGCCCAGGCTAGAGTGCAGTGGCGCAACCTCGGTTCACTGCAACCTCTGCCTCCTAGGTTCAAATCATTCTCCTGCCTCAGTCTCCCAAGTAGCTGATATTACAGGCGCCCGCCACCACACCCGGCTTTTTGTATTTGTAATAGAGACGGGGTTTCACCATGTTGGCCAGGCTGGTCTTGAACTCTTGGTCTCAAGTAATCTACCCACCTCAGCCTCCCAAAGTGCTGGGATTACAGGCATGGGCCACCATGCCTGGCTAAACACACACTTCTTATCTTGCAGTTCTGCAGTCCAGAAGTCAACGATCAGTTTCACTGGGCTAAAGTTGAGTTGCCCATAGGGCTAGTTCTTTCTAGAGGCTCTAAGAGAGAATTCATTTCATTAGTTTTTCCAGCTTCTAGGGCTGCATTCCTTGGCTCCTGGCTCCTTCAAAGCCAGCAGTGCAGCATCTTCAGATCTCTCTGACCCTCCTACCTCCCTCTTTCACTTATAAGGACACTACAAGTACATAGCGCCCACCCGAATAATCCAAGATAGTCTCCCCATCTCATGATCATTAATTTAATCACACCTGCAAAGTCCATTTTGTGGTGTCAGGTAAAAGATTCACAAGTTCCAGGGATTCAGACCGGGATATCTTTGGAGGCCATTATTCTGCCTACCATAGGGTCTCAGAGATCCTCCTCATTGCTTCCCTCTCCCACCCAACCTAGGGGAGTGGGGGTGTGCAATGGTATTTCTGACCCAGACAGGCCAAGCAGGGGAGTCAGAAAGGGGCCCTTGCCTGGTGTTGCACAGAAGAGGGAGAGGATGTTCTGTGCCTGAGGGTAGACCAGGAAGGCTGCCTGGAGGAGGGAGCTGTATCCTAAAGGATGCTCAGGAGCTGGCATTGAGGCCAGTGGCATAGCCTGCACAAATACAGGAGGACCTGGGGAGGCCAGGGGTGGGGCTGGGGGTATTGGGTGGGGCTGGCCGCATTCTCCGTCTTAACCAGCTCGCTCCTAGGTGCTTTTGTGGCTTCTGCACTCTACCAGCTTGGAGCCAGGGGCCTCATTCTCTCTTGCAGTAAAATGAGGCTGATGACTGAGCCTAGGAGTTGCTGGGCATCTGGTCTGCTGATTACCACCTTGGTGCCCAATGTCTGCCTGCCTATCCACTGCTTTCAAACAAAGAGGCTGCCTGACACCACCCAGGGGGACGCCTCCCACCCTTGCCCAGCCTCAGCCAATCTCCTCTTTCTCTTCTTCAGAGCTGGAGTTGTGCCCTCCTATCCTCTCTCTGCCCACCCCATCACTGCTGTACACCCTGCCCCTTGGCACTTCGGCCCCGGACTTGCTCCTCCTGGCAGGCCTGGGTGCTTGTGAAGCCGGGTGCCAGAGGGCCCAGCACGGCACGGCCTTTGATTCTGTTTTCTGTAAATCGACGACAATAAATTCTCTTTTTCCTTCATCCACAAGTGTTTACTGAGCGCCTTCTGTGTACCAGGCCGCACCAGGGTGCGGAGCAAAGACCAACCTCAGGGAGCAGATGAGGTCCAGGCGGCTGAACCAACCGAACCATGGTTCTGGTAGCACTGCCTCCCCCGCCACCCTCAGGGGGCCCTGCTCCCCAAGCCCTTCCCAAATCCTGCCGTCCAGCTCTCCTCCCCACCTTGCAGGAGGGACGCCAGGGCCCGGTTTTCGGGTTCCGCCATTCTTTCCTCAATGAGGGTCGGAGAGGTCCCTGCCCACGCCAGACCCGTCCCCGGCCGTCGCGGCACCCTCTTGTGATCAGGCGGAGGGACCAAGGGCCAAGAGCGGGGCTTCGCCGGACGCTGGGAGCGTCACTGTCCAGACTGACAGATGGGGAAACTGAGGCTGACCAGCTGGGCAGGGCGTGCATACGAATCTGGGTCCTGGAAGCGTTCTGCAAGATCCCTTCTCACCTCAACCGCACGTGCTGGCATCCTTGGGTTTCCCTCCTTCCCCAGATCACAGCCGCACTTCTCTCCTCCGCCCTCATAGTCACGGCCCTGCCTTCTCCCTCCTCTTGCCCCGGGCGGGCCCCGCCCAGAATGCGGAGAGGCCTTCGAGGAAGCGCGGACCAATCGGAGGCCCTATGTAGGGCTGAAGAGGCGGGACTCTGGTCGCCATAACAACTCATCACGCCTGTGCTGCGCGCGCGCGTCGCCTTAGTGCCGCAGCCCTATTACGTGAGGTAGGGAAGGCGCGCCAGACTCGACGGCCAATCAGGGACCCGAGGGCGATGTTGCCATGACGACCACGTTGCGCTGGAGATTGCGACGGGGGCTGAAACCGCGGGGAACTCGGGGAGCGAGTGGTGAGAACAGTGAGCACCAGCACTCCGATGGCGCTGGCGAGAGGAAAGGCTGCGGCGCGCAGAGCGAGGCTGCGGGACCCCAGGATGGGGGACAGGAGGCTGCGGGGCCTCAGGTGAGCAGCAAGCGAGAGACCAGTCCCTTCGAGCGCCCTCACGCGTTTTGTCCCCACGCCACGCCGGGGACGAGTCTGTGGCACAGACTCGTCCCCGGCCCCGCGGGCTTAAGTTGTCTGGGGGCTGTCGCTTTGAGTACAGATCATATAGTTATGAATACATTTTAACGCAGATCCAAACACATAGTATAACGTGAGGATCCTATATAAAGTGAGACTCCTCAAAAAAAAAAAAAAAAAAAGATTTTTTTTTTTTTTTAGCCGGACGTGGTGGCGGGCGCCTGTAGTCCCAACCACTCGGGAGGCTGAGGCAGGAGAATCGCTTGAAGCCGGGAGGCGGAGGCTTCAGTGAGCCGAAATCGCGCCACTGCACTCCAGCCCGGGCGACAGAGCGAGAGACTCCGTTTGGGGGGGTAAAGTGTTTTTTTAAATGCAGTCAAATTCGAACGTAGGTTGATAGGATCACATAGTTGATCCACTCTAACCCCACACCCACTTGCAGACCTGGTTAGTGCTGAGGTCCTCTCATCCCAGGGAGTAGGCTAGAGTTCGCACTGGCTCCCCTGGGGCCCGGCTTGGCGTGGCAAAGCTGGGAGTCTCGCCCTAGGTTGGGGTTTCCTCTGCTCTGTAAGCCTCTGCAGAAGGAGCAGAGGGTGGTGGGAGAAGAAGTGCCCAAGAGGGGCCACAAGCTACCTGTGATCTGTGTCCCCCCACCAGGGGGATGGGTGCTTTCATTTTTATCGTTGTGGAAAATTTCACATTAAGTACTTCTCCAAAGAATCTCCCAGACATCTACTTGTTCTTTCAAAACATAACAGATTTTTTTAAAAAACAATTTACATACCATATAATTTGCCCATTTTGAGTGTACAATTCAAGGCTGGGCGCGGTGGCTCACGCCTGTAATCCCACCACTTTGGGAGGCTGAGGTGGGCGGATCACCTGAGGTCAGGAGTTCGAGACCAGCCTGACCAACATGGAGAAACCCCATCTGTACTAAAAATACAAAATTAGCTGGGCGTGGTGGCACATGCCTGTTATCCCAGCTCCTCGGGAGGCTGACAGGCAGGAGAATCGCTTGAACTCGGGAGGCGGAGGTTGCGGCGAGCCGAGATTGCACCATTGCACTCCAGCCTGGGCAACAAGAGCGAAACTGCGTCTCAAAAAAAAAAAAAAAAAAAAAAAAAGGCCGTAGGTCTGAATAGACCCCTCACCTAAGAAAAATAGATACATAGCTGGCAAATAGGCACATGAAAATATGCTCCACATCATATGCCATTAGGGAACTGCAAATTGAAACAATAATGAGATACTACTATACATCTATTAGAATGGCTACAATGCAAAACACTGATAGCACCATATGCTAGCAAGGTTGTGAGGCAATGGGAACTCTCGTTTACTGCTGATAGAAAGGCAAAATGGTATAGCCACTTTGGAAGACAGTTTGGCAGTTTCTTACAGAAAGTTAAATATAGTCTTACCATATGATACAGCAATCACACTCCTGGGTATTTGCACAAATGAGTTGAGAACTTATGTCCATGCGAAAACCACACAAATTATTATAGCAGCTTTATTCATAATTGCTCAAAACTTGAATCAACCCAGATGTCCTTCAATAGATAAATGGCTAATCTGTGTTACATCCACACAATGGAATATCATTCAGCAATAAAATTAACTGTGCTACCAAGTTATGAAAGGCATGGAGGAGTCTGAAATGCACATTGGTAAGTGACAGAAGCCAGACTGAAAAAGCTACATACTGTATGATTACAAGTTTATGACATTCTGGAAAAGGTAAAGCTATAGAGACAGTAAAGCAGTGACTGCCAGGGACTCAGTGGGAGGGAGGGAGGGAGGGAGGGAGGAATGAATAGTAGCACAAGTAATTTTTGGGGGCAGTAAAAGTATTTTGTACTATATTGTAATGGTGGATACATGAATTTATGCATTTGTGAAAACCCATATAATGTACATTAATAATAATGTACTAATATTCATTTTACAATGTTAACAAATGGGCCGGGTGCGGTAGCTCATGCCTGTAATCCCAGCATTTTGGGAGGCTGAGCGGGGCGGATCACGAGGTCAGGAGATGGAGACCATCCTGGCCAAAATGGTGAAACCCCAACTCTACTAAAAATACAAAAATTAGCCGGGTGTGGTGGCACGCGCTTGTCGTCCCAGCTATTCGTGAGGCTGAGACAGAATTGCTTGAACCCGGGAGGCGGAGGTTACTGTGAGATCGTGGCACTGCACTCCAGCCTGGGTGTCAGAGCAACTCCGTCTCAAAAAAAAAAAAAAAAAAGAAGAAACTAAAATGAGGTCCAATGAAGTAGTGCCAGGAAAAACATAAATGAACTAACTATTAAGCCCAGGAAAGGTAAGTGGTTAAGAGAGAACTTTGGTCTGAGACTTCCTGGAATCAAACTGTAGCACTGCCTCCCACTGGCTTTATGACTCAGGGCAAATACTTAGCCTATGGGAGACTCAGGCCCTGGACCCTCTACTCCTCTGCTCCACCCGTGGGAGAGATCAGGCCCATCTCACAGAGGAACAGATTTTTTTTTTTTCTTTTTTTTTTATTGATCATTCTTGGGTGTTTCTCGTAGAGGGGGATTTGGCAGGGTCACAGGACAATAGGGGAGGGAAGGTCAGCAGATAAACAAGTGAACAAAGGTCTCTGGTTTTCCTAGGCAGAGGACCCTGCGGCCTTCCGCAGTGTTTGTGTCCCTGGGTACTTGAGATTAGGGAGTGGTGATGACTCTTAAGGAGCATGCTGCCTTCAAGCATCTGTTTAACAAAGCACATCTTGCACCGCCCTTAATCCATTCAACCCTGAGTGGATACAGCACATGTTTCAGAGAGCACAGGGTTGGGGGTAAGGTCACAGATCAACAGGATCCCAAGGCAGAAGAATTTTTCTTAGTACAGAACAAAATGAAAAGTCTCCCACGTCTACCTCTTTCTACACAGACACGGCAACCATCCGATTTCTCAATCTTTTCCCCATCTTTCCCCCCTTTCTATTCCACAAAACCGCCATTGTCATCATGGCCCGTTCTCAACGAGCTGTTGGGTACACCTCCCAGATGGGGTGGTGGCCGGGCAGAGGGGCTCCTCATTTCCCAGTAGGGGCGGCCGGGCAGAGGCGCCCCTCACCTCCCGGACAGGGCGGCTCGCCAGGCGGGGGGCTGACCCCCCCCCCCACCTCCCTCCTGGACGGGGCGGCTGGCCAGGCAGAGGGGCTCCTCACTTCCCAGTAGGGGCGGCCGGGCAGAGGCGCCCCTCACCTCCCGGACGGGGTGGCTGGCCAGGCGGGGGGCTGACCCCCCCACCTCCCTCCCGGACAGGGCGGCTGGCAGGGCGGGGGGCTGACCCCCCCACCTCCCTCCCAGATGGGGCGGCTGGCCGGGCAGAGGGGCTCCTCACTTCCCAGTAGGGGCGGCCGGGCAGAGGCGCCCCGCACCTCCCGGACGGGGCGGCTGGCCGGGCAGGGGGCTGACCCCCCCACCTCCCTCCCGGACGGGTCGGCTGGCCGCGCGGGGGGCTGACCCCCCCACCTCCCTTCCGGACAGGGCGGCTGGCCGGGCGGGGGGCTGACCCCCCCACCTCCCTCCCGGACGGAGCGGCTGGCCGGGCAGAAGGGCTCCTCACTTCCCAGTAGGGGCGGCCGGGCAGAGGCGCCCCTCATCTCCCGGACAGGGCGGCTGGCCGGGTGGGGGACTGATCCCCCCACCTCCCTCCCGGACGGGGCGGCTGGCCGGGCGGGGGGCTGACCCCCCCACCTCCCTCCCGGACGAGGTGGCTGCTGGGCGGAGAGGCTCCTCACTTCTCAGACGGGGCGGCTGCCGGGCGGAGATGCTCCTCACTTCCCAGACGGGGTGGCTGCTGGGCGGAGGGGCTCCTCACTTCTCAGACGGGGCGGCTGCCGGGCGGAGGGGCTCCTCACTTCTCAGACGGGGCAGTTGCCAGGCAGAGGGTCTCCTCACTTCTCAGACGGGGCGGCCGGGCAGAGACGCTCCTCACATCCCGGACGGGGCGGCAGGGCAGAGATGCTCCCCACATCTCAGACGATGGGCGGCCGGGCAGAGACGCTCCTCACTTCCCAGATGTGATGGCGGCCGGGAAGAGGCGCTCCTCACTTCCTAGATGGGATGGCGGCCGGGCAGAGACGCTCCTCACTTTCCAGACTGGGCAGCCAGGCAGAGGGGCTCCTCACATCCCAGATGATGGGCGGCCAGGCGGAGACGCTCCTCACTTCCCAGACGGGGTGGCCGCCGGGCAGAGGCTGCAATCTCGGCACTTTGGGAGGCCAAGGCGGGTTGCTGGGAGGTGGAGGTTGTAGCGAGCCGAGATCACGCCACTGCACTCCAGCCTGGACACCATTGAGCACTGAATGAACGAGACTCCGTCTGCAATCCCGGCACCTCGGGAGGCCGAGGCTGGCGGATCACTCGTGGTTAGGAGCTGGAGACCAGCCCGGCCAACACAGCGAAACCCCGTCTCCACCAAAAAAAATACGAAAACCAGTCAGGCGTGGCGGCACGCGCCTGCAATCGCAGGCACTCGGCAGGCTGAGGCAAGAGAATCAGGCAGGGAGGTTGCAGTGAGCCGAGATGGCAGCAGTACCGTCCAGCTTCGGCTCGGCATCAGAGGGAGACCGTGGAAAGAGCGGGGGGGGGGGGAGGGGGAGGGGGAGGAGGGAAGAGGAACAGATTTTCAAGAACGATTTGAGGATATGTATTAGCCCAGGACATGTTATGGGATGACCAGTGTCTTCAAACTAGGCAGAAAGAGGGGACAGGGTACAGGAGTCAGGGGAAGTAGGCGAAAAGGTGGACTGTTTAGTAGGGGATCAGGAACATAGAAAAGTGGCAAGGCTAGTGACCTTGGTACCCAGACACCAGGGGTATAACTCAGGTACCAGGTGTGAGAACAGCTCAATTCCAGGGATACTTCCATCCCCAGCTTGCAATCTCCATGGCTGAGCCTCTTTGATAACTTTTGTGCTATTCCTGGTTTCAAGTCTACCTGGTCCATCAATCAGTGCTCTTGTCTGCACTCCAGTTGGGGGAACTCATGAACTGTAAAGGGCAATCCTGTGGGGGAATGAACAGGTTGGTCAGTCCAGCCTAGGGCAGACTGACCCACCATGACAGTCCAGGGGTACTGATGACAGGCATGTACCATGAGCTTGGGGGTGTCCCACCTGTGTCTCCACTGGAGAGAATACACAGGTGTCACTGAGGAACAGGGTTGCAAGGACTGAGGATATGGGGTCAGCTGAGGACATGTTAAGGAGAGGCAAACATTGCACAGCTAGGCACTAAGGAGAGAGAAAGGGACACAGCGGGGCATGGCCAGAAAACTGGAATTGAGCTGAGTGGAGGCACCAAGACCTGCGAGGGCACAGGCTGGGCACCAGGTGTGAGAACAGCCCACTCCTGGGGGCATTCACCAGGGGTAGATCTCTTCAGGGTCCCTCTGCCACAACTAGTTTTGAGTTCATATGGTCCACCTGCTGGTGGGAATGTAGAAGCCTTCAGACCTATGAAGGATGATGAGTTTTTGAGAGTCCAGGCCAGGAGAGGCCAAAACACCATGACCCCAGCAAGCGAGAATAATCCTTACTCCAAGACAAACACAGACCTGCAAAAAATGAACATTCAGGGAAGGCTCCCAGGCAGGACCCAGTGGGCCCACACGCACCCATGTCAGTGCATGCAGTGCCTGGAATCTTACAGGAAGTGACCGAGCTGAACGTGACCAGCTGTGAAGATTCAGAGACTTCTGAGCCCCGATCTTGGCCACTCACGGCCCTTGGGTAGAATGTGTGGGGTGTCCACTCAGCCACTTGTTAGAGGAGGTGGCATGATCTGGGCCTCAGTGCCACGACCAACAGCGACTTCCAAGGGGAACATGGAAAGAACAGAGGAAAAAAACCAGAGTTGAGGCTGGGGAGAGTTATGGTGCCAGTGGTCTCACCCAGCACTGAGTGCAAAGTTCTCCAGCACCACTTCAGGTAGAAGCTCCTCTGGACCTTGCCTAAGAACTCCGTTCGTCCGGGAGGACGCAGGCCCACCTGCTCTAACATGAACGCGTCTGAATTCAGCGGAGGACACCCAGGAGCCCGGTTATTCTCCTGCCAGCGTCCTCCCCTGATGTGTCCCTGACCCCGTGCTCTGACGTACTCAGCCATGTACTCACTCTCCTCTCCCAGGCCCCCATACCTGAGATCACCATGGCCTGATATGGGGTAGACTACAAGCCTACCGTGCCTCAGCCATGTGCAGGGCGACCTGTCCCTGGCATCCACACCTGTGGCCCATACGTCGCCCGCATTGTGGGGCGCCGAAAACCCAACACAACTGAAACACAACTGCTGACCTTCCCCCTAAGCCGCCTCTAAACGAGGTCCCTCGGCCCCTGGTCCCAGCCGCTCTTTGAAGACTTGCCTGATGACAGGCATGTACCATGTTTTTGGCTGGGACATTTTTCTGAGCCTTGCTCCGGGCTCCGTAAAGCGGACACGGTGCCAGGGAGAGAATTTCGGGGCGGTTGCGGGCACAGGCGGGCTTCTGCGGAGGCCCTGGCGAACGCCCCCGCGCGGCGCGGTCCGATGGCCCCATGGGGCCGCCCCTCCACTGTGAGGTCACCGGGGTTCAGCAACATTCACTGCGGCTAGGACGCGTACAGGTCACTGAGGCAGAACTTCCCGATTCTCGCGCCTTCGTTCGTTTCTGCGGACCAGCGGAGACTCCTCCACACCGCCCACCGCCCAATGATCCCACTGCCGCAAACCGCCCCAAAGCCAGCGCCGAAAGCCGACGCCGGAAGCCCCGCCCCACGCAGGGCCCGCCCGAACGTTCCCGTTCCTGGGCCGCCATTGGCCAAGTCTGAACGGCCCCACGTCGAGGCTCCTTATGGGAAATGTAGTTCACGTCCCGCTTCAGGAGCTAGCGGCGCCCTCCCTTATCGCCTTGGCAACGACCCAGCCGCGCCGCGAGGAGAGCCGGGAATGGAGGTCGTGGCGTGAGGGGCGCCGAGCGAGGGGAGGCGCGGGCCACGGGAGTTCCGGGAGTTCCGGCGTTGCCCGGCAGTCCGCAGTCCTCGGCGGGAAGGCTGTCCCGGCGCCTCAGGCAGCTCTGCGTGGGCCGGGGTGACTTCCTCGCGATCCCCTGCGCGAGGTGAAGGGCAGGGACCTTTGCCGCGCCTTCCACGCGCCGTGCCCCACCGGCGAGTGGCTCCATCTTCCTCAGACTTATCGCTCGCGGACAGGCGCCGTGGGTCTCCCGGGCCTCCGTACCGTCCTCCTTCCCAGCGGCTCCGGGAAGCGGTTCCCTGTCTTCGGACGCATTTCACCCGCGCGGGGAGAGCTTCCCGGGAAGGTTCCACGGCGGCCGAGGGTTTCCGCGCCCGGGACGCGTTTCGGCTGAGGCCGTGGGTCCAGTCCACGGGTTCTGCCCGCACGGTCCAATGGCCGGGGAGGCGGAGGTGAGCAGAGGATGCCTCCGAGGAATGAGGGGGCCCACCAGGTGGGGGGCGGCGTGTGCCAGGGCAGAGTTGGAGGAGGGCAGGAGATCTGCGTATGATTCCAGGGGGAGGTCTTTGATGCACGGCTGGGGCATGCCCTTGGCAGTGGGAGCCATTGGAGATGTGCCGCAGGACTGGGACAGGATGGGGTCGTAGTTGCTGTGCCAGGCCCTCTGGAGACGCATGTGCAGAACGGCGTGTGGAAGGCCAGGCAATTGCCTATAGGGTAAACTGGGGACGTTGTGCTGGGGGTGTACAGTTTTAGGCATTCTGTTGTCCAGTTTTGTGCCTGTTGAGCAGGAGGCAAACTGGACCCTGGGACCAGGTACTTGAGACCTAAGGGAGAAGGATGAGCATAGGTTTGGTTGCGTCTGAGAGGTATGATCTCTGGGACTGGAATTGGCAGGCAGGAGATAGAGTGGAGCCTGTGCCCTTGGCCCTGCACATAGATGGCATCAGTCTGGTCACCAACCTGATGTCGCTTTGGGCTGGACACAGTTTCCAGTAGTAACACCAGAAGCATCAATAACACCAGCAGCTCTGATATTCCTCTGGGATAGGAGAAGGAAGGTATAAGGGTATGTGTAGGGAGTAAGGTGGGGAAGAGTTTAGAGCTCATAGGGAAAGATAATGTCAGGGGGAGATGTGATAGGACCCTGAGATACAGGTCAAGGGCCTGAATGTGTCCATCTGTCCATATTTTGGTTGTTTTTTTCTGCCCATCATTGACCCCAAGGCTCAGTTGGACCCATCATTGCAGGGCTTGGTGATGTTTGAGGATGTGACGGTATATTTCTCCAGGGAGGAGTGGGGGCTCCTTAATGTGACCCAGAAGGGCCTATACCGGGATGTGATGCTGGAGAACTTTGCACTCGTTAGCTCACTGGGTAAGTCTCTTACACTGTCCCCCAGCACACTGACTACCCCCTCATTTTCCCCATGCGAAGTTCTGTCCATAACGAAGCCAGACCATGGGGGCTCTTTCCTTCCCAGATTCCCTGTTGTAGGTATTGTGGGTGGTGGGACTCGGTGGTGGGACTCGGCGGTGTGCTCTTTCCCTGCCTTTCTCTGAGCAATGCTGTTGGCAGCCTCAACACCTCTTGCCCCAGGAGCTAGTGGAGCAGGTTTTGGGGGTCAGATGTTTCATAGTTTGCCCACCAAATCCCACCAAGCTCTGCCTTTTCCTGGCCATGTGACTCTCTTGAAGACATGGCTTCTCTGTGCTCTGGGTTTTGCCTCCCTACAAAAGAAATTTTACAGGGACCTCCCTGGGCCAGGCTTGAGCCATGAATTTTAATCAGAACGGTTTGGGAAATATATATATATATATATATATATATATATATATATATATGTGTATATATATATGTATATATATGTATATATATGTATATATATGTATATATATGTGTATATATGTGTATATATGTGTATATATATGTGTATATATGTGTATATATGTATATATGTGTATATATATGTATATATGTATATATATATGTATATATGTGTATATATATATGTATATATATATATGTGTGTATATATATATATATATGTATATATATATATAATTTTTTTTTTTTTTTTTTTTTTTTTTTTTTTGAGACAGAGCCTCACTCTGTTGCCCAGGCTGGAGTGCAGTGGCGCAATCTCGGCTCACCACAACCTCTGCCTCCAGGGTTCAAGCGATTCTCCTGCCTCAGTCTCCCGAGTAGCTGGGACTACAGGCTCGCGCCACCATGCCTGGCTAATTTTTGTATTTTTAGTAGAGACAGGGTTTCACTTTGTTGGCCAGGCTGGTCTTGAACTCCGGACCTCATGATCTGCCTGCCTTGGCCTCTCAAAGTGCTGGGATTACAGGCGTGAGCCACTGCGCCTGGCCACAAAGGTACTTCTTTCGTTAAATTTATTCCTAAGTACTTTATTCTTCACTGTTAAGTATGGTGTTAGCTGTTGGTTTTTTGCAGATGCCCATTTCAGGTGAGGAAGTTCCCTTCTCTTTCTAGTTCATTTAATGTGTTTATTAAGAAAAGTCATGGCCAGGTGCAGTGGCTCATGCCTGTAATTTCAGCATTTTGGGAGGGCGAGGCAGGTGGATTACCTGAGGTCAGGAGTTCAAGACCAGCGTGGTCAACATGGTGAAACCCCATCTCTACTAAAAATAGAAAACTAGCCAGGTGTGGTGGCACATGCCTGTAATCCCAGCTACTAGGGAAGCTGAGGCAGGAGAATCGCTTGAACCTGGGAGGTGGAGGTTGCAGTGAGCTGAGATCGCACCATTGCACTCCAGCCTGGGCAACAAGAGTGAAACTACGTCTCAAAAAAAAAAAAGAAAAGAAAGGTCACTAGATTTTGTCAAATGCTTTTCCAATGTCTAATGAAATGATCATGTGATTTTTGTCCTCTCTTCTGTTAATGTAGTATATTAGAATAATTGATTGCCTTTTCTTTTTTTGAGACGGAGTCTTGTTCTGTCGCCAGGCTGGAGTGCAGTGGCGCGATCTCGGCTCACTGCAACCTCCACCTCCCGGGTTCAAGTGATTTTCCTGCCTCAGCCTCCCAAGTAGCTGGGACTATAGGCGTGCACCACCACGCCCAGCTAATTTTTGTATTTTTCGTAGAGATGGGGTTTCACCATGTTTGCAAGGATGGTCTTGATCTCTTGACCTCGTGATCTGCCCCCGTCGGCCTCCCAACACTAATTGTTGATTTTCATATGTTCAACCTTGCATTACTGGGATAAATTCCCTGTCATGGCTTATAATACTTGTTTTTTTTTTTTTTTTTTTTTTTAGACAGAGTCTTACTCTGTCGCCCAGGCTGGAGTTCAGTGGCATGATCTCGGCTCATTGCAACCTCCACCTCTTGGGTTCAAGTGATTCTCCTGCCCCCGCCTCCTGAGTAGCTGGGTTACAGGCATGCACCACTATGCCTGGCTAATTTTTTTATTTTTAGTAGAGACAGGGGTTTCACCATGTTGGCCAGGGTGGTCTTTTTTTTTTTTTTTTTTTTTGAGACGGAGTCTCGCTCTGTCGCCCAGGCCGGACTGCGGACTGCAGTGGCGCAATCTCGACTCACTGCAAGCTCCGCTTCCCGGGTTCACGCCATTCTCCTGCCTCAGCCTCCCGAGTAGCTGGGACTACAGGCGCCCGCCACCGCGCCCGGCTAATTTTTTGTATTTTTAGTAGAGACGGGGTTTCACCTTGTTAGCCAGGATGGTCTCAATCTCCTGACCTCATGATCCACTCGCCTCGGCCTCCCAAAGTGCTGGGATTACAGGCGTGAGCCACCACGCCCGGCCTGGCCAGGGTGGTCTTGAACTCCCGACCTCAGGTGATCCACCCATCTCGGCCTCCAAAGTGCTGAGATTACAGGTGTGAGCCACCACACCCAGCCAGTGGTGTAGTTTTCTTATAATGTCTCTGTATTGAGTATGAGGGTAATTTTGGCCTCAATGGATGAGTTGGGAATGTTTCCTTCTCTTCTGTTTTCTGGAAGAGTTTCTTAAGTATTGGTGTTAATTCTTATTTCAGTATTGTTAGTATTCACCTTTGAAGCCATCAGGGCTTGGGGTTGTGTGTGTTTTGGGGGGAATGTTTTTTAATAACAACAAGAAAACCCTCTTTGTTACATTTGTATTTAGATTTTCTGTTTCTTCTTGACTCAGTTTTGATAGTTTGTGTCTACTTGGGAATTTGTCCATTTCATCTAAGTTATCCAATTTGTTGGCATACATTTGTACATAGTATTTCATTATTTTTTAATTTTTATAAGGTTACTAGTGATGTCCTTTTTCCATTCCTGTTCAAAGTAGTATTGAGTCTTCTCTCTGTTTTTTGTCACTCTAGGTAAACATTTGCCAATTTTGTTGATTTTTTCAAAGAACCAAATTTTGGTTTGTCGGTTCTCTTTTTCTAATCTGTTTCATTCGTTTCTGCTCTAATTTTTATTATTTCCCTCCTTTTGCTATCTTTGGGTTTGTTTTTCTTTTTCTTGTTCCTTGAGGTATAAAGTTAGGTTATTGGTTTGAGATCTTTTAAAATATGGGTATTTATAGCCATAATGTTCCTGCTAAGCTCTGCATTTTCTGCATCCCATAATTTTTTGTTTGTTGTGGTATTTTTTTCTTTTTCTTTTTCTTTTTTTTTAATTTTTCTTTTTGAGATGGAGTCCTGTTGCCCACGCTGGAATGCAATGGTGCGATCTCGGCTCAATGCAATCTCCACCTCCTGGGTTCAAGCAATTCTGCTGCCTCAGCCTCCCAAGTCGCTGGGATTACAGGCATGTGCCACCATGCCTGGCTAATTTTTTTTTTTTTTTGAGGTGGAGTCTGATGCCTCCCAGGCTGGAGTGCAGTGGTGCGATCTTGGCTCACTGCAACCTCCGCCCCCCAAGTTCAAGCGATTCTCCTGCCTCAGCCTCCCGAGTGGCATGGTCCACCACACCTGGCTAATTTTTGTATTTTTTTTTTTTGGTAGAGACAGGGTTTCGCCATGTTGGCCAGGCTGGTCTTGAACTCCAGACCACAGGTGATCCACCCACCTCAGCCTACCAAAGTGCTGGGATTACAGGCGTGAGCCACCACCCGGCCTGTTGTATTTTTCTTTTCTTTTCTTTTTTTCTTTTTTTGAGATGGAGTCTTGCTCTGTCACCCAGGCTGGAGTGCAGTGGCACTATCTCGGCTCACTGCAAGCTCCGCCTCCTGGATTCATGCCATTCTCCTGCCTCAGCCTCCCGAGTATCTGGGATTACAGGCGCCCACCACCACGCCTGGCTAATTTTTTTTTGTATTTTTAGTAGAGACGGGGCTTCACTGTGTTCGGCAGGATGGTCTCAAACTCCTGACCTTGTGATCCACCTGCCTCGGCCTCCCAAAGTGCTGGGATTACACTTGAGCCACCACACCCAGCCCTGTGTTTTTATTTTCATTCCTCCCAAAGTACTTGTAATTGTCATGTGATTTATTTTTTCTTTGACTCTGGATTTTTAGGAATGTTTTGTTTAAATTCCTTAAATTTGTGAGTTTCCTAAATTTCTTTCTGTTGTTGATTTCTGTTTTAATTCATTTGTGGACAGAGAACATACTTGACATTATTTCAATCCTTTGAAATCTACTGAGGCTTGCTTTATTTATTTATTTATTTATTTTGAGACAGAGTCTTGCTCTGTCGCCCAGGCTGGAGTGCAGTGGCGCGATCTCAGCTCACTGCAAGCTCTGCCTCCTGGGTTCACGCCATTCTCCTGCCTCAGCCTCCTGAGTAGCTGGGACTACAGGCGCCTGCCACCATGCCCGGGTAATTTTTTTTTTGTATTTTTAGTAGAGATGGGGTTTCACTGTGTTAGCCAGGATGGTCTTGATCTCCTGACCTCATGATCTGCCCGTCTCGGCCTCCCAAAGTGCTGGGATTACAGGCATGAGCCACCGCGCCCAGCCGAGGCTTATTTTATATCCTAGCAAATGGTATGTTCTGAAGACCGTTCCATGTGCACGTGACAATGTATATCCTGCTGTTGTTAGGTGGCAAGCTCTATAGATGTCTGTTAGGACTAGTTGGTTTTCATTGTTGTTCAAGTCTGCTGTTGTTATTGATGGTGGGAAATTACAATCGTTATTATTGCTGAACAGTCTGTTTCTTCAGTTATGTCAGTTTTGCTTCATAGAAAGGCTTTTTTTTTTCTTTTTGTTTGTTTGTTTGTGTTTTTGAGACAGAGTCTCGCACTGTCGCCCAGGCTGGAGTGCAGTGGTGTGATCTCAGCTCACTGCAAGCTCTGCCTCCCAGGTTCATGCCATTCTCCTGCCTAAGCCTCCCGAGTAGCTGGGACTACAGGTGCCCGTCACCACATCCGCCTGATTTTTTTGTATTTTTAGTAGAAGGGGGGTTTCACCGTGTTAGCCAGGATAGTCTTGATCTCCTGACCTCGTGATCCGCCCACCTTGGCCTCCCAAAGTGCTGGGATTACAGGCGTGAGCCACTGCGCCCGGCCTGTTTGTTTGTTTTTGAGACAGGGTCTCACTCTGTTGCCCAGGCTAGAGTCCAATGGTGTGATCGTGACTCACTGACGCTTTGACCTCCTAGGCTCAAGTGATCCTCTCACTATGGCCTCCCTAGTAACTGGGACTACAGGTGGTGCATGCCATCATGCCTGGCTAATTAAAATAATATATTTTTTGTAGAGTTGGGGTCTTACTGTGTTGCCCAGGCTGGTTGCGAACGTCTGGGTTTAAGTGATCTCCTACCTCACTTTCCAAAGTGCTGGGATTACAGGCATCAGCCACCATGCCCAGCCTGTTTCTTTTACTACCTGTCACCCGCAGGACTTGCACCTTCGAGATCCCCTGTGTTTACCCAGCTGGAGGATGATGAACAGTCGTGGGTGCCCAGCTGGGTGGATGTGACTCCAGTCAGCAGAGCAGAAGCCAGGAGAGGTTTTGGTCTTGGTAAGTGGAGTGGAGGGGAATACCTTGGTTTCAGCAGTGGGCTCACAGAATGCTGAGTACCTGCATACACCGATACCTTGGTGTTGAGGGCAGTGACCATACCTTATTTCCTTCCACCTTTCCTGTCTTATGTGGACACTGTGCAGTCTGCCATCTCTACCATGATTTTCAGGCCCCGCATGTTCCTGCCTCTCTGGCCTGCGTCTCCTCATTGCCCTTCTCTGTATCTGTGCAGAGCTGTCTACTGTTGGCGACTCAGTGCGTGTCTTGAAATGTGCACATATCCTTAAACAGGTATTTGAACTTCAGCCAATCCTTAATTAATACTTAAACACCAGCTACTAT
This sequence comes from Homo sapiens, assembly GCF_000001405.40. Taxonomy (NCBI): domain Eukaryota; kingdom Metazoa; phylum Chordata; class Mammalia; order Primates; family Hominidae; genus Homo; species Homo sapiens. Next base: position 58,415,992 of record NC_000019.10, read on the forward strand.
TTTGGAATCACATTTTGCTGGGACTAGACACATGCCTCCTCATAGTGCTTGGCTGTCACCAGCAGCCAAGGCCCTGCTGAAACCCTTTGCAGAGGAGTGACTTGGAGACCCCACCTCTCTTCCCTGCACCATATCCTATCTTGTGCCCTCATCTCAGTTGAGGTTTTCCTTAGTCTGTAGTCTGGTGGAGCCATATTCAGTTGTGCCAGGCTTTCCCAACCCAGACCTTTCCTAGCAACCTCTCAGCAATTCTTTTTTTTTTAAGATGGAGTTTTGCTCTTATTGCCCAGGCTGGAGTGCAGTGGCGCAATCTCAGCTCACTGCAACCTCTGCCTCCTGGGTTCATGCCATTCTCCTGCCTCAGCCTCTTGAGTAGCTGGGACTACAGGCGCCTGCCACCATGCCTGGCTAATTTTTTTTTTTTTTTTTGAGTCGGAGTTTTGCTCTTACTGCCCAGGCTGGAGTGCAGTGGCGCGATCTCAGCTCACTGCAGCCTCTGCCTCTGGATTCAAGTGATCCTCCTGCCTCAGCCTCCCGAGTAGCTGGGATTACAGGCATGCATCACCACACCCGGCTAATTTTGTATTTTTAGAAGAGATGGGGTTTCGTCGTGTTGGTCAGGCTGGTCTCGAACTCCTGACCTCACGTGATCTGCCCGCCTTGGCCTCCCAAAGCACTGGGATTACAGGCGTGAGCCACCACGCCTGGCCCTTTCAGCAGTTCTATGGAGTCCTTCTGGGTGTGTCTGACATGCACTGGTGATTAAGGTACCTCCTCCCTCTAGTTCAACTCTTAGTAATGATTCATCTCTGCTTTCAGATGGTTTGTGTAGAGTGGAGGATGAGAGAGCCCATCCTGAGCATCTAAAGAGCTACAGAGTCATCCAGCACCAGGACACTCATAGTGAGGGGAAACCAAGAAGGCACACTGAGCATGGGGCAGCTTTCCCACCTGGTTCCAGTTGTGGGCAACAGCAAGAAGTCCATGTGGCAGAGAAGCTGTTCAAATGCAGTGACTGTGGGAAGGTGTTCTTAAAGGCCTTTGCCCTCCTTGACCATCTGATAACGCATTCTGAAGAGAGACCCTTCAGATGCCCAACAGGCAGAAGTGCTTTCAAGAAGTCAGCTCATATTAACCCCCGAAAAATTCACACTGGAGAAACAGCCCATGTGTGTAATGAATGTGGGAAGGCCTTCAGTTACCCGTCTAAGCTGAGGAAACACCAGAAGGTTCACACAGGCATAAAACCTTTTAAGTGTAGTGACTGTGGTAAAACCTTCAACCGCAAAGACGCACTTGTTCTACACCAGAGGATTCACACTGGAGAAAGGCCTTACGAGTGCAGCAAATGTGGTAAAACCTTCAGTGTTCTGTCTACCCTCATTCGGCACCGGAAAGTGCACATTGGAGAAAGGCCCTATGAGTGTACAGAATGTGGGAAGTTCTTTAAATACAATAATAGCTTCATTCTTCACCAGAGAGTTCACACTGGAGAAAGGCCTTTTGAATGCAAGCAATGTGGGAAAGGCTACGTGACCCGTTCAGGCCTCTATCAGCACTGGAAAGTCCACACTGGGGAACGGCCCTATGAATGTAGCCTGTGTGGGAAAACCTTCACTACCAGATCCTACCGCAATCGGCACCAGCAGTTCCACACTGAAGAGAGGTCTTATGAATGTACAGAGTGTGGGAAGGCCTTCAAACATAGTTCCACCCTCCTTCAGCACAAGAAAGTCCATACTCCAGAAAGGCGTCAGGAGGACAGGGCACATGGGAAGGTCGTTAGCTGCTAGCACCGTGTTCATCAGGAAAGGTCTTATTCCAGAAAGGAGGTTAAGGAGAGTGGCCGTGAGAGTGCCATCCGAAAGAAGCTAAACCTTGCACATCCCAACACCCACCCCAGGGAGAGTTCCCGTGTGTGCCTGGTGTGTGGGACGCTTTCGGGAGCCACATTGCACTCTGACTTGCCTGGGGCTGTTGGCAGTGTCACATCACTGAGTTTATCCACCGCCATCCACCTCTATCCACCCCATAAGGTCCCTACAGCAAGTGGGACAGCAGACCTTGTGCTCCTTGCTCTAAACAGTAGAGAATCGTTAATAGTGGAGCCCAAAACAGGCCTCATTCCCTACCCTTGACTGGTTTAGCTGTGGACATGACCCACCTCTGGCCGGAGGAGCTGAGCTGGTATCTGCTGGGGGCTTCCTGGGAAGGTTTACCATTTTCATGGAAATGGTTGACATTACACATGGTATTTGTCATGCCCTAGCATGGACTGTCTCATACTGCTCTGGACTATGTGGTAATAAAGGCTTTATTGTTTAAGCCGCTTAAAATTTTTTTTTTATTTTTTTTTTGAGATGGTCTTATTCTGTTGCCCAGGCTGGAATGCAGTGGTGCCATCATAGCTCACCACAGCCTTGAACTGCTGGTCTCAAGGGATCTTCCTGCTTCAGCCTCCTGAGTAGCTGGCACTACAGGTGTGCGCCATCACACCTGGCTAATTTTTTTTTTTCATTTGTGGACAGGGTCTTGCTATATTGCCCAAGCTGGTCTCGAACTCTGAGCCTCAAGCTATCCTCCTGCCTTGGCCTCCCAAAGTGCTGGGAGCCACTGTGCCTGGCCTAGTTTTTTTAGAGACAGGGTCTCACAGTCTTGCCCAGGCTGGAGTGCAGTAGTGTGAAGCTAGCTCATTGCAGACTTGAACTACTGGACTCAAGTGATCCTCCTGCTTCAGCGTATTGAATAGCTAGGATTGTACTTGTGTGGCACCACATCTGACTAATTTTAAAAATTTGTATAGAGACAGGATCTTGCTACATTGCCCAGGCTGGTCATGAACTCTTTGCCTCAAGCAGTCCTCTTGCCTCAGCCTTCCAAAGTGCTGGTATTATAGTTGTGAGCCACTGTGCCCTGCCAAGTCTCTTTTAATATTGAGGTTCTGATCCCTGTGTGTGGAGAGATTGAGAATAGAATCCGGCACTATCACCGTAAGTTGAGGGAATGGCTTTTGTGGAGGTGGTCTCTTGAGTTTTTTCTGCCTCAGTGGGGATGGCAGGATGACAGAAAATACCTCTAGTCAAGGTTGGCCTAATTTGTATTGGCCCCTGAGTCCTCCAGGGAAAGACTTGTAGCCTGGATGTCAGGCTTTTTTGTGGGTCCAGAGCTCACCTTGCGGAAGGGAATAGTTGGTGAGAGATCTTCTATATGTTTATGGACATAAAAAGTTGGGTTCCTTGTTCCCAGGGAATGTTCCAGAACTTCCAGCATTGGTCAGAAGGAGCTGTTTCCAGATTCAGCTCAAAAGTCATATTCTCCAAAATCTGGAACATGGAGGTAAGTTATAGACTGACTCTAAGACCTATAGGGGCCTGTTGGGTAGAGTAATTTGAGTAGAGTAAGTGGGCATAGAAATATTGAGTGAAGTAGTATGGAGTGAAGTGTCTGATAAACAAGAGGATTTCAGCCAGTTCTAAAGAGGCATCCACAAATGTTCCAGCAACTGAGGTTTCCTGGGGTGAGGGCACCAGAACTTCTCAGCAATTGCAGACCTGTTATTTGTGTCAAGGTCACTGTCAGCAAATAATCTACAGACTTTCTGGATTCTCATATCCTCTCTGGGCTGTTCACCTCTCATGGCCATTATCCTGAGACTGAAAGATTCTATAGTCCTGGGATGTGCCTTTTGTGACCCAGCCAGTACTCCTGGTGTCTGGATGCTGTGGCCTTTGCAGTTGTCAAGTTTTTGCTGTCATGGTGTCAGGGCTTTCCCTCTGGGGCTCAAGAGAGACACGTAGGGTAACCAAAGTATGGATCCAGATCTTGCGGTTTATGGGACCTTTTCAGAGTCTTGCTGTGTCACGCAGCCTGGAGTGTAGTGGTATGATCACGGCTCACTGCACCCTTGACTCCAGGGATTCAAGTGATCCTTCTACCTCAGCCTCCTGAGTAGCAGCGACTACAGTTACACACCACCACACTCAGCTAATTAAAGAAAAAATCGTTTTAGGCTGGGCGTGGTGGTCGATGCATGTAATCCTAGCACTTTGGGAGGCCAAGGTGGGCAGATCACTTTAGGTCAGGAGTTTGAAACCAGCCTGGCCAACATGGTGAAACTCCACCTCTACTAAAAATACAAAAAAATTGGCTGGGTGCAGTGGCTCACGCCTGTAATCCCAGCACTTTGGGAGGCCGAGGCAGGTGGATCATGAGGTCAGGAGATCGAGACCATTCTGGCTAACATGGTGAAACCCCGTCTCTACTAAAAATACAAAAAAATTAGCCCGGCATGGTGACGGGCGCCTGTAGTCCCAGCTACTTGGGAGGCTGAGGCAGGAGAATTGCTTGAACTGGGGAGGCAGAGGTTGCAGTGAGCCAAGATCTCACCACTATTCTCCAGCCTGGGTGACAAAGCAAGACTCTGTCTCAAAAAAAAAAAAAAATTTGGGAGTAGGGGGTCAGGATTGGCGGCTCATGCCTGTAATGCCAGCACTCTGGGATACTGAGGTGGGAGGATCGCTTGAGCCGAGAAGTTCATAGACCAGCCTGGGCAACATGGCAAGACCCCATCTCTTTAAATTTTTTTTTTTTTTAAGAGACAAGGTTTTGCCATGTGCCCAGGCTGATCTTGAACTCTTGGGCTCAAGTGATCTTCCAGCCTCAGACTCCCAATGTGCTGGGGTTGGTGTGACACTGTTCCTGGCTTATACCCACTTTTATTTTATTTTATTTTTTTTGAGATGGAGTCACTCTGTTGTCCAGGCTGGAGTGCAGTGGTGTGATCTCAGCACACTGCAACCTCCGCCTCCCAGGGTCAAGTGATTCTCATACCTCAGTCTCCCGAGTAGCTGGGATTATAGGCATCGGCCAGCATGCCCGGCTAATTTGTATTTTTAGTAGAGACGGGGTTTCACCATGCTGGCCAGGCTGGTCTCGAACTCCTGACCTTGTGATCTGCCCACCTCAGCCTTTCAAAGTGCTGGGATTACCGGCGTGAGCCACCGCACCCAGCCTATATACCCACTTTTAAAGACATACGAGATGCTAAATGTTATTCAGAATGGGCTAGAAAATGGGTGGTAACTTCCAGCTGTTGCCATGCTAAGGGGCAGTAACTTCCGAGTGTTGCCAAGGCAGTGGCAAACTGCCATGGCAATGGCGGGCCTGTCTTACGGGGAAGTGCTTTCAGCGCCTTTTCCTGATTTCAGCGTCTTCAACCTGCTCTGGAGTAGAGTCCCATCTGCCTCCTACCTCAGCTTCACAAAAATCCCTTGAAGGAGGAATTATCTTCATTTTCCATTGCTCCCCCACTTCCCCAGACTGGCTGCTGGATAGGATATTGATCACCTTGCTGCCTATAGAAATCTCAGTGCTGCTTTTTTAGGGGGAACGGAAGCCAATCCACATTGTAATTTTTTTTTCTTTTGAGACGGAGTCTCCCCGTCACCCAGGCTGGAGTGCAGTGGTGCAGTCTTGGCTCCCAGGTTCAAGTGATTCTCCTGCCTCAGCCTCCTGAGTAGCTGGGATTAACAGGTTCGCCGCACCATGCCCGGCTAATTTTTGTATTTTTAGTAGAGACAGCGTTTCACCATGTTGGTCGGGCTGGTCTCGAACCCCTGACCTCGTGATCCGCCCACCTCGGCCTCCCAAAGTGCTGTGATTACAGGCGTGAGCCACCGTGCCCAGCCATGTAATTTTAAAAATGTAATTTATAAGAGCATAAAATTATGAAATACTTAGAAATAAATTTGACAAAATTATGCAAGACTTGTACACTGAAAACTACAAAATGTTGCTGAGAGACTGATTGAAGAATACCTAAGTAAATGAGGACATTTACCATGTTCATGAACTGGAAGTCTCAATATTAGTATGTTAATCCTCCCAAAGTTGATTTGCAGATTCAATGCAGTCCCAATAAAAATGTCACTAGGTTTTGTTGTTGTTGTTTTTGACTCGCTCTGTAACCCAGGCTGGAGTGCAGTGGTGCAATCTTTTCTCACTGCAACCTCCGCGTCCCGGGTTCAAGCGATTCGCCTGCCTCAGCCCCCCAAGTAGCTGGGACTACAGGTGTGTGCCACCACGCCTGGCTAATTTTTGTATTTTTAGTAGAGACAGGGTTTGCTATGTTGGCTAGGCTGGTCTCAAACTCCTAACCTCAAGTAATCTGCCCCTCTTACCCTCCTAACATGCTGGGATTACAGGCATGAGCAGTTGATCAAATTCAACATCCCGTCATGGCAGAAACTCTCAACTAGGCGTAGAAGGAACATACCTCAACATAATAATGGCCATATATGACAGACCCACAGCTAACATCTTACTGAATGGGGAAAGGCTGAAAGCTTTTTCTCTCAGAACTGGAACAAGACAAAGATGCCCACTTTCACCACTCCTATTCAACATAGTACTAGATGTCCTAGCCAGGCAAGAGAAAAGAAAAGGTATCCAAATTGGAGGAGACTAAGTAAGTTGTTCCTGTTTGCAGATGACATGATCTTATATTTAGAAAAACCTAGACCCCACCAAAAAAACTCTTAGGTCTGATAAAGAGATTCAGCAAGGTTTCAGGATACAATCAATGTACAAAAATCAGTAGTGTTTCTATACACCAGTAATGATCTAGCTGAAAAAGAAATCAAGAAGGCAATCCCATTTATGATAGTTACCAAAATATACCTGGGAATAAATTTAACCAAGGAGGTGAAACACCTCTACAAGGAAAATTACAGAACATTGATAATAGAATTGAAGAGACCTTTGGATTCATCCTCACATTCTTCCTCTTCTGCCCACAAATAACCCCCTTCCAAAAAAAAAATGATACAAACAAATGGAAAAACATATGCTCATGGATTAGGAGAATTAATATATTTTGTTTTGTTTTTGTTTGTTTTGAGACAGAGTCTCGCTCTGTTGCCCAGGCTGGAGTGCAATGGCACGATCTGGGCTCACTACAAGCTCCGCCTCCCGGGTTCACACCATTCTTCTGCCTCGGCCTTCCCAGCAGCTGGGACTACAGGTGCACGCCACTATGCTCAGCTAATTTTTTGTATTTTTAGTAGAGACAGGGTTTCACCGTGTTAGCCAGGATGGTCTCGATCTCCTGACCTTGTGATCTGCCTGCCTCGGCCTCCCAAAGTGCTGGGATTACAAGCGTGAACCACCACACCCGGCTGTTTTTTTTGAGACGGAGTCTTGCTCTGTCGCCCAGGCTGGAGTGCAGTGGCGCGATCTCGGCTCACTGCAAGCTCTGCCTCCCGGGGTTCTCGCCATTCTCCTGCCTCAGCCTCCAGAGTAGCTGGGACTGTTGGCATGTGCCACCACGCCTGGCTAATTTTTTGTATCTTTAGTAGAGACAGGTTTTCACCATGTTGGCCAGGCTGGTCTCAAACTCCTGACCTCGTGATCTGCCCAGCTTGGCCTCCCAAAGTGCTGGGATTGCAGGCATGAGCCACTGCGCCTGGCAGAAGAATTAATATTGTTAAAATGACCATACTGCCCAAAGCAAGCTACAGATTCAATGCAATCCCTATGAAGATATCAAATGCATTTTTTCCCCACAGAATTAGAAAAAGTTCTCAGAGCTTTGTAGAATCAAAAAAGAGCCCAAGTAGCCAAAGCAATCCTGAGCACAAAGAGCAAAGCTGGAAGCATCACACTACCTGACTTGAAAATATATTACAAGGCTATAGTGACCAAAAGAGTGTGGTATTGGTATAATAGTCACATAGACCACGGAAACATAATGGAGACCCAGAAATAAATCCAGATATTTACAGCCAACTGATTTTCAACAAAGATGCCAATAACATACATTGGGAAAGGATACCCTCTTCAATAAATCCAAAAACTAGATATCCATATGAATGAAACTAGACCCCCATCTCTCACCGTATACAAAAACAACTCTAAATAAAGACTTAAACATATGACTCAAAACTGTAAAACTACTAGAAAAACAAGGGGGTCGGGGCAGTGGCTCACACCTGTAATCCCAGCACTTTGGGAGGCCGAGGCGGACGGATCACCAGAGGTCAGGAGTTCGAGACCAGCTTGACTCACATGGTGAAACCCCATCTCTACTAAAAATACAAAAAAAAAAAAAATTAGCCAGGTGTGGTGGCGCATGGCTGTAATCTCAGCTACTTGGGAGGCTAAGGCAGGAGAATAGCTTGAACCCAGGAGGCGGAGGTTGCAGTGAGCTGAGATCGCACCATTGCACTCCAGCCTGGGCAACAAGAGTGAAACTCAGTCTCAAAAGAACAAAATAAAACAAACAACAACAACAACAACAAAGGAAAAGGAAAAGCACGTGTTGGGAGAAAATATTTGCTAAATATATTCGACATCTTTTATCTCAAATATATAAATAACACTTATAACTCGATTATAAGTTAATAATCATCCAAAGTTTAAAATGGGCAAAAGATCTGAACAAATATGCTTTGAAAGAAGATATATGGTTATCAAATACACACTTGAAAAGTTGTTCAACGTCACTAGTCATTCAGGAAATGCAAATTTAAACTATGATGAGATACAACTACTACACATTTATTAGAATCGTTAAAATGAAAAAGACAAACATACAAATATATGGCAAGAATGTGGAGCAACTAGAACTCTCAGTGAGTTCTAATATAAGTGTGATAAATTTTTTTGAAAACAGTTTGACAGTTCTTAAAATGTTAAACATAAAAGCCGGGTATGGTGGAGTGCACCTGTAGTCCCAGCTACATTGGGCAGGAGGATCTTTTGAGCCCAAGAGTCCAAGTCCAGCCTGGGCAACATAGCCAGACCCTGTCTCAAAATAAAAACAAAAACAAAACAAAACAATTAAACATACACCTACCATATACCCCCAAAATTCCACTTCTAAGTATCTACCCAAGAGAATTCAAAGGATATATTAACACAAGGACTTGTACACAAATGTTTATAGCAGCTTCATTTGAGATAGTCAAAAGTTAGAAACAATTTGGCCAGGCACTGTGGCTCATGGCTGTAATCCCACCACTTTGGGAGGCCGAGGCGGGTGGATCATGAGGTCAGGAGTTTGAAACCAGCATTGCCAACGTAATGAAACCTGTCTCTACTAAAAATACAAAAAAAATCAGCCAGGCGTGGCGGTGCACACCTGTAGTCCCAGCTACTCAGGAGGCTGAGGCAGGGGAATTGCTTGAACCCAGGAGGTGGAGCTTGCCGTGAGCCGAAATTGCGCCACTGCACTCCAGCCTGGGCGACAGAGCCAGACTCCATCTCAAAAAAAAAAAAAAGATGGGGTCTTGCTCTATTGCCCAGGCTGGTCTTAAACTCCCCGGCTCAAGTGATCCTCCTGCCTTGGCCTACCAAAGTGCTGGGATTACAGGCGTGAGCCATCACGCCCGACTGAACCTCTTTTCCTTATAAACTATCTAGACTTAGATTTTTCCTTCCTTCCTTCCTTCCTGTCTTCCTTCTTCCTTCCTTCCTTCTTTCCTTTTTTTTTTTTTTTTAGACAGAATTCTGCTCTTGTGGCCCAGGCTGGAGTGCAATGCCGTGATCTTGGCTCATTGCAACCTCTGCCTGCCGGGTTCAAGCAACTCTCCTACCTCAGCCTCCCGAGTAACTGGGATTACAGCCGCCACCACCACGCCTGGCTAATTTTTTGTATTTTTAATAGAAACGCCGTTTCACCATGTTGGCCAGGCTGGTCTCAAACTCCCAACCTCAGGTGATCTGCCTGCCTGGGCCTCCCAAAGTGCTGGGATTACAGGCATGAGCCACCATGCCCAGCCTGAGATATTTCTTTATAGTAACACAAAAACAGCCTAACAAAAAGGTCACATAGTAGGTAGGATTTAGTAAGAAAGAGAGCTGAGATTTCAAGGCAGGTGAACTGGGTCTAATGTTTCCACTGCTTTACTCACCTCTCCCTACCTCTAGATTTCCACCCTCCCATGTTGAAATCTCTTGGTTATAAATTTTCACTTGTGCTTCTTTCTTAGATCACCTTCTTGAATCACAGTGGTGTCTATTTTCATATCCATTGAGGGTATAGTGATTCCTTGAGGGTTACAAGGTCTGCAGATCGATGAGTTCTTGGCATTTTGGAGAGGCCAGAGACTGGTAGCTCTGAGTCATTAGTTGTCAGGCCATGCCTCCCCATCAAACAATCGAAGCTTGGCTGACTTCTCTGAGTGCCAGAAGAAGGCTGGGGCTGGGGGTAGAGGATCTGGGTTTCACAAGAGGCGAGTCTGGAAATGTCAAAATTGGGGTCCAAGGTGAGAGGATGGCGTGGTAGGACAACATTGTCTGCCATCCGTGTATAATGGCTGAAGCTCTGGTTAGTGGGTGTGGCCTAAGGAGAATGTAGTGATTCCCACTGTCGGTGTAAAGGGCTTCATATTGATGGAGAGTTTTCTGTGTTGTCAGAAGTTCTGGTGGACACTGTGAGACAGATTTCATGGATTTATAGATGAGACAGCTGAAGCTTGGGAGTCTGTGCCCCAGATCGCACAATTTATTAGCAGTAGGAGTCCAAGTTGAGCCAAGCCAGAGAAGGTTACTGAGTGTTTTGGCACCCTTGGCCTTAATCTGCTGCTCTTCAGATTTCACAGCCCCCATGTTCCAGATAGTTCACTCAAAGCTTGGGAGTTGGAGATGAGGGAATCAACAGATGCTGACACTAGCATGAAGGAGAGGTATAGCTGATCTGGAGGTATGATTGGGAGAGGTTGAGAAGCCTTTCAAGGGTGTCCCTGATGTGGGAGGGCACAAGCAAAGGCCCAGGGGCAAGGAACTGCCCAGTAGATTCCAGAAGAGAACTACCATTGCATACAGCAGAGTGTACAATAACAGGGTAGTCAGTACACTGCATCAAGGGGCTGAAGGCAACTGCCTTTTGGTTTGAGCATAGTCTGAAAGCAGTGGAGCCACTGAATCCCACAAAAGCTGGTAACCTGGACAGCTCAAAAGTCACAGCCATCAGGACTTTGCCTGGAATATTCTGGCATTATTGGCAAACATCTATCTTCCCCTAACAGGTTGGCTGCTGTATACTGAGACCCAGTCGGAGATCAGAAGGCAGGTTCAGTAGAAACACGTAGGACTCTACTCATGTATTAGGAATCTTTTTTTTTTCCTTTTTTATTTTTATTTTTTATTATTTTTTTGAGACGGAGTTTCACTCTTGTTGCCCAGGCTGGAGTGCAATGGCGTGATCTCAGCTCACTGCAACCTCTGCCTCCCAGGCTCAAGCAATTCTCCTGCCTCCTGAGTAGCTGGGATTACACGCATGCGCCACCATGCCTGGCTTTTTTCTTTCTTTCTTTCTTTCTTTCTTTCTTTCTTTCTTTCTTTCTTTCTTTCTCTTTCCTTTCTTTCTTTCTTTCTTTCTTTCTTTCTTTCTTTCTTTCTTTCTTTCTTTCTTTCCTTCCTTCCTTCCTTCCTTCCTTCCTTCCTTCCTTCCTTTCCTTTCCCTTCCTTCCTTCCTTCCTTCCTTCCTTCCTTCCTTCCTTCCTTTCTTTCTTTTTCTTTCTTTCTTTCTTTCTTTCTTTTCTTGTAGAGATGGGATTTCTCCATGTTGGTCAGGCTGGTCTCAAAGTCCCAACCTCAGGTGATCCGCCCGCATTGGCCTCCCAAAGTGCTGGGATTACATGCGTGAGCTACCGCGCCCAGCCTTTTTTTTTTCCTGTTTTAGAGACAAGGTCTCATTATGTTGCCCAGGCTGGAGTGCAGTGGTGCAAACATAGCTCACTGCAGTCTTGAACTCCTGGGATCCAGTGATCCTCCTGCCTCAAGTAGCTGGAAACAGGCATGCCACAATCATGCCCAGCACCATCTTATGAGATCTAATCTTGGCCACTCACACAGAGGATTGAGCTCTGATGACGTGTCTACCCTAACTTTATTTGCTTAGAAGGCTGAGCCCCATATGGCTCAGCTAACCTTTAATTCTGATCCCACATGTGTCTTACATATTGGAGACATTAGCATCTTCCATATTGGAGACATTACACTCAGGAAGGAAGGCCTGAGTAGGGTAGGTATCCCCCAGACACCTCACTGTGCTGGGGAGTATTTGAGAAGCCCTGCTGTAAACTTTGCTGACGGCAAAACTGTTGTGGCTTCTGCTCACAATGTGGTTATCATTGTCCATCCCCTCAGGGGCTTCCAGGAGACGTGGCAGCTGCAGTGGCCTCTGATCCATCATACAGTATGGATGGACACCACAGGCCAAAGATTCTCATGTCAGAGGATTTCCGGTCTTTTCTCCCCTAGGCCTCAGGAGGACCCAGGGAAATATCTAAAGCCAACCTATAGTTTTGGTGAACTGAGTTTGCATTGAAATGTTTTTGGAAATGATTTTCAACATTTATAAAATCACATGCCACATAGAAATCTGAATATTTGGCTCTTCTTGGAAAACCAGGAGATATGGGAAATCTGTACTGACTCCACCATATTGTCTCCCCACCCCTTAAGAGGGACAGACCTGCTTGGTGGCCACCAGAAGTGGAATTATGAAGGCCACGGCCATATGATTCTCAAGAAACCCTGGCTACTCACATAAGCCACTCCAGACCATGATTTCTGTCTTCTCTGTCTTGAGGTGCCTACCTGTGCAGTGATGGCCATGAGATGAACAGCCCAGGGAGTCCACAGGAAATCCACAAAATATTTATTTGAATTTCAGTTATGAGTGACACATAGGTCTGCATGTCCTGAGAAGTTCTGTACACCCTTATCTCACTTGGCCATAGTCATTGGAAGTTTCTGATGTGCGTTTAGAACAGACATGTCCCCTCTTGTCTACCACAGTCTTCTCCACACTTAGAGTTTTTGTACCAATGATAGTTCCCACATAGCCCTGGCAGGTCTGAACCAGTTATGCCTGCCTACTGAGTTTTATATTTCATGAGTCATGAGCCATGGGCAGGTACTGGGGGATGTAGCTGGTAAAGTGGGACATGCATTGGGAACAGAGGACCAAACTTTTGCTGTGGAGGTTCTCAAAGAAACTACCCCATTCTTCAGAGCTAGCTCTGGGCCCACAGGTGACCCTTGGTGTCCAGATCACAAGATTCAGTCCAAGCCTGTCAGTCTTTCATAGGAGGCCTTAGGGCAACAAGACAAATTCAACCAAAACTGGACTGAGCACTCTTCCTGCCCATGCGGCTGTTTGAGACACTCAGTGCCCCCTTACAAAAGCTGTTCTTTTTATATTAGGATGAATTGTTTCAAACCACCTCACCAACTCTGATGCAGGTGGCTAAACATTAAGGCCTTTGTTATCTCAGAGAGAGACAGGCAGATCCAGGAGTGAGTGATTGAGACTAAACAGATCATTCCTAAGTGTCACATGTAGATGCAAACAATGTCCATGAAGAGAAACCTTTTCTTCTATTTTAGATGGAGTCTCACACTGTCGCCCAGGCTGGAGTGCAGTGGCACGATCTCGGCTCACTGCACACCCTGCCTCCCAGGTTCACACCATTCTCCTGCCTCAGCCTCCTAAGTAGCTGGGACTACAGGCACCCGCCACCACACCTGGCTAATTTTTTGTATTTTTAGTAGAGGTGGGTTTTCACCATGTTAGCCAGGATGGTCTCGATCTCCTGACCTCATGATCTGCCTGCCTCAGCTTCCCAAAGTGCTGGGATTATAGGCATGAGCCACTGTGCCCGGCCAAGAAACCTTTTCTGGAAAGCTCCAGAAGACACCAGCTCAGATCTTAGCAAGAATTGTCATACCAAAATCTAAAGCCATCAGTGGGAAAGAAAATGAAGGTACTCAAAGCCTATGTAATTCTCTCTAGAGAATGGAAAAGGGAGTATAGTCTGCTTTCCCTTAGCACAGTGAGGGAGACTGATACATATCATGAGATCTTGCCAGGTGGCAGAGATGAGACAGTATGGCAGGCAGCTTTGGACATGGCTTCCAATGATCTCTGCCCTCTGGTATTCATGCTCTTGTGTAATGCTCTCCCCTTGACTGTGGGCTGGACCAAGTGACTTGCTTCTAACTAAATTTAGCAAAGATGATGGGATCTCACTTCTGTTATTAGGTTACAAATGACTGACTTGTTGGTATTCTCCACTGCATGATCAGCTTGCAAGCTTTGATTGACAAGCTGCCATTTTGGAGAGGCCCATGTGGCAGAGAACTGGAGGAGGTCTCAGACCAACAGACGGGTCCTCAGTCCAGCAGCCCACAAAAAACTGAATGCTGCCAATTACATGAGTTTGCTTGGAAGCAGAGCCTTCCCTAGTCAAGCCTTCAGATGATACACCCCCAGCTGACATCTTGATGTTAGCCTTGTGAGAAACCCTAAAGAGGAGTCAGCTAGCTGCACCAAAGTTCCTGACCTATAGAGACTGTGAAATAGTGACTATTGTTTTAAGCCACTAGGTTTTGAGTAATTTGTTACACAGCAATAGGTAACTAATACAGATGGCTTCTGCAATAGCAGTAATACAGTGCCGCCTAAGATTCTGGGAGCTGTGGCTTTCCCACATTTGTTGCCCATAACTCTCTTGTGAATTCTCTGGTGATTTTTCTTAAAAGGGGGTGTCTATAGCTGAAGGCTTTCCCATTTTCACTGCATTTGTAATGCCTTTTTCCCATAGGTACTTTATATAGCTTTCTCACATAGGAGAGGTGACTGAAGACCATCCCACATTCCTTAGATGCAGGGGTTTTCTCTACTGTGAATTTTTTGGTTATAGATAAGAATCGATTTCTTCTTGAGGGTCTTTCTTCATACCAAGTATTTAAAGATCTCTCTTCAGTGTGGGTTCTTAGGTGGTTGAAGAGGGCAAAAGTCTTCATGTCTTCCCATAGCCACTGCTCTTGAAGGGCTTCTCCCTATCATGGCCTGCCCGGTGTTATCTGATGTTAGAGCTGTGTGGCAGCATCTTCTCACTCAGCTCTTCTTCATGGCTTCCCTGTGCCATGAGTACTCTGGTGATGGAGAAAGGAAGGCCTTTCCACATTCTCTTTTGAGCTTCTCATTATTCTGGTACTCCAGTGCTGGAAGGGGGTAGTTACCCTGGAAAGCCTTCACAAATGCCTGGCCCTTGAGTCCTCTCACTTATGAATTTTGCTGTGCATGAACTGAAAAGTGCTCTTACTGTGAGCCATGTCACATCTGAAAAGGTGGTCTTCACCATAAATGGTCTACTGTTGGTGAAGGTTTGATCCACTCCCTTGTGTGGGGTTTCTACCTGGAGTACACTGCCTAACGTTCAGCCAGGAGTACAATCTTTGGCAGGGCAAGGGTGCCATGGTCAGGGTGAGGAACGACCAGTCATGGAGTACTGGTCCTGTCACATATCCCACTACTGAGCCTGTTAGGTGACATTCACATAGGCAGGGAGAACAGAGAGGGATCTAGGACAGATGTGGAAGCAGCAGTGGCTACTGAAACTGCTGTTCAGTGATGTGAGCCCAGGCCACCCTTCTTTTCTAGAGATGGGGCCTTGCTATGTTGCCCTGGATGGACTCAACCTCCTGGGCTCAAGAGATCCTCCTGCCTCAGCCTCTCAAGCAGCTAGGACTATAGGTGTGCACCACTGCACCTGGCCAGGCCTCTCCTTTATGGGGACTCCTGTTCACATCCCAGCCAATGCTCTCATGAGTACTTCCTTGTATGGGGGAGGTCAAAGAAACAGCAGCAGCTCACATGTGATGATGCTGAAATTACATGGTAAATAAGCTTTTTAAAATAGGTGCCGGCCAGGTGCGGTGGCTCATGCATGTAATCCCAGCACTTTGGGAGTCCAAGGCAGGCAGATCAGGAGGTCAGGAGATCGAGACCATCCTGGCTAACATGGTGAAAACCCGTCTCTACTAAAAATACAAAAAAATTAGCTGGGTGTGGTGGCGGGCAACTGTAGTTCCAGCTACTCGGGAGGCTGAGGCAGGAGAATGGCGTGAGCCATTTAGGAGGTGGAGCTTGCCGTGAGCCAAAATCGCGCCACTGCACTCCAGCTTGGGCGACAGAGCAAGACTCCATATCAAAAAAAAAAGGTGCCAAACACCATATTCTACAAGGTTCTGGATCTCTAGCTCCTTCTAAAATACCAGCTCTGTCAACTGTGTTAAATGCCCCCATCTGCCTGTGCCCACTCTGTTGGCCAGCAAGACTGTGAAGGCATGAAGTGTGTGTTAGTGACCAGAAACCCTGGCCAGACTGCAAAAACCACTTTCCTGGACGTCAGGCTATCACTTCTCTCAGCTCCCAGTTCCTACCTGGGGAGTGATGGGTGCCAAGATACAGTTTGAGAGAGGTGAAGTGAATGTACATGACATTGCATTTATCTGCTTTAACTGTGGCAAAAACTTTAACATGGCAAATACAAAGGTCTGTAGCTCTGGAGTTGTTCTGCACACCCTCACCCTGCACAGTCCCAGTTGATGGGGAACTATGGCTATTCCTTTGTCCATGATGGCATGTGCCCTAGTTCACCAGTCTACCCAAATCCCTGGTTATTACCTCACATCCAGTGTTTCTCTATGCACATAGAGTCCTCCATGGACCCCTCTAGGTCTTTGCCTTGGTGACCCTGTGACTATTTTAGTGTTGTAGATGAGTTTATTTTTCCTCTGGGTAAGCTCTGGGCCCTACGGTAACTGAAACAGGCCACTATGTTCAATCCAGAGCCTTTCAGTCTTTCCCAGTCTTTCACACAGCAATGCAAAGTAGGCTACAACAGGACAGAGCAACTACCCGCTCTTCTACTGTGCCCTTAGGCAGATTTTGTGCCCCCAAAAGGCACTCCCCAATCTATCCATTCATTTTCTCAACCTACCCCAACAGAACCCCTAAGATTAAAGGTGACCTGATCAATAAGGTCTTTATTATCACCAGTTAGTGCAGGCAAGGTAGGTGATTCCAGTGGAGGGTGATTTGTGGCCTCAATGGACACATCTTAGGGGTTAAACACAGACTTGACCACATCCACAAGGAATGTGCATCTTCCTGAGCTCAAATTAGATTTCCCTCAAGGCCCCTCAACCAGCATCGGTTCAGCTGAGCACAGTCCTGAATCCCTAGAGAACACAGGAAGGAAGGCTCAGGGTACTGTTTTCCCCATGCATGAGGACAGGACTGCTGCAAATTTTTGGATCCAGGCAAGATGGAAAGTGACTATGGCTTCTGCCTTATGCTGCATGGGTGAGATGGCCCTGCAAAGGTTCCTGGGCTGGTCAGAAACAGAGTAGCTTCTGAAGGCTTTTCCACATTAGCAGTACATGTAGGTAATTTTTCTGGTATGGGGATTCTGCTGCATGAAGTTTGACTTGGCTGAAGATTTTCTCACAAAGACCACTTCCATAAGGCTCCACTCAGGTATGAATCTTTTTATGCTGTGCAAGGTTACAAAGATGGCTGAAGAGTTTCCCACACTGGCTACACTCATAAGTCCTTTCTCTGGTGTGAACTTTCTGGTGCCGAACAAGTGTAGATCTTTCACTAAAGGCTTTTCCACACTGGATGCACTCATAGGGCCTTTCTTGTGTGTGAACTCTCTGATGACGAACCAGGTGGGAGTTACTGCTAAAGGCTCTCCCACATTCACTGCATTCGTAAGGCCTTTCTCCAGTGTGAACTCTCCAGTGACAAATAAGGCTGGATTTTCGGCTAAAGAATTTCCCACATTCACTGCATTTATAAGGCTTTTCTCCAGTATGAACTTTCTGATGCTTAATGAGAATGGAGTTTTGGCTAAAGAATTTCCCACATTCATTGCACTCATAAGGCCTTTCTTTTGTGTGAACTCTCCAGTGTTCAATGAGAGTGGAGCTGTGAGCAAAGGCTTTCCCACACTCACTACACTCGTAAGGCTTTTCTCCAGTGTGAATTCTCCAGTGCTGAATCAGGCTGGAGCTGCGGCTGAAGGATTTCCTACATTCGCTGCACTCATAAGGCCTTTGCCCAGTATGTACTTTCTGGTGCTGGATGAGGGTGGAGCTATTACTGAAGGCTTTACCACAATCACAGCATTCAAAAGGCCGTTCTCCAGTGTGAACTTTCTGATGTCGAAGGAGATGGGAGCTTTGGCTGAAGTCTCTTCCACATTCACTGCACTCAAAAGGCCGTTCTCCGGTGTGAACTTTCTGGTGCTGAGCAAGGTTGGAGTTATTGTTAAAAGCTCTTCCACATTCACTGCATTCATACGGTCTTTCTCCAGTGTGAACTCTCCAGTGCTGAATGAGAGCAGAGCTTCGGCTGAAGGATTTACCACATTGACTGCACTCATAAGGTCTTACCTGTGTGTGAACTTTCTGATGCCGAAGGAAATTGGAGCTTTGGCTGAAGGCTCTTCCACATTTCAGGCACTCAAAAGGCCTTTCTCCAGTGTGAACTTTCTCATGCCGAATGAGGTGTGATCTGTTACTGAAGGCTTTCCCACATTCATCACACTCATAAGGTCTTTCTCCTGAGTGAATTCTCTGATGATGAACAAATGTGAGTTTGTGGTTGAAGGTTTTCCCACATGCAATGCACTCATAATATTTTACTTCAGTGTGAAATTTCTGGTGCTTCCTCAGCTTAGATGAGTGACTAAAGGCCTTCCCACACTCCTTACACACATGGGGTATTTCCCCAGTGTGAAACTTTTTATTACCAAGGATTGATTTCTCCTCTAAGAAATTTCCACCTGTTGGGCATGTAAATGGTATCTCTTCAGAGTGAGTTCTCAGATGGTTGGGGAGAGTGGAGCTCTTCAGGAAGGCTTTTCCACAGTTGCTGCACTCGAAGAGTTTCTGTGTGGTACAGACTTCTGGAAGCTGCCCAAGATTGGAATATGGCTTCTGCCCACTGTCAACAGCTTGAAGCTGGAGGAGGTCACAGCTGCCCAGGATGACCTTCCCACCTTCCCTGCAAGTGAAGGGGTTCTCTGACAGGTGGACTTTAGAGCTCTTCATAAGTGCGTCCCTGTCCTTGTACCATCTAAAGGGCTTCCCTCCACTGTGCTCCTTCTGGTGCTGGTGAAGGTTTGCATTCAACCAAAAGTCTCTCCCACATGCTCCACATGTGTAGGGTTTCTCCTCAGACTGTGTTCCCTGATGCTCAGCCAGGTGCAAAATGTCTTTCAAGAATGGCCCACACATGTCACAGGAGTTAGCTTTCTTGGTGGAAGGATCTGCATTAGGGATCCTGACCTGTAACACTTCTACAGAAACATTCTGCTTGGGATGGGCCCCCTCACCCTCTACTCCATGCCAAGAACCTGAAAGTAGAGAAATGCCAGTTAACTAAGAATTCCACTTGGTGGGAATGGTTGACTTCATTAGAAATGTTACCCAGGAATTCACACCCAAGAAGAGGTCCCAGGGATTGCTGACAGGCCAACAGGGCCATCATCAGGGTGAAGAAGGGCCCATTACTATTGGCAGGATAGGGACCAGCCAAGCAACAGAATAAGGGAGACCTCACCAGGGGTAAGGACACAGAAATGGGTCAAAGGACTTAAATAGACATTTCTCTAAAAGAAGATATATACACAAATGGCCAATAAGCATATGAAAAGAAGTTCAGCATCCTTAAACATGAGGAGTATGAAAACCAAAACCATAATGAGATACCACTTCACATCCACTAGCATAGCTATAATAAAAAAAAATAAATGACAACAAATGAAGTAGAAAAACTGGAGCACTTATACACTGCAGACAGGGATGTAAAATGGTGCAGCCAATTTGGAAAACAGTTTGGCAAGTCTGCTTCTACAGAGCTACACAAGAGAACTAAAAACATCCACACAAAAATGTGTACAGGACTGTTCATAGCAGAATTTTTTTAAAATTTGAGATGGGGTCTTGCTATGTTGCCCAGGTTGGTCTCAAACTCCTGGGCTCAAGTGATCCTCCTGCCTCAGCCTCCTGAGTAGACGGATTATAGGCACCTTGCCCAGCTTCTATAGCAGCATTTTTTTCTAACACCTAAAAAATGGAAACAAGCCAAATGCTCATCCACTGGTAAATGGATAAACAAACTGTAGTCTTTCTATACACTGGAATATTTGGCTATAAAAAAGAATGAAATATTGATACATGCTACAACATTGATGAACTTCAAAAACATGCTAAGAGAAAGCCAGTCACAGAAAAATACATAGTATTCTATAAAATGTCTAGGAAACGTAAATCTATATAGTCAGAAAGTAGATTAGTGGTTGCCTAGGACCGGGGGGAAAGGGATAAGGGAACATGGGGAGTGACAGCTAATGGGACTGCTAATAGGACCTACAGTTTCTCTTTAGGTGATGAAAACATGCTAAAATTACATTATAGCAATGATTATACCATGTGAAAACATATAGAAATCACTAGACTGTGTACTTTAAAAGGTGAATTGTATGGTTTATCTTAATAAAGCTGTTTTTAAAAAATATCTCACTGGGGGCTGGGCGTGGTGGCTCACGCCTGTAATCCCAGCACTTTGGGAGGCTGAGGTGGGTGGATCACGAGGTCAGGAGATTGAGACCATCCTGGCTAACATGGTGAAACCCCCTCTCTACTGAAAATACAAAAAAAATTAGCTGGGTGTGGTGGCAGGCACCTGTAGTCCCAGCTACTTGGGAGGCTGAGGCAGGAGAATGGCGTGAACCTGGGAGGCAGAGCTTGCAGTAAGCTGAGATCACGCCACTGCACTCCAGCCTGGGGGACAGAGCAAGACTCCATCTCAAAAAAAAAAAAAAAAAAAAAAAAAGGAAAAAAAAATCTCATTGGGAAAGAGACAGAATCTGGGCATGACCTCATACTGGGTAACCCGACCAGGGATTGGTGAATCTCAGTGGGATCTGTTAGGCAGACTGGAGGTGTCTGATCCCCAACCTTTGCCTCCACAAGGCTCCTGGGCAACAGCTATTAGGAAAGCTCATGAGGCTGCTCAGAGAGAGACAGGGGAAGTACACACAGCAGAACCTCAGCACCCCAGCACCTACAACAGGAAACCCGAGAAGGAAGCAGTACCCATGATCTGGCTTTGGGATGAACAGAGCTTTCTATGGGGAAAAGACACAAGGCATAAGGTAGTCATCACCATGCTGAGACAGGGCATTACCAAGTGAGGTCACAAGCTCAAGGTTTTCCAGCATCACACTGTGGTACAGGTGCCTCTGGGCTGCATCAAGGAGCTCCCACTCCTCTTGGGAGAAGTATACAGCCACATCTTCAAAGGTTACCATGCTCTTCAATGTGGGGACAGCTGAGCCACAGGGCCAAGAAGTATGCTGACAAAGAAACAAACAATTGGTCAAATGGAAATATGCAGGACCTTGCTGTGTGACTCAGAATCCTGATACATCTACCACTAATATCTCTTTTTCTTATGATCCTCTCAGTCCACCCACTACTCACCCATCCACAGCTTATCTTCTTCCTCAGGGCCCCCACCTAACATGCCCTGGAATTAATGGTGCCCCTCTCTCCTAGTAGTCCCACTGGTCACTGTATCCAGGCCAACCCAACCTAGAGGAACAATAGGCAGGTGGGCAGATGGATGCTTCCTCCTCCCTCCTGCTGGCCAATTTTCCTTGTGTCTTCTGGCTCATACCTCCCAAACATAAGAAAATTTGGGCTTCCCTTTCTTAAGCCTCTTGTACCAGGGCCATGGGCCCAATGGTTCACATTCTCTCACCTTTACATGTCACTCCTCAGACCATACAGTTCTTATATTTCCAACCCCTCCCTGTTCACACTGTAGGCATTCTCCCTAGCATCTCACCATGCACATGGCATACCTGACAGATGCAACCGGGATCCATTCCTGGTCCAAGCCAGCTACAGAGCTCCAAAAACCCCACTGCAAGAGGCAGTCATAGCCCCTCAAGTCAATGCCTCCCCTGCCAGCCCTGTTCCTTCAACCATCAGCTGCCCAGAACCATAAGCAGATCTCAAATATCTCTTCCCTCTGATATCTTTGCCTTTGTATGTGTTGTCTCCTCCCCAGTCATAGCTGTCCTTGCTCTTCCTAACACTCAAATCCAAGATCCACTGGCCCCCACCTTGGCTTGGGGACTCAGCTTAGGCTGACCCTTTCTGATCTTGCCACTCCACCAGCCTGACAAAAACCCCAGGACCCTATTTAAGAAGAGATAACATGCCCTGACCACAAGAAGGATGGCCGCAACAATGTAGTGAGCTGTAGAGAAGCAAATCAACCTAAACCAAAGCCCAACTCTCATCCTACTTTTGCCGCTATGCTTCACTGTTGTCCTAGACCTACTCTCTGCTCAGGAGGCTCAGCCACTATCTTGAACCCAACCCACAACTGCATGCAGTGTCCACACACAAGCATCCATCCCTTGGATGTTTCCAGCCTAAACCCGACATAATTTCATAATCACATGTTTAGTGGTCTACTTGGCACCTCAATTTGGTAGTGTCTGGGACATCTCAAATACAACATGGCCAAAATCCAACTCTTTATCTTCCCCCTGAAATCTACTCCTCACACCAACTTCCACATCTGAAAGATCTAAGGTCAATTTTTTTTTTTTTTTTTTTGAGACAGAGTCTCGCTCTGTCACCCAGGTTGGAGTGCAGTGGCGCGATCTTGGCTCACTGCAAGCTCCGCCTCCCGGGTTCAAGCCATTCTCCTGCCTCAGCCTCCCGAGTAGCTGGGACTACAGGCACCCACCACCACGCCTGACTAATTTTTTGTATTTTTAGTAGAGATGGGGTTTCACCGTGTTAGCCAGGATGGTCTCAATCTCCTGACCTAGTGATCCACCTGCCTCGGCCTCCCAAAGTGCTGGGATTACAGGCGTGAGCCACCACGCCCGGCAATTTTTTTTTTTTTTTAAGACAGAGTCTCGCTCTGTCACTCAGGCTGGAGCGCAGTGGCACGATCTCAGCTCAATGCAACCTCCATCTCCCAGATTCAAACAGTTCTTCTGCCTCAGTTTCCCAAGTTGCTGGGATTACAGGTGCACACTACCATGTCCTGGCTAATTTTTCTGTATTTTTAGTAGAGGTGGGGTTTCGCCACGTTGGCCAGGCTGGTCTTGAACTCCTGACCTCAAGTGATCTGGCCGCCTTGGCCTCCCAAAGTGCTGGGATTACAAGTGTGAGCCACTGCACTCAGCCTTAGGTCAATCTTAACATTTCACTTTCTTTCACTGTCCCACATCAGGTAATCCATGGCCCAGTTTGGGCAGATTCAGAAGCCAACCATCTGTCCTACCTCCACGGGCACCCCTCTGTCCAGCTACCCAAAGCACACATCTGGACCACATCTGTCAGCTCCTCACTGGCCTTCCTGCTCCACCATCACCATCCCTCCAGTCTGCTGCCCACTAGGCATCCATAGGGCGTCTGTTAAGACTGGAGTCAGAGCACCTACTTCCTCTACTCCAAACCTTCCATGGCTCCCACCACCATCAGAATAGAGGTCCAGCTCCTCAGGCTGCCATTCCAGGCCTAACTATTGGTTTCCCTTCCCTGTTTCCACCAGACTAAATGGAGACCGGCAGTCCCCAGAATGCTTCCATTTCATCACCACTAAACAAGGTACACATGCTGGTCACTGTCCCTGGGACAGCCTTCCAGATCTCATTCCACAGGATTCCAGAAATGGGAATCCCTCGATATAACCCCTTGCCTGGATTCAGGATGGTAAGGGTAAGTGACTCCCAGGGCAGGGCCCAGGACCCACGTGTGAGGACAGGACACGATCAAGAGTCCCAGGACACCAACATCCCCTCTATCTGGGCTTCAGGATCCTGAGGGCCGGAATCCCAGCGGGTGAGGGCCTGGGGCACACTCCACTTACCTGCGCCGGGCCCATCAGCAACGCTGGCAACCCCATTAGAACCTGTGGGCTGGGCAGGGCCATAACAGGAGGCCCAGGGCTAGCCCTGCCGCTGGGCCGAACCCTCACACTTCCGCTGGGTGACGGTCGCACTCAGGACCTGTCTTCCCAAATGCAAAATGCGCGCAAGGCCTCTGGGCACCGCAGGGACGAAGGCTGGGTATGGAGACCCTGGAGACGCGTGGCGCTGGCTCCACTTTCGGGAACACCTTGGCTCATAAAAGCAGAGTAATTAGCCGGGCACTATGGTGCGTGTGAAGGCGCGGTGACGGTCCCTGCACCCACTCCCGTGCCCTGGTGTGGCTCCAGAGGCCTGCTGTAGCCCAACCCACCAGCAGCAAAATGAGGACCGCAATGGCGGCGCCGGAAGTCCCGCCTCTCAATGACAGCTCGGACTTGCCACTGGTCCGAGCTTTCATTGGCTCAAGGATCCCCGCCGTCTATGACGCTATTTCCCTATGCCCGTCACGCTACTGCTAGGTCGTTGCCAAGGTGATTGAGGAATGGCGTTTATTGCGTCGCTGCTCAGGCAACGCAAACTACATTATCCAGAAGGACCCTCGCGGTGCCTCAGGGCTGGCCATTGGCAGCCGAGGAGACAGGCACTTCCGGGCGGAGTGTAAGACGCTGGCCAATCACAGCCTGGCAGCGGGACTTCCGTCGTCGTCCTCGGACCATCACTTTGGCATTTCTCGATTTTGTCTGCTTCTGAAGGGACCGCGTTGTCAGGCGAGGGACGGAATCTTGGAGGCTCCCTGGGCCCATGGAAACAGGAGCGAGGAAGGCACGAGAGTCGGGGAAGTTCCGCCTTCTTGACATACAAGCGCCCCCACCGCGGCGAATATCGCCCCTGAGCCCAGTGTTCGCCCCCCACAACACCGCACCCCCCTTCCCCACCCTGTGCCTTAGATAAAGCCGGCCCAGTGGGACCCTCAGGTTGCACCGCGCGGAGGTGTCCGCGGCTCTCGGGAGTCGTCGCCCTTGGCGTTATGTTGGCTTTAGGGAGCGCGAGGCCGAGGCCAAGAAAAGCTACGCATTGGGAGGTCTTGACCCAGTGTGCGCCCGGCTGTAGGCATGGAACGTGCGCCAAAGGTCTCCTGGCACCCACTCCGCTGGACTCAGCACCATTGTCCTAAGTCTCCGATTGAGAAGTATCTGCCCCAGGTCCTCTGCGGGCCCCACTGAACAGTGTGGAGCGTTCACAGGTTGGGGGTCACCATTTCAGAATCCAGTTTGTTGAGACGTGGAGGGTACAGGAGGAGGGATCTGCATATGCGAAGACTTGGACTTGACCCTGACCTGAGCGTTCAGGCAGGCTCTCATGCCCCCTTGGCAGCGAGTGGAGAGCGTAAGAGGAGTCCTGCCTCTCCTGGCACACCGAGGGCGCCTGGGAGCCATGAAAGGTGTTGAACAGAAAAGGGATGGACATGACCTGAGTTAGAATTTGGAAAGTATTTCAGTGGTTGCTGAATGAACACACTACTGGAGAAGGTGGTTGTAGTGGGGCTGGAAGCAGGGAGACTGTGGGGGAGGTTATTGCAGTATTGTTCCAGACAGTTATGATAGTGGCCTGTCCAGAACGGAAGCAAGAAGGATGGGAGAAGTGATCAGATTCCCAGTGGATCTTCAAGATAGAGCTAATGGAATTTTTTGCTACCTTAGATAAGTGGAATAAGCATGAGTAGGGGTGAAGGACCATCCCAAGTAGTTAGGAAGAATTAGGATGCCTCCTGTGGAGAATAGAGGTTGGCAGTTGGCAGGAGGAGGATGTTTCATGGAAGATTAGCGATGGATTTTGTAGGTATAGAGTCTGAATTGTCTGGAGACCTGTGAGTGGAGGTGTCAAATGGGCCTCTGGATATATAGAATTCTGGTGTGGCTTCAGGACGTCCAGACTGCATTATGTTGGTGGCCTGGCCCAGTGAACGGCCTGAGGATAGGATTTGGGAAGGAGGGTTTTAGGTTGGAGGACCAGTGGCTAGGGCTCACGCTCAGTGCTTAGATCACATCTGTCTGCCCATTGGCTTGGTGTTGCAGGGCTTAATGACCTTTGAGGACAGGGTCAGTACATCTTCCAAGAATGTGGGGCTCCTTAGTGAGGTCCAAGGGGGCTTCTACAGTGACATGATACTACAGAGCTTTGTACTCCAGTGCCCACTAGGTAAGGCTACTGTGTCTCCTCTTTCCCCTACACATGAAATCTAGGTTTTCCTCCGCCTTTCCATTGTTCCCTCTGGGAGGTGCTGCTGGCCCTGGCACTGGCCAGTGTCCTGCTGTGTCCGGAATTGTTTCCTTCCTCTGGGTTCTTGGTCTCGCTGACTTCAAGAATAAAGCCGCGGACCCTCGTGTTGAGTGTTACAGTTCTTTTTTTTTTTTTTTTTTGAGACGGAGTCTCGCTCTGTCGCCCAGGCCGGACTGCGGACTGCAGTGGCGCAATCTCGGCTCACTGCAAGCTCCGCTTCCCGGGTTCACGCCATTCTCCTGCCTCAGCCTCCCGAGCAGCTGGGACTACAGGCGCCCGCCACCGCACCCGGCTAATTTTTTTTTTTTGTATTTTTAGTAGAGACGGGGTTTCACCTTGTTAGCCAGGATGGTCTCGATCTCCTGACCTCATGATCCACCCGCCTCGGCCTCCCAAAGTGCTGGGATTACAGGCGTGAGCCACCGCGCCCGGCCCTGTTACAGTTCTTAAAGATGGTGTGTCCGGAGTTTGTTCCTTCAGATGTTCAGATGTGTCTGGAGTTTTTTCCTTCTGGTGGGTTCGTGGTCTTGCTGACTTCAGGAGTGAAGCTGCAGACCTTCGCAGTGAGTGTTACAGCTCTTAAAGGTGGCACATCCAGAGTTGTTCATTCCTCCTGGTGGGTTCGTGGTCTCGCTGACCTCAGGAGTGAAGCTGCAGACCTTTGCAATGAGTGTTACAGCTCGTAAAGGTGGCGTGTCCAATGTTGTTTGTTCCTCCCAGTGGGTTTGTGGTCTCGCTGGCTTCAGGAGTGAAGCTGCAGACCTTTGTGGTGAGTGTTATAGCTCATAAAGGTAGTGTGGACCCAAAGAGTGAGCAGCAGCAAGATTTATTGCGAAGAGCAAAAGAATAAAGCTTCTACAGCATGGAAGAGGACCCGCGGGTTGCCGCTGCTGGCTTGGGTGGCCAGCTTTTATTCTATTTGGCCCTGCCCACATCCTGCTGATTGGTCCATTATACAGAGCACTGATTGGTCCATTTTACAGAGCACTGATTGGTCCATTTTACAGAGCACTGATTGGTCCATTTTTACAGAGTGCTGATTGGTGAGTTTACAAACCTATAGCTAGACACAGAGTGCTGATTGGTGCATTTACAATCCTTTAGCTAGACAGAAAAGTTTTCCAAGTCCCCAGCCAATTAGCTAGACACAGAGCGCTGATTGGTGCGTTTACTAACCTTTAGGGAGACACAGAGCGCTGATTGGTGCATTTTTACAGAGTGCTGATTGGTGCGTTTACAAACCTTTAGCTAGACACAGAGCGCTGATTGGTGTGTTGGCAGTCCTTTAGCCGGACAGAAAAGTTCCCCAAGTCCCCACTGGACCCAGAAGCCCAGCCGGCTTCACTTTTCACTGCTACTTATCCCTGGCTGCTGCATAAACAACCCCCACACCTTCCCTGGGATCTTGACAACCTTGTGAAGCCACAGTGATGGTCCCTGCACCCACTCCCACGCCCTTGTCCAGCTCTAGAGGCCTCCTGTAGCCCAACCCACAAGCCACAAAATGAGGACCATCATGGCGGTGCCGGAAATCTCACCCCTCAATGCCCACCTGGAATCGGAAGTCTCAAAACCTGTGTAGCATATCACATGCAGCTGGGTCGTTTCCTGGCTAGGTTACCCTGTCAGGATCTGTGACTTTTCTGTCCTTTCTGCCACATTCCCTCACTCTAGTAGGAGTTTTCTGCCAGCTGTCCCTTGTGAGTCCCAGTGGGCACTGACATGGTCATTGATTGTGGGGTCACTGAGCATTGACTTTGTGAAGTTCAGTTCTTTCCAGCTATATACCTGCATAGGTGATCTTCACCTACGGTGATTTGTCATGGGGTGGATCACCTTGACGTGGGCTGCCTTCTCACAAACCACTTGATGAGAGCTGTATAGGATCACTGCCACCACCCCCGCCATGTGATCACCTAACTAGAACAAATGAAGAGACCTGGCTGGTGGACAGGGTGGCTTGAATTAGGCCATGGACAGAGAGGCCCCATGGTGCACCAGTTCTGTTGAGTGGAAGACAGCTGTGGCAGAGCTGTTGGCAGTGCCCTGGTGGCTCACCTGGTACCTGAGTTGTGCCCTCTGTTGTCCTGGCACCAGGATGTATAGCTGTGCCTTTTAAAAAAAATTTTCCTGACCTTCTTCTGACACTCTATCCTACTTTGCCCTGACTCCTGTTCCCTGGATGGCTTCCTCTCTGTCTTCCAAGATTCACTCTTTCCCCTTCTCCCGTCCTCCCCTCCAGTGGCCAGGTCTTCTACCATTGGCCTCCCTTTAATGTGTCTTGAACGGATAATGTATCTTTAAATAGTTGTTATCTGCACATGGTGGCTCATAACTACAGTCCCAACTACTTGGGATGCTGAGGCAGGAGGAGCGCTTGAGACCAGGAGTTTGAGTCCAGCTTGGGCAACATAACGAGATCCTATCTCTAAAATAAATAAATAAATACATAGATACCTAAATAGTTTTTGAAAACCTCTTCTTCCGTGAGACTGGCTTGTTCCATTTGAGGAGTATGGGCATAGGTGTCAATGGTTCAAGACCTGGACTTCGCTCACTGCATGGTACTGACCTGTCACCAGACACTAGGGCCCTGCAGCTCCACATTTTGCAGAACCTACAGAGAACTGACACTGAAGAGATAGCTGATAAATACACAGCATATGGAAAGGTGTTTGAGGGGAAGCAAGCCTTTTCTCCTACCAAAAAACTTCACAGTGGAAAAAATTGCAAGTGTATTATGAGCATGGGAAGGCCTTCACTTTTGTCTTCATCCTGAGAAAGCAGGAGTACATGCACATCTTCAAAGGCCCTTACAAGTATAGTAACATGGGGAATCCTCCAGCCAGAACTCTACCTCCTTTGAGCACCAATATGTTCACCCCAGAGAAAGTCCCCATAAGCGCAAGGAGTGTGGTCCAGCCATGAGCAAAATTTTGCAAAACTCTCCTCTGTATCAAAATGGTCATACCCTAATGAAGGACTCCTAAGTTCAGGGAATGTGGGGCACTGCCAGCTGTCCTGGTGGCTTCCCTGGTACCTGACTTGAGGTTCATACATGTTATATTCAGAGTTCTGCTTTCATTAGCAAAAACAAATTAACACCGGAAAATGGTTGTACAAATGCAATAACTACATGAAAGCTTTCAGTGAAATATGAAACCTCATCCTGCAGAATTCTCATCAGAGAGGCCCAGTGCATGCAGCTAATGTTGGAAAGCCTATTCTCAATTTTAATCCTATTTAGCACCAGCAATTTACAGCATTGTGAGTGTAGCATGTAGGAGAGCAAAAAATTGCAGCTCCTGCCTTGATGTGCACAAAGTGATTCACACTGGAAAAACCCTCTATGAGTGCAGCCAGCATGGGAGAGCATCGGCCACAGCTCCTGCCTTGCTTGGCACCAGAAACTTCACCCTGGAGAAAAGCCTTTTGATTATAGTAAATGTAGGAAAGTCTTCACCTCCCTTATTTAGTATAAAAGAATTCACACTGGCCAGGTGTGGTGGCTCATGCCTGTAATCCCAGCACTTTGGGAGGCTAAGGCAGGGGGATCACCTGAGGTCAGGAGTTTGAGACCAACCTGGCTAACATGGCAAACCCCCTCTTTACAAAAAATACAAAAATCAGCTGGGCATGGTAACGCCCATCTGTAATCCCAGCTACACCAGAGGCTGAGGCAGGAGAATTGCTTGACCTCAGGGGGCAGAGGTTGCAGTGAGCTGAGTTAGAGCCACTGCACCCCAGACTGGGTGACAGAGCAAGACCCTGTCTCCCTCACCAAAAACAAACAAACAAACAAACAAAAAACACAGCTGGGTGCAGTGGCTCACGCCTGTAATCCCAGCACTTTGGGAGGCCGAGGCAGGCAGATCATTTGAGGTCAGGAGTTTGAGACCAGCCTGGCCAACATGATGAAACCCTGTCTCTACTAAAAACAGAAAAATTAGCCGGGCATGGTGGCAGGCACCTGTAATCCCAGTTACTCAGGAGGCTGAGGCAGGAGAATCACTTGATCCTGGAAGGCGGAGATTGCAGTGAGCCAAGATCATGCCACTGCACTCCAACCTGGGCAACAGAGTGAAACTCCATCTCAAAAAACAAACAAACAAAACAAAACCCAGCCCTACATGAGTAGCCTTCAGCCACAGCTAAACCTTGTGTAGAAGGATTCCTCCCTGAGGAGACACTCCATGATGGCCCTGCATGTGGAGAAGCTGACAGAACCCATGTTGTACCATGATCGCCCTGCATGTGGAGAAGCTGACAGAACCCATGTTGTACTTTGCAACCCGCTGAGGGACCTTGGCAGAGCTATCACACCACTGGGTCCTGTGGTGGAAGCCCATCTCTGTTTTATGGTGACTTCCCAGTTGCTCAATGTAAGTCACTCCCTGTTTCCTGTTTATACTACCTTGGAGGGATGGTAGGGGCCTTGCACACATTGGGGTGGTATCATGCTCACTCATGATGGGGTTTGACATGGACATGACCCCATTCCAAGCAAGGAGCCTGATTGGATAATTTCTTTCTCTTTTTTTTTTTTTTTTTTTTTTGAGATGGAGTCTTTCTCTGTCACCAGGCTGGAGTGCAGTGGTGCGATCTCAGCTCACTGCAACCTCCGCCTCCCGGGTTCAAGAGATTCCCCTGCCTCAGCCTCCCAAGTAGCTGGAATTACAGCCACACACCACCTCGCCCGGCTAATTTTTTGTATTTTAGTAGAGACAGGGTTTCACCATGTTGGCCAAGATGGTCTCGATCTCCTGACCTCGTGATCCCCCCACCTCGGCCTCCCAAAGTGCTGGGATTACAGGCATGAGCCACTGCACCCGACCTCTCTCCTTTTGTCTTTTCTTTTTTCTTTTCTTTTCTTCTTTCCTTTCCTTTCCTTTGCTTTCCTTTCCTTTTCTTTCTTTTCTCGTCCTTTCTTTTCTTTTCTCTCTTTCTTTTTTTTGAGGCAGAGTCTCACTCTGGTGCTCAGGCTGGAGTGCAGTGGCATGATCTCAGCTCACTGCAACCTCTGCCTCCCGGTTTCAAGCAATTCTTCTGTCTCAGCCTCCCAAATAGCTGGACTTACAGGCGTGTGCCACCATGCCTGGCTAATTTTTGTATTTTTACTAGAGACGGAGTTTCACCATATATTGGCCAGGCTGGTCTCAAACTCCTGACCTCAAGTGATCTGCCTGCCTCGGCCTCCCAAAGTGCTGGGATTACTGGCGTGAGCCACCATGCCTGGCCGACAATGCAGGAGCTTAACCAAAGGACCACGTTGGCTAGGGTCAATCAGCTGCCCCAGGTGACCACCCTTAGTGCTAATCCTGTGCAGGGTAGGGGTCTGAGCCAAAAAGAGGAGGCTCTTGTGTGTACAGAAGGCAATTTGTTGCTATTTTTATTTCATGCCCAATTCATTAAGAATGTTTCAAACAATTAGCATTTTTCTAAGTATTAAGTAATTAACATTTGCCTGAAGAATTACACATTAGATGGATAATGTAAAAATAAAGTGTTTAAGAAGTTAAACGTCTCCAAACATTAAACATTACTTGAGATTGGACATGATGGGTCATGACTGTAATCCTAGCAGTTTGGGAGGCTGAGGCAGGTGGATTGCTTGAGTACAGGAGTTCGAGACCAACCTGAGAAACATGGTGAAACCTCGTTTCTACAAAAAAAGTAAATAAAATTAGCCAGGTGATATGGTTTGGCTGTGTCCCCACCCAAATCTCATCTTGAATTGTAACTCTCATAATTCCCACACGTTGTGGGAGGGACCCAGTGGGAGATAAGTGAGTCATGGGGGCAGTTTCCCCACACTGTTCTCGTGGTAGTGAATAAGTCTCAAGAGACCTGATGGTTTTATAAGGGGTTTCCTCTTTTGCTTGGCTCTCATTTGCTCTTACCTGCCACCATGTAAGACAGGGCTTTCACCTTCTGCCATGATTGTGAGGCCTCCCAGCCACATGGAACTGTGAGTCCATTAAACCTCTTTGTCTTCATAAATTACCCAGTCTCAAGTATGTCCTTATCAGCAATGTGAAAACAGATGAATATAGTAAATTGGTAGAGTGGGGTACTGCTATAAAGATACCCGAAAATGTGGAGGCAACTTTGGAATTGGGTAACAGGCAGAGGTTGGAACAGTTTGGAAGCCTCAGAAGGAGATAGGAAAATGTGGGAATGTTTGGAACTTCCTAGAGACTTGTTGAATGGCTTTGACCAAAATGCTGATAATGATATGGGCAATGAACTCCAGGCTGAGGTAGTCTCAAATGGAGATGAAGTTGTTGGGAACTGGAGTAAAGGTGATGCTTGCTATGTTTTAGCAAAGAGACTGGTGGCATTTTGCCCCTGCTGTAGAGATTTGTGGAACTTTGGATTTGAGGGAGATGACTTAAAGTATCTGGTCCGGGTGCAGTGGCTCACGCCTGTAATCCCAGCACTTTGGGAGGCTGAGGCAGGTGGATCATGAGGTCAGGAGATCAAGACCATCCTGGCTAACATGGTGAAACCCCGTCTCTACTAAAAAAATACAAAGAAATTAGCCTGGCATGATGGCGGGTGCCTGTAGTCCCAGCTACTCAGGAGGCTGAGGCAGGAGACTGGCATGAACCTAGGAGGCGGAGCTTGCAGTGAGCCAAGATTGCAACACTGCCCTGCAGCCTGGGTGACAGAGCAAGACTCCATCTCAAAAAAAATAAAAATAAAAATAAAGTATCTGGTGGAAGAAATTTCTAAGCAGCAAAGCATTCAAGAGGTGACTTTGATATTATTAAAAGCATTCAGTTTTAAAAGGGAAATACAGCATAAAAGTTCAGAAAATTTGCAGCCTGACCATGCAACAGAAAAGAAAAACACATTTTCTGTGGAGAAATTCAAGAAATTTGCATAAGTAACCAGGAGTCAAATGTTAATCGCCCGGACAATGGGGAAAATATCTCCAGGACATGTCAGAGACCTTTGTGGCAGCCCTTCCCATCACAGGCCCAGAGGCCTAGGAGGAAAAAATGGTTTCGTGGGCTCCCCCTGCTGTGTGCAGCCTACAGACTTGGTGCCCTGCATCCCAGCTGCTTGAACTATGGCTAAAAGGAGCCAAGGTACAGCTTAGGCTGTGGCTTCAGAGGGTGCAAGCCTCAAGCCTTGGCAGCTCCCATGTGGTGTTGAGCCTGTGGGTGCACAGAACTCAAGAACTGAGGTTTGGGAACCTCCACCTAGATTTCAGAAGATGTATGGAAATGCCCAGATTTGGAGCAGGCAAAAGTTTGCTGCAGGGGCAGGGCCCTCATGGAGAACCTCTGGTAGGGCAGTGCTGAAGGGAAATGTGGGGTTGAAGACCCCACACTGAGTCCCCACTGGGGTACTGCCTAGTGGAGCTGTGAGAAGGGGGCCACCATCCTCCAGACTCCAGAATGGTAGATACAACCAACAGCTTGGACCACGCACCCGGAAAAGTCACAGACACTCAACACCAGCCCATGAAAGCAGCTGGGAGGGAGGCTGTACCCTGCAAAGCCACAGAGCTGCAGCTGCCCAAGACCATGGGAACCCACTGCTTGTATCAGTGTGACCTGGATGTGAGACATGGAGTCAGAGGAGATTATTTTGGAACTTTAAGATTCGACTGTCCTGCTGCATTTCAGACTTTCGTGGGGCCTTTAGCCCCTTTCTTTTGGCCAATTTCTCCCATTTGGAATGGGTGTATTTATCCAACGGCTGTACCCCAATTGTATCTAGGAAGTGACTAACTTGCTTTTGATTTTACAGGCTCATAGGAAGAAGGGAATTGCCTTGTCTCAGATGAGATTTTGGACTGTGGACTTTTGAGCTAATGCTGAAATAAGTAGACTTTGGGGGACTGTTGGGAAGGCACGATTGGTTCTGAAATGTGAGCACGAGATTTGGGAGGGGCGAGGAACAGAATGATATGGTTTGGCTGTGTCCCCAACCAAATCTCATTTTGAATTGTAGCTTTCATAATTCCCACATGTTGTGGAAGGGGCCCCAGTTAGAGGTAACTGAGTCATGGGGACAGTTTCCCCCATACTATTCTTGTGGTAGTGAGTAAGTCTCACGAGATCTGATGGTTTCATAAGGGGTTTCCTCTTTTGCTTGACTCTCATTTGCTCTTGCCTGCTGCCATGTAAGACGTGCCTTTCACCTTCTGTCATGATTGTGAGGCCTCTCCAGCCACGTGGAACTATGAGTCCACTAAACCTCTTTTTCTTTATAAATTACCCAGTCTCAGATATGTCTTTATCAGCAACGTGAAAACAGACTAATACACCAGGCATCGTGGCTCCTGCCTGTAGTTCCAGCTACTTGGGAGGCTGAAGTTGGAGGACTGTTTGAGCATGGGAGGCGGAGGTTGCAGTGACCCGAGTATGCACCACTGCACTCCATCCTGGGTAAGAGAGTGAGACCCTGTCTCAAAAAAAAAAAAAAAAAAGTAAAAAAAAATTGCTTGAAATGTTAATAATGCCTCTAAGCATTTGATTAAATCACAATAGTACTTAAGTGTTCTTAAATTCTTTCAAAGCAGGAAAAATTTAAATAAAAACATTCAAAAATTGTCGAGCTATCTTACACTATAGGGATCTACAAGTAGAATCAATTCTGTGGACAGTTATAGCTGACAGTAGACAGATATTTATAGATGGAGGTGGGTATAGAGGAAGACAAAATGAATTAACGTACTTGACATCTGAGAACTGTCTAAGGATCCTAAAAACAAGACCCTCACAGGGAAGCAACAAAGAGAGAATCGTTTATTCTCTGCCAACAACATGGTCAGTCTACATTGAGACTGCCCTGCCTTTTGTTGTTATGTGTCAAAGACACTTAGATTGGTCCAGAGAAAAAAGGAACAAAGCATCCATGTTGTGATGTGTGGGGCAAAGCAAGAACTAGATGGTCTAAGGACAAGCAAGGCTGGGGAATTACCTTCTGCTCGTCCAAGTTACAAGGAAAACAAGTTTTGGGCGAGCGTCCAAGAACAATCACAGAATCAAGACAAATGACAAGCGGGTAGTGTCATTACAGGCTGAGAATTCTTGGTGTAGAGGTTGAAAAACGGACCTTAAACCTTTACGGGACACTGACACACAGAGAGATCAAACCCTCGCCCAGGATGCACAGTCAGTGAGATGCAAAGCTGGGAAGGGAACCCGGAGCTCCAGGCATCTGCTCCTCCACCTACACCTGCCCTACCCGGTGCGTTTTCTCCTCCCTGCTACCTGCTGGTGTTGCCTTCTGGAACCTCCGCAGTTTCTGCTTTCACACCTGCAGGGTTTAGTCTCCAGGGCTGCTTAGGTGGGTGCCAGGAACTGGGAATCCCCAACGCGGGACAACCTGCCGGGCGACTCAACCAGTGCCACGGAGCCCTTGGAAACCCGCGGCAGCTGCGCTACTCCATTTCCAGGCGCCCAGCGCGGCGGCGCTTAGCCGTTGCCATGGAGACTGGTAATGGCCCCGCCTCCGCGCCGAAAAACAGGCAGGAACCACATAACCCAGAAGGCTGTGCGCAAGCGTCTGCGCGCGTATTGGGGCAATGTGAGCTCTGGGGGCTGGACTTCCGGCGTTGGGACTGTCACTTGGCTGCTCGCGTCAGGCCACACCGGTGGTCTGGGCTGTGGCGCGCGGGTCGGGGCCCGAGGCGGGCGGCCAGGAAGGTACGGACCACGAGCAGCCGGCCGCGCCCCCAAGCCTCGGTATCTTCGAGTATGACGTGGTCGGCCCGGGGGCGGTCGGGCCCCGGCGGGAACCACGCGTTCTCCCGCCCCGCGGAAGCCCAGGAGGCAGCGCATTGGGCATTCTGCGCCCATGACTGCCGGGCAGGCTGAGGCGCGGGGCAGCCGCGGGAGGCTGCTGGCGGGGATGGCGGTCCCGGGTGGTCCATGCCTTTCTTCCCTCCCAGTTGCGGGTTCCGCTGGCGGCGGTGGCGCTGACAAGCCCGCGCCGGGGGGGCGGGGGAGTCCCTGCTCACACAGACTGCGCCCCCACGGAGTGAGGCCGCTTCCTAGACCTCGCCTAGTCGTCTTTCCTCTCCCTGCCCTGGGGGGGTTGCGGGGGTCAGTGCAAACTCCTGCGTCCAGGGCACTGGTGAGCTCCCGACTTCCGGCAGCCAGGGGGCTGAGGTCCCGAAGGAGGCTCCGAGGGGAGAGTCCTGCGTGTGCAAAACCTGGGAGGGGAGCCGAAGCCCAGATGCTTCTGGGACTGAGCGCTCTCGATGTGGAGCTGGAGTAGAGGGGATGTGTGCGGCTGCAGTAGCAGGCGAGGGAGTGGGCTTTATCTCGAGGGCGTCGGGAGACATAGAAGTTTTGAACAGAATCAGGACATCCTCTGAGTTGGGACTTTAAAACGGTTCCACCGTTTGTTGCGTGGAGAACAGACATGCAGGGGTGTCGGCATGAAGGGAAGAACCGACTGCCACAGTCTGGGCAGCAGTGGAGGTGGGCGACCAGGTGAATTCTGGTGGATCTGCGGATGCATCAGGTGTGGGCTGTTTGAAGAACTAAGTACCCCATGTTGTTCAGCCTGAGCGCCTGGAAGAAGAGAGCTGCTGTAGATAGAAAGGAGAATTGAAAGGAAAGCAGGTTTCCTTCAGGGGAAAGATCAAGAGTCTGGGATGTCCCAGGTTGGTCATGTCACTGGACCTGACGTTGTTGGTGTCCTGGGCTGAGGACAGGGCCTATAAACTGGACTGAAGAAGGCGATGAGCAGTCAGGCGTGCGGAGTTACAGCTTGAGGGTAAAGAAAACCGGCTGGGGTGCCTGAGGCTATCAGGGGAGGAGTTCGGCAGGTGGCTGAATAGGAGAGGGTGGCAGCAATGTGGGAAAGAAATTGCGGGAGCGCTGAGATCGAGACCATCCTGGCTCACACAG
The DNA here is from genome assembly GCF_000001405.40 of Homo sapiens. Lineage (NCBI taxonomy): Eukaryota > Metazoa > Chordata > Mammalia > Primates > Hominidae > Homo > Homo sapiens. The sequence continues at coordinate 58,452,917 of NC_000019.10, forward strand.
TGAAACCCGGTCTCTACTAAAAATCCAAAAAAATTAGCCAGGTGTGGTGGCGGGAGGCTGAGGCAGGAGAATGGCGTGAACCCGGGAGCCGGAGCTTGCAGTGAGCCGAGATTGCCCCACTGCACTCCAGCCTGGGTGACGGAGTGAGACTCCGTCTCCAAAATAAAAATAAATAAATAAATAAATAAATAAATAAATAAATAAATAAATAAATTGAGGAGGGGGCGCCATGTGGAGGGAGGAAGGGATTGAGTTCCCCTGTGTTCACAGGTTCTTGGGGCTGCACCCCTATGACGACTGGTGGGGATCATCCAGTCCCTCAGGCTGGATGAGCAGCCTGGAAATGTCAGGCAAGCGCAGCAGGGGAAGGTCTCAGTGATGGGCATGCCTGGGGGGTCCACAGCTGGGACTTACACCCTTGCTTATTACAAAAGCAAGAAGGGCACATCTGGGGAGGGTCATGAATGGTCATGCTGAGTCACGAGTGGATATTTGGGGCTGCCCTTGGTGTGGCAGCTAAGGGCCCAGCCAGGGCTTGCTCTAGCCTGCTTGTGTAGGGGTGGCCAGTGGGGAAGTCAAGAAGCCATCTGGGGCCTGGACCAGGAGGGCAGAGGGGAGGGGTCCCAGACAGGTGAGGGAAGTGCCACCTGAAGATAATCTCGGGGTGGAACCCAAGGAAGGAGGGACACTGGGGGAGGTGACTGTTGGGATGGGGAGCTTGGTCCTGGCTCACAGCCATACCTTAGACCATGCCTACCTCCACCTCCCTGCTGTTTTAGGACCTGATGACCTTCGAGGATGTGGCCGTGTACTTCTCCCAGGAGGAGTGGGGGCTCCTGGACACAGCGCAGAGGGCCCTGTACCGCCACGTGATGCTGGAAAACTTCACACTTGTGACCTCACTTGGTAAGGCCCTGGGTGCTCCATGAAAAGTGCACTTGGTGACAATCAGGACTGCCTCTTCACTTCCCTCCTGGTTGATGAGCAGGATCAAATCTGGCCAGGGCCACGTGGAACAAGGGTCTGGTCCTGTAGACACAAAGTTTGGTTGGGTCAGCCACTCCTTGCCGCCCTGTCCAGCTGTGGCCTCTCTCATGCCTGGGCTCAGTCCCGTTGCTTTGGTGCTCTGGGCACAGTTGCTGCTCTGGGGACACATGAGCTATTCCTATGAGCCCCTTGCCCTGTGCTATCTTTAGATTCTCCCAGTTGCACAGATTACTGTCTATTTCCATGAAGCCCTGACTCCTGCTCTCTGTTGGGAGGTGGGTTGTCTTGACCTGGGGCTGGGCTCTCACCTGCTCCTCCTCACAGGACTCTCTACCTCCCGACCTCGTGTGGTCATTCAACTTGAGCGTGGCGAGGAGCCCTGGGTTCCCAGTGGAAAGGACATGACCCTGGCCAGGAACACCTACGGGAGGCTCAACTCTGGTGAGTGGGAGCTCAGGTGGGGTGAACTAAGGACCAACCTGTGGCCAAGCCCATGTCCCTGCTTTTCTGACTCTGGAAACACATCCTCCTCTCCTGCCTCCTACCTGACTCCCTTCTCTTCCATCATCAGCCTCTCCTGGAGGCTGCTGCCTTAGTAGGTGCCCTTGAAGGGAGAGCTCCAAGGGCACAGGAGCTGGGTTCACACAGAAGGGCCTACCTTCAGCTGGGCTGTGTGGCCTTGAACCCTCCACAACTAGCAGCCATTATTGATAGGTATTTATTTCGCCCATCATTTATCTTTGTATTCATCAAATGTTTCCTGAGGGCTTGTGGGCATTGTAGACACAGCCTTGACCAGGACACTCATGGTCCTGCCTTTGTGGGGCTGATGGTGCTAGGGGAGACGCAGTGAGTACGTAGGATTCAGGAGTGCAGTCTTGAGCATTGGTTGGAGGTCATTGCAAGAGCAGGTTTGGGAGTGGGTGCCCAAGACGGGGCACCAGGGGAGAAGGGAGTGAGCTATGGAAAGGGAGGGGGTGGAACAGCCAGTGTGGAGACGTGGGTGGCACGCAGCAGCTGCTGTTTTCCTCAGCTTCACATCCTGGGTGTCTGGGGGCTGCCGCCTTGATCATGGGAGTCCCCACTGCAGTCAGTGCCACACCTGTCAGGGCAGATGCTTCCTCCAAACCCCAGCCCCTCCTGCAGAGCCAGCCTCACCTCTTCTTTTTCCCTAAGCTTTTGTCCCGGCTCCTGGGCTCCCCCTTGCCTGTCCACTCAGCCTGCCCTGGTCCTCTCCTAACCAGGATGCCCCAGGCAACCACCGTTTCTCTGCGTTTAGGTTCCTGGAGTTTGACAGAGGATAGAGATGTTTCTGGAGAATGGCCACGAGCTTTCCCAGATACCCCACCTGGGATGACTACTAGCGTCTTCCCAGTTGCCGATGCCTGCCACAGTGTAAAAAGCCTGCAGCGACAACCGGGTGCCTCCCCATCTCAGGAGAGAAAACCCACGGGGGTGTCGGTGATCTACTGGGAGAGGCTCCTGCTAGGCTCGCGCAGTGACCAGGCCAGCATCAGCCTGCGACTGACCTCCCCACTCAGGCCCCCCAAGAGCAGCCGGCCCAGGGAAAAGACCTTCACAGAGTACCGGGTGCCTGGGAGGCAGCCCAGGACGCCTGAGCGGCAGAAGCCATGTGCACAGGAGGTCCCTGGGAGAGCCTTCGGGAATGCCTCGGACCTGAAGGCCGCCAGTGGTGGCAGGGATCGCAGAATGGGCGCAGCTTGGCAGGAGCCTCATAGACTCCTCGGTGGCCAGGAGCCCTCGACCTGGGACGAGCTGGGCGAGGCTCTTCACGCTGGGGAGAAGTCCTTCGAATGCAGGGCGTGCAGCAAAGTGTTCGTGAAGAGCTCCGACCTCCTCAAGCACCTACGCACCCACACCGGGGAGCGGCCCTACGAGTGCACCCAGTGCGGCAAGGCCTTCAGCCAGACGTCGCACTTGACGCAGCACCAGCGCATCCACAGCGGCGAGACGCCCTACGCGTGCCCCGTGTGCGGCAAGGCCTTCCGGCATAGCTCCTCGCTGGTGCGGCACCAGCGCATCCACACGGCCGAGAAGTCCTTCCGCTGCTCCGAGTGCGGCAAGGCCTTCAGCCACGGCTCCAACCTCAGCCAGCACCGCAAGATCCACGCGGGTGGGCGTCCTTATGCTTGCGCACAGTGTGGCCGCCGCTTCTGCCGCAACTCGCACCTGATCCAGCACGAGCGTACGCACACAGGCGAGAAGCCCTTCGTATGCGCGCTCTGCGGTGCTGCCTTCAGCCAGGGCTCCTCGCTCTTTTTGCACCAGCGCGTGCACACAGGCGAGAAGCCCTTCGCCTGCGCCCAGTGCGGCCGCTCCTTTAGCCGCAGCTCCAACCTCACCCAGCACCAGCTCCTGCACACGGGCGAGCGGCCCTTCCGCTGCGTGGACTGTGGCAAGGGTTTCGCCAAGGGCGCCGTGCTGCTCAGCCACCGGCGCATTCACACGGGCGAGAAGCCCTTCGTGTGCACGCAGTGTGGCCGCGCCTTCCGTGAGCGCCCTGCCCTCTTGCACCACCAGAGGATCCACACCACAGAGAAGACCAATGCCGCAGCACCAGACTGCACCCCGGGGCCAGGTTTCCTTCAGGGACATCATCGGAAGGTGCGCCGGGGAGGGAAGCCAAGCCCAGTCCTGAAGCCAGCGAAGGTCTGAGGTCACAGGTCGCAGCCCAACCCTTTCTTGGCCTTCTGTGAATCCCTTCCACAGCTAAAGGGTCCGAGTGCTCTTCAGATCCACGATGGGGAAAAGCTCTGTGCCTGAGAGTCAGGGACGAGGGAGACCCTTTGGCTGTGGTTCCATTTGCAGGTGGGGACAGGATTTGCCAGTTTAGTCATAGCTCACACCTCCATCCTCAAAGAGGTAACACTGCAGAAACATCAGAGGGAGGACATGTCAGCTGGAACTCTGGTGGGGCTGAGGCTGTAGTTGGGGCCATAGGACGCCGACAAAGGCAGCGCTGCATGGTGGTGCTACTTCATGTGTTATGAGAGTGGATGCTGAGGTGAGGGGGATGCGGACATGGGGTAGGATGACCTAGAGAAACTTATGATGTCTGCACACAAACTGGCCGCTAGACGGACGCTGAGGACATTTTCCCCCTGAGGCCTCTATTCAAGGCTTCCTGGGGGCCATCTCAGCAAACAGGAGACTACAGGGGACTGGGGATCAGGGTGTGGCCTGTGAGTGTCAGCCTCCTCCTCGGAAAAAGAAAAGCTTTGGGTCAACTCAGCATCATGTTTGCAGATGCTGACAGACGGGATCCTAATGAGAGTCAATGTGTGCTCACTGCCAGCTCCTGGGCTGTGCTCTGGTCAGCCAGGTGTGAGGGCCTGGCCTGGGGTCACACAGCTGACTCAGGAGAGGAATGCCCATGGTTCTCAGCATTGGAAGGACAAACCTAGGATGATGGCTTTCCAGTGGCACTCGTTCAGGTTTTCGTCCAAGTCTCAGCTTGGCCAAGGCCTGTCGCTCACTCATTTACAAAAGTCGATGTGAGGAGGAGCCTTTACACCTGTGGAGACAGTGATAGCTTTGGAGCAGATAAGGTGGAGCTGCTCATTTTTGCTGGATTTGGTGGCCGATCCCCGCCCCCACCCCCACCCCCTCCATCTCACCTTTCCCTTGTTATGCCTCCTCAATTGGAGGCTGGACAGAGAGCTGAATAGGAAGGACTTGCCATTACCTAAGGCCATGTGTGACAGCCTCCTGAGGACCTCCCCAACCCAGTGTGATGGGCCTGCATGGCAGAGACAAAAGGGTAGACTGGGGGTCATTTGCTTCCTGTGGCCTTAAGCCTACTAGGCCCCATCCTTACCTGAGACCTCACCTCCAAGAAATTAATGGTCTTTTCAATGGAGAAAAAAAAAGACTAGTATTTGCAACTTCAAATAGATGTAGTTTCCTTTACAGCCGTGTGGACCTCCACAGCACAGCCTCCTGTCTCTATTCCAGGGTATGATTCAGTTGTTTGTTTGTTTTTGAGACAGAGTCTCAAGGCAACTCTTCTTGCCCAGGCTGGAGTGCAATGGCACAATCTCGGCTCACCGCAACCTCCGTCTCCCAGGTTCAAGTGATTCTCCTGCCTCAGTCTTCTGAGTAGCTGGGATTACAGGCGCCCACCACCATGCCCGGCTAATTTTGTATTTTTAGTAGAGACAGGGTTTCTCCATGTTGGTCAGGCTGGTCTCGAACTCCCAACCTCAGGTGATCTGCCCATCTTGGCCTCCCAGAGTGCTGGGATTACAGGCGTGAGCCACTGCGTTTGTTTTTCATGAAGCGTCTCAGTCTGTCGCCCAGGCTGGAGTGCAGTGGAGCAACCTCGGCTCTGCCTCTTGGGTTCAAGCCATTCTCCTGCCTCAGCCCCTCCAGTAGCTGGGATTACAGGCTTGCACCACCATACCTGGCTAATTTTTGTATTTTTAGTAGAGACGGGGTTTCACCATGTTGGCTGGGCTGGTCTCAAACTCCTGACCTCAAGTGATCGGCCCATCTTGGCCTCCCAAAGTGGTGAGATTACAGGCGTGAGCCACTGCGCCTGCCTACATACCATGATTTTAAAGTTGCAGCTGTTTCCTATTGCTTGTAACTCAGTCTTGTCTTTTCAATGGTAACCAATTTCTGTTTCAAACTGAAAGGTTCATGAGGGTGAGTTCTTCTATTAGTCTGTTTTGTGTCACTATAAAGGAACACCTAAGGCTGGGTAATTTATAAAGAAAAGAGGATTAATTGGCTCATGGTTCTGCAGGATGTACAGCCATGGCACCAGCATCTGCATGGCTTCTGGTGGGACCTCAGGAAGCTTGCAATCATGATGGAACATGAAGGAAGAGCTGGCATATCACATGGCAAGACAGGAAGCAAGGCGGGGGGGAAGTGTCACACATTTTTTTTTTTTTTTTTGAGGAGTCTCGCTCTGTTGTCCAGGCTGGAGTGCAGTGGCACGATCTCGGCTCATTGCAACCTCCGCCTCCCGGGTTCACGCCATTCTCCTGCCTCAGCCTCCCGAGTAGCTGGGACTACAGGTGCCCGCCACCACGCCCAGCTAATTTTTAATATTTTTAGTAGAGACGGGGTTTCACCGTGTTAGCCAGGATGGTCTCGATCTCCTGACCTTGTGATCCGCCCGCCTTGGCCTCACAGCAGAGTGGTGGGATTATAGGCGTGAGCCACCGCGCCCGGCCCACTTTTTTTTTTTTTTTTCTGAAATGGAGTTTTGCTCTTGTTGCCCAGGCTGGGGTGCAATGGCACGATCTCAGCTCACTGCAACCTCTGCCTCCTGGGTTCAAGTGATTCTCCTGCCTCAGCCTCCTGAGTAGCTGGGATTACAGGTGTGCACCACCATGTCAGCTAATTTTTGTATAATATTTTTAGCAGAGACAGGGTTTTGCCATGTTGGCCAGGCTAGTCTCAAATTCCTGGCCTCAAGTGATCCACCCGCCTCAGCTTCCCAAAGTGTTGGGATTACAGGTGTCAGCCACCGCACCCAGCCCATCACACACTTTTAAACAACCAAATCTTTCATGAACTCAGAGCAAGAGCTCACTTCTCACCAAGGGGGATGGTGGCAAGCTATTCATGAGGAATCTGCCCCCATACTATAGTTTGGATGTTTGTCCCCTCCAAATCTCATGTTGAAATGTAATCCTCAATGTTGGAGATGGGGCCTGGTGAGAGGTGTTTGGGTCATGGGGGTGGATCGCTCTTGAATCTCTTGGTGCTGTCCTCAAGGTAGTGAGTTCTCACAAGATTTGGTTATTTAAAAGTCTGTGGCACCTCCTTCCTTTCTCTCTTGCTCCTGCTCTCACCAGGTGAGATGCCTCCTCCCCCTTTACCTTCTGCCATGATTGTAAGCTTCTTGAGAACCTAGCAAGAAGCAGATTCTGAAGCCATGCTCGTACAGCCCTCAGAACAGTGATCCAATTAAACCTCTCTTCTTTATAAATTACACAGCCTCAGGTATTTCTTTATAGTAATGCAGGAATGGCCTAATATACCTCATGATCCAACACCTCCCACTAGGCCCCATGTCCAACACTGGAGATCACATTTCAACATGAGATTTGGAGGAGACACACATCCAAACCATATCAGTTCTCTTGTCCCTGAGTGAAGAGGCACTTGCTCCCTCTAAACCCAATTCTAGGTGACTAGAGATTTATGAAGGTGTCGGGATGTTTGTTCATGATGCATAGTGGCCTCATAGGGTCTCCCTACTTCTTCTGCAAGAAGAACACCTTCAGGGGCTTTCAGCTCAGCCAGAAGATTCACATAAAGGTTGTTCATCTGGTACCTTGAGCACTCTGCCAACACAGGTGATCACAGATTCCAAGACACATAAAAGAGTGAATCACAACTCACTGGTGACTCATTGAGGAGTGATGCTCACAAAGCAACACACTTCGTCTAAATACACTGTACTAACCTTGGTCACTTTTGAAAAGGTATTTCTACAATTATTTGAAACTGCTCATGAAAACTGAGCTTTCCCTTAAGGAGCAACCCCCCCACCCTTCGAAACCTATGGAGATCCTATTTCCAAAAACTTAGGTAAATGGACCCAGGTCACTCGAGATGACCCTAAAATGCAGTGGCCAAAACGGAGATCTTTTGAAATTCCTAAAGTAATATATTTGTGTGCACAATAGGAAACTTAATATGTTTGTTCTAAAACCAGACAAATTGGATGGGAGGCCTACTTTCTGTTTGTGCAGGCTATACTCTGATAAGATATTTGAAAGGTTTTTTAAAAAGAGCTCTATAGGCCAGGCACAGTGGCTCATGCCTGTAATTCCAGCACTTTGGGAGGCCAAGGTGGGCGGATCACCTGAGGTTGGGAGTTCGAGACCAGCCTGACCAACATGGCGAAACCCCATCTCTACTGAAAAATACAAAAATTAGCCAGGCATGGTGGTGCGTGCCTGTAGTCCCAGCTACTTGGGAGGCTGAGGCAGGAGAATCACTTGAACCTGGGAGGCGGAGGTTGCAGTGAGCTATGAAACTATAGCAAACTCCAGCCTGGGCGACAGAGTGAGACTCCGTCACAAAAGTAAGTAAATAAAATACAATGAATTCTATGGTCAGATGTCAGCTTAATTAAAAGCTGATATTCAGGCTTTTTTTTTTTTTTTAAGAAAAAATACCTTTCTGCTTTTTCTCATTTGGAGCCTGTTTCTGGGAATTTTTTTTTTTTCTGTTGACTGAAACCCCTTTTTACATATGTTTAGTCCCTTTGTTTGCTTCTTTTCTTGTTAGTATGATGTAAAGTTTTATTGGCCTTCTGAAAAACTTAAAATCTCCCCAAATTGGCTTAGAGCTCTCCCATTTTCTTCTACTTTTTCTTCCTTTAGCTATCTTTGATACCACATAAAGAAATCTAGAGGAGTCTTCTAATATCTCTGAGACCCTTTGAGGAACACAGTAAAGTGTCACATACACCTTTTATGGAGTCTTCTGTCTTCCTCATGGAATCCTAAGTGTAGCAGGCAGTTTATCTTAGGTCTAAAGCTCTGATCTCTTTTACACTGAGTTCTCTGACCTTTTGGCTTGGGGGGTACCAAGGGTTACTTTGTTCTATGAAAGAACATGATCTTTGGGTGTGCACTGGCTGGCAAGTTACTGGCAAGGGCTGCAGTTTTGGCTGATAGCAGTTGTTTTCAGTGAGTGGTTATTACTGCAGGGTGTACTAATTCCTTTGCATGTTTAAATAAGAAAAGTATGGTTTGAACACTTGGAGACTTATAGAAACACTCATCACCAAGGGGGAAGAATCCTTTGGGAGATGGGCTGATCACAGATCACAGAGTGGGCTAATTGGTGCTGGGTGTCCCACCAGCATCAGGGAATGTCCATGCAGTGAGGTGCACTGTGGAAACACAGCCCTGTCCTGTGGTATTTCCATCTTGTGGGGTCCTCAAGATTCCATTTTAAAGTGGAATCCTTGATTTTATTTATTTATTTTTATTTTTTGAGATGGAGTCTCGCTCTGTTGCCCAGGCTGGAGTGCAGTGGCGTGATCTCAGCTCACTGCAAGGTCCACCTCCCGGGTTCACGCCATTCTCCTGCCTCAGCCTCCCGAGTAGCTGGGACTACAGGCGCCCGCCACCACCCCTGGCTAATTTTTTTGTATTTTTAGTAGAGACGGGGTTTCACCATGTTAGCCAGGATGGTCTCGATCTCCTGACCTCGTGATCCGCCCGCCTCGGCCTCCCAAAGTGCTGGGATTACAGGCGTGAGCCACTGCGCCTGGCCTGGAATCCTTGATTTTTAAAGCTCTAGATGTTCTGCCTTTCAACTGTGCCAGTTTTTTACATAGATGGGGTTTCTCTATGTTGGTCAGGCTGGTCTCAAACTCCTGACCTCGTGATCCGCCTGCCTCGGCCTCCCAAAGTGCTGGGATAACAGGCGTGAGCCACCGCACCTGGCCTATGTTGAGTTTTAGGCCACAAAAAATTGACCAAAAATTTTTTGACAATTGCATCTTTAACCATGGACATTTTAAGTTTTGTCCTCAGCTGGGCGCGGTGGCTTATGCCTGTAATCTCAGCACTTTGAGAGGCCAAAGCAGGCAGATCATTTGAGGTCGGGAGTCGGAGACCAGCCTGACCAACATGGAGAAACCCCGTCTCTAATAAAAATCCAAAATTTGCTGGGTGTGGTGGCCCATGTCTGTAATCTCAGCTACTCAGGAGGCTGAGGCAGAAGAATCGCTTGAACCCAGGAGGCGGAGGTTGCAGTGAGCTGAGATCGAGCCATTGCACTCCAGCCTGGGCAATAAGAGCAAAACTCCATCTCAAAAAAAAAAAAAAAAAGTTTTGTCCTCTTCCTTCTTGAGGAGTTGCTTTGAAGCTTCACAGCAACCAAGGAATCTATTTCACTGATGAAACAATTCAATCTACTTTAACATATGGCTGGTTATTTAGAATGTCCATTTTGCATACTACTCTCAGTCTTCCAGACTGCTGGAATGTACAAATAAGGTAATAGAAAATCAATTTACAAAGCTTACAGAAACTTTTAACCTTCCGTGGCCTAAGGCTTTTCCAATGGTCCTGAATGAAGGAACCTACAAACCAGCTCTCCTTAATGTGAGCTCCTGGGAGACAAAAATATCAAAGATCAAGGGCTCCAACCTGGAGATTTTGTTTATGAGAAATGCCATCTAATAAAGGACTCCCTACAACCATGTTGAAGAGAACTCCAGCCTGGGCAACATGATGAAACCCCATCTCAACAAAAAGAACAAAAAAAGCAAAAATTAGCTGGCATGCACCTATAGTCCCAGCTACTTGGGAGGCTGAGGTGGGAGGATGGCTTGGGCCCAGGAGGCAGAGGTTGCAGTGAGGTGGGTTGTGCCACTGTACTCCAGCCTGGGCAAAAGAGCCAGACCCTGTCTCAAAATAAAGAAGTTGAGGGAGGCATATCAGATATTCTTAACCAATCCTTGTGCAAGCTAAATTCAAAGGCATTGACTTGCAGATTCACATTTTTCATTTTTAAAAAATGCAGCCCATGGCCGGGCGCAGTGGCTCATGCCTGTAATCCCAGCACTTTGGGAGGCCGAGGCGGGTGGATCACGAGGTCAGGAGATCAAGACCATCCTGGCTAACACGGTGAAACCCCGTCTCTACTAAAAATACAAAAAATTAGCTGAGCGTCGTGGCGGGAGCCTGTAGTCCCAGCTACTCGGGAGGCTGAGGGAGGAGAATGGCTTGAACCCGGGAGGCGGAGCTTGCAGTGAGCCAAGATCCTGCCACTGCACTCCAGCCTGGGCAACAGAGCGAGACTCCGTCTCAAAAAAAAAAAAAAAAAAAACAATCCTGCTTGAGTAGACATCTTCGATCATTCCAGATCTCCAACTGAGGCAGTCCCATTCCCCAAGAAGGAAGAGGACAAAACTTAAAATGTCATGGTTAAAGATGTGATTGTCAAAAAAAAAAAATTGGTCATTTTAGTTTTTGTGGCCGAAATCTCAATAATCATAATTATGACTGATAGCATACCATATACCAGTCATCTTATAGCTCACACGAGGATGAGAAGTAGAAAATTTGTTAGAAAATATCACTCAGGCGGTCGGGCGCGGTGGCTCATGCCTGTAATCCCAGCACTTTGGGAGGCCAAGGCAGGTGGATCACCTGAGGTCAGGAGTTCAAGACCAGGCTGGTCAACATGGTGAAACCCCGTCTCTAGTAAAAATACAAAAATTAGTCGGTTGTGGTTGCAGGCACCTGTAATCCCAGCTACTCAGGAGGCTGAGGCAGGAGAATCACTTGAACCTGGGAGGCAGAGATTGCAGTGAGCAGAGATCACGCCATTACACTCCAGTCTGGGCCACAGAGCAAGACTCCATCTCAAAAAAAAAAAAACACACACACACTAAAAAAGAAAATATCACTCAGGCCAGGTGCAGTGGCTCACACTTATAATCCCAGCACTTTTGGAGGCCAAGGCAGGCGGATCACTTGAGGTCAGGAGTTCGAGACCAGCCCAACATGGCAAAACCTTGTCTCTACTAAAAATACAAAAATTAGGTGGGTGTGATGGCATGCACCTGTAATTCCAACTATTCGGGAGGCTGAGGCACGAGAATCTCTTGAACCCAGGAGGTAGAGATTGCAGTGAGCCAAGATTGTTTCACTGTGCTCCAGCCTGGGTGACAGAGTGAGATGCTGTCTCAAATAATTAAATTAAAAATTAAAAAATGAAACGTTTGAAGAGTTAAAATGCCTCCAAATATTCATACATTGCTTAAAATGGTAATAATGCCTCTAAGCATTTGATCAAATCACAACTTTAATACTACTTTTTTTTTTTTTTGAGACAGAGTCTTGCTCTGTCACCCAGGCTGGAATGCAGTGGTGTGATCTCGGCTCACTGCAAGCTCCACCTCCCAGGTTCATGCCATTCTCCTGCCTTAGCCTCCTGAGTAGCTGGGACTACAGGCGCCCGCCACCACACCCAGCTACTTTTATTTTTGTATTTTTTAGCAGAGACTGGGTTTCACCGTGTTAGCCAGGATGGTCTCGATCTCCTGACCTCAAGATCCGCCCACCTCGGCCTCCCAAAGTGCTGGGATTACCGGCGTGAGCCACAGCGCCCGGCCACAGCTTGAATAGTTCTAAGTGTTGGGGTTTTTTTTCTTCAGGGTTTTTGAACTTTAATACTTCCTTTTTTTTTTTTTTTTTTTTTTGAAACGGAGTCTCGCTCTGTCGCCCAGGCCGGACTGCGGACTGCAGTGGCGCAATCTCGGCTCACTGCAAGCTCCGCTTCCCGGGTTCACGCCATTCTCCCGCCTCAGCCTCCCCAGTAGCTGGGACTACAGGCGCCCGCCACCGCGCCCGGCTAATTTTTTGTATTTTTAGTAGAGATGGGGTTTCACCTTGTTAGCCAGGATGGTCTCGATCTCCTGACCTCATGATCCACCCGCCTCGGCCTCCCAAAGTGCTGGGATTACAGGCGTGAGCCACCGCGCCCGGCCCTGAACTTTAATACTTCTAAGTGTTGGGGTTTTTTTTTTCCCCCTCAGGGTTTTTGTTTGTTTTTTCCTGAGACAGGGTCTCTCTCTTACCCAGGCTGGAGTGCAGGGGCTCCATCATAGCTCACTGCACACTCCAACTCCTGAACTCAATCCTCCCACCTCAGCCTCCCATGTAGCTGGTATTACAGGCATGCAAGACCATGCTCAGCTAATTTTTATATTTTTTTATAAAGATGGGGTCACATTTTGTTGCTCAGGCTGGTCTCAAACTCCTAGGCTCCAGTGATCGCTCACCTTGGCCACCCAAAGTGCTCAGATTCCAGGTGTGAGCCACTGCGCCCAGTCCTGAAATGTTCTTAAATTCTTTCAAAGTAGCAAAATTTATATTAAAACATTCCAAACATGATGAGCTCCCTTGCTCTACAAGGATTTACAAGTAGAATCAATTAGGTGGACAGTTATAGCTGACAGTTGACAGAGAGATAGTTATAGATGGAGGTAGGTATAGAGGGAGGGAGGCAAAAAGAGTTAAGGAACTGGACAGCTGAGAACTGTCTACAGGTTCCAAAAACAAGACAAAGAACCTTTTATTATCTGCCAAACAAGACAGTCTACATTGAGACTGCTCTGCCTTTCGTTTTTATGTGTCAAAGACACTTAAATTGGCCTGTAATCCCAGCACTTTGGGAGAACGAGGTGGGCGGATCACCTGAGGTCAGGAGTTCAAGACCAGCCTGGCCAACATGGTGAAACTCCATCTCTACTAAAAAATACAAAAATTAGCCAGGCATGGTGGCGCACACCTGTGGTCCCAGCTACTACGGAGGCTGAGGCGGGGGGATCACTTGAACCTGAAGGCAGAGGTTGCAGTGAGCCGAGATTGTGCCACTGCACTCCAGCACGGGCAACAGAACAAAGACCCTGTTAAAAAAAAAAAAAAAAAACTTAAATGAGTCCCAAGAAAAAAGGAAAAAAGAATGAATATTGTGATGTGTGGGGCAAGACAAGATCTAGATGGTCTAAGGACAAGCAAATCTGGGGAATTAACTTCTGCCCATCCAAATTACAAGGAAAACAGATGCTTTGGGCAAGTGTCGAGGAACAGTCTCATACTTAAGACAAATGTAGGCTTACGGGCTGAGAATTCTTGGTGTAAAGGTTGAAAACGGACCTTAAACCTTTACGGGACATTGACACAGAGAGGTCAAACCCGCGCCCAGGACGCACAGTCAGTGAGAGGCAGAGCTGGGAAGGGAACCCGGAGCTCCAGGCATCGGCTCCTCCACCTCCACCTGCGCTACCCGGTGCATTTTCTCCTCCGTGCTCACTGCTGGTGTTGCCTCTTGGAACCTCGGCAGTTTCTGCTTTCGCACCTGCAGGGTTTAGTCTCCGGGACTGCTTGGGAGGACACCTGGAATGCCGAAGGCAGGACTACACACCGGGCGAATCCACCAGCGCCACCAAGCCCTTGAAAACCCGAGGCCGCCGCGCGACTCCATTTCCCAGCGCCCCGCGCGGCAGGGGCTTGGACGTTGCCAAGGAGACCGGTAGTGGCCCCGCCTCCACGCAGGGAAACAGGCGGGAACCACGTGACCCGGAAGGCTGTACGCAAGCGTCCGCGGCGCGCACTGGGCCAATGAGAACCGAAGGGCTGGACTTCCGGCGGTGGGACTGTCACTTCGCCGCCCGCGTCAGGCCACACCGGTGGTCTGGGCTGGGGACCGCGGGTCGGGTCCGGTTTCCAGGGGGTTCCTGGTGCTCGAGGCTGGCGGCGAGGAAGGTACTGGCTGAGGGCCCGCGTCGGGCCCGCCCTGCGCACGCGTCGTGATCAAGGGCGCCGGCCGCCGGCCGCGCCCCCAAGCCTCTGTTTCTCAGAGTGCGTCGTGGGCGTCCAGGGGACTGTCGGGCCGCGGCGGGAGCCATGCGCTCTCCCACCGTGCGGCAGCCCAGGAGGCTGCGCGCTGGGCGTTCCACGTCCATGATGGCCGGGGAGACTGAGGCGCGGGGCGGCCCCGGGACGCTGCTGGCGGGGAAAGGCTGGGTGGTCCACGCCTTTCTTCCCTCCCAGCTGCGGGTTCCGCTGGCGGCGGTGGCGCTGACAAGCCCGCGTCGGGGAAGCAGGGGAGTCCCTGCTCACACAGACCGCGCCCTCACGGAGGGAGGCCGCTTCCTAGACCTCGCCTAGTCGTCTTTCCTCTCCCTGCCCTGGGGGGGTTGCGGGGGTCAGTGCAAACTCCTGCGTCCAGGGCACTGGTGAGCTCCCGAGTTCGGGCAGCCAGGGGGCTGAGGTCCCGAAGGAGGCTCCGAGGGGAGAGTCCTGCGTGTGCAAAACCTGGGAGGGGAGCCGAAGCCCAGGTGCTTCTGGGACTGAGCTCTCTCGATGTGGAGCTGGAGTAGAGGGGATGTGTGCGGCTGCAGTATCAGGCGAGGGAGTGGGCTTTATCTCGAGGGCGTCGGGAGACATAGAAGTTTTGAACAGAATCAGGACATCCTCTGAGGACTTTAAAACGGTTCCACCGTTTGTTGCGTGGAGAACAGACATGCAGGGGTGTCGGCATGAAGGGAAGAACCGACTGCCACAGTCTGGGCAGCAGTGGAGGTGGGCGACCAGGTGAATTCTGGTGGATCTGCGGATGCATCAGGTGTGGGCTGTTTGAAGAACTAAGTACCCCATGTTGTTCAGCCTGAGCGCCTGGAAGAAGAGAGCTGCTGTAGATAGAAAGGAGAATTGAAAGGAAAGCAGGTTTCCTTCAGGGGAAAGATCAAGAGTCTGGGATGTCCCAGGTTGGTCATGTCACTGGACCTGACGTTGTTGGCGTCCTGGGCTGTGGACAGGGCCTATGAATTGGACTGAGGAATGGGCAGGGACTCAGCCAGGTGTGGGCAGTTATGGCTTGAGGGTAAAGAAGACCAGCTGGGATGCCTGGGGCTATTGGGAAGAGCCTAGCACCTAACTGAGGAGGGGAGGGTGGCAACAGAGAGGGGAAGAAAGGGGACACCGGGTGAAAGGAGGAAGGGATTGAGTTCCTCTGTGTTCACAGGTTGTTGAGGCTGCTCCCCTGTGGCGACTGGTGAGAATCATCCAGTCCCTCAGGCTGGATGAGCAGCCTGGAAATGTCAGGCAAGCAGGCTCAGCAGGGGAGGGTCCCAGTGATGGGTATGCCTGGGAAGCCCCTGCTGGGACTCACAGTTTCTTGCTACAAGAGCAGGAAGGGTGCATCTGGGGAGGGTCATGAGTGGTCATGCTGAGTCACGAGTGGACACCTGGGGCTGCTCTTGGTGTGGCAGCTGAGGGCCCAGCCAGGACTTGTTCTAGCTTGCTTGTGTATGGCGTTGCCAGTGGGGAGGCCAAGAAGGCATCTGGGGTCTGGTCAGGGAGGGCAGAGGGGAGGGGTCCCAGACATGTGAGGGAAGTGCCATCTGAAGATGGTGGGGGCAGAACCCAGGGAAGGAGGGTGAGTGTCTGAGGGACATCATGGAAGGTGGCTGTTGGGATGGGGAGCTTGGTCCTGGCTCACAGCCATACCTTAAACTAAGCTTGTCCAACCCACTGCCCAGGATGGCTTTGAATGCAGCCCAAAACAAGTTCGTGAACTTTCTTAAAACATGAGATGTTTATGCAATTTTTATTTTTTTTAGCTCATCAGCTGTTATTAGTGTTAATGTATTTTATGTGTTGCCCAAGACAATTCTTCTTCCAATGTGGCCCAGGGAAGCCAAAAGATTGGATAACCCAGCCTTAGACCATGGCTGTCTCTTCCTCCCTGCTCTTTTAGGACCAGATGGCCTTTGAGGATGTGGCTGTGTACTTCTCCCAGGAGGAGTGGGGGCTCCTGGACACAGCCCAGAGGGCCCTGTACCGCCGCGTGATGCTAGACAACTTCGCACTTGTGGCCTCGCTGGGTAAGGTCCTAGATACTCCATGAAATGGGCAACTGATAACAAGCTGACTGGCCAGGGCTGCCCCCTCACCTCCCTGGTGGCTGACGAGCAGGCCTATACCTTGCAGCCAGGAGCCATGTGGAATAGGGGTCTGGTCCTATAGACATGCAGTCTGGTTGGCTCAACCACTCCCTGTGGCGCTGTCCGGCTGTGGCCTCTCCGAGCCTTGGCTCAGTCCCCTTCCTTTGGTGCCCTGGGCACAGTTGCTGCCCTGGGGATGAATGAGCTATTCCTGTGAGCCCCTTGCCCTGTGCCATCTTTAGATTCTGCAGTTGCACAGATGACATTTTCTGTTTCCGTGAAGCCCTGACTCCTGCCCTCTGTTTGGAGGTGGGTTATCTTGAGCTGGGGCTGGACTCTAACCTGCACCTCCTCCTCACAGGACTCTCCACCTCTCGACCTCGTGTGGTCATCCAACTGGAGCGTGGCGAGGAGCCCTGGGTTCCCAGTGGAACGGACACAACCCTGTCCAGGACCACCTACAGGAGGCGCAACCCTGGTGAGAGGGAGCTCAGGGTGGGGTGAATTCAGGACCAACCTGTGGTCATGCCTCTGTCCCTGGTTCCCAGACTCCCCAGAAGCACCCTCCTCCCCTCCCTCCCACCCGATTCCCTTCCCTTCCATCATCAGCCCCTCCTGGAGGCTGCAGCCTTAGCTGCCCTTGAAGGTGGAGCTCCAAGGGCACAGGAGCGGGGTTGACACAGAAGGGCACTCAGGCTATGGTGAGACCATCTCAGAGTCCTGCTATCAGCTGGGCTGGCCTCAAACCCTCCATGGCTAGTCACTGCCATAATTGATGGGTCATTTTTTTCACCCTTCATCTTTGTGTTCAGCAAACATTTCCTGAGTGCTCACAGTGGTCAGGCCCAGTCCAGGCAATGTAGACACAGCCTCAATCAGGACGACCCTGGTCCTGCTTTTCTGGGGCTCATGGTGTGGTGGGAGAGGCAGTCGGTAAGCAGGATTCAGGAGTATAGTCTAGAGCACTGGATGGAGGTCATTGCAGGAGCAGGTTGGGGAGTGGGTGCCTGAGAAGGGGGACAGGGGCGGGGGGAAGGGGGTAAGCAATGGAAAGAGTGTGGGTGGAATAGCCAGTGTGGAGATGTATGCAGCATACAGCAGCCGCTAGTTTTCCTCAGCTTCACATCCTGGGTGTCGGGGGGCTGCCACCTTGATCATGGGAGTGCCCAGTGTAGTCAGTGCCATACCTATCAGGGCAGATTGTTCCTCCAAACCCCAGCCCCTCCTGCAGGGCCAGCCTCACCTCTACTTTTCCCCTAAGCTTTTGTGCCAGCTCCGGGGTTCCTTCTTGCCTGTCCACTCAGCCTGCCCTGGTCCTCTCCTAACCAGGATGCCCCAGGCAACCACTGTTTCTCTGCCTTTAGGTTCCTGGAGTTTGACAGAGGATAGAGATGTTTCTGGAGAATGGCCACGAGCTTTCCCAGATACCCCACCTGGGATGACTACTAGCGTCTTCCCTGTTGCCGGTGCCTGCCACAGTGTAAAAAGCCTGCAGAGACAACGGGGTGCCTCCCCATCTCGGGAGAGAAAACCCACGGGGGTGTCGGTGATCTACTGGGAGAGGCTCCTGCTAGGCTCAGGCAGTGGGCAAGCCAGCGTCAGCCTGCGACTGACCTCCCCGCTTAGGCCTCCCGAGGGCGTCCGGCTTAGAGAAAAGACACTCACAGAGCATGCGTTGCTGGGGAGGCAGCCCAGGACGCCTGAGCGGCAGAAACCATGTGCACAGGAGGTCCCTGGGAGAACCTTTGGGAGCGCCCAGGACCTGGAGGCTGCCGGCGGTCGGGGACATCACCGAATGGGTGCAGTTTGGCAGGAGCCTCATAGACTCCTCGGTGGCCAGGAGCCCTCGACCTGGGACGAGCTGGGCGAGGCTCTTCACGCTGGGGAGAAGTCCTTCGAATGCAGGGCGTGCAGCAAAGTGTTCGTGAAGAGCTCCGACCTCCTCAAGCACCTACGCACCCACACCGGGGAGCGGCCCTACGAGTGCGCCCAGTGCGGCAAGGCCTTCAGCCAGACGTCGCACTTGACGCAGCACCAGCGCATCCACAGCGGCGAGACGCCCTACGCGTGCCCCGTGTGCGGCAAGGCCTTCCGGCATAGCTCCTCGCTGGTGCGGCACCAGCGCATCCACACGGCCGAGAAGTCCTTCCGCTGCTCCGAGTGCGGCAAGGCCTTCAGCCACGGCTCCAACCTCAGCCAGCACCGCAAGATCCACGCGGGTGGGCGTCCTTATGCTTGCGCACAGTGTGGCCGCCGCTTCTGCCGCAACTCGCACCTGATCCAGCACGAGCGTACGCACACAGGCGAGAAGCCCTTCGTGTGCGCGCTCTGCGGTGCTGCCTTCAGCCAGGGCTCCTCGCTCTTTAAGCACCAGCGCGTGCACACAGGCGAGAAGCCCTTCGCCTGCCCACAGTGCGGCCGCGCCTTTAGCCACAGCTCCAACCTCACCCAGCACCAGCTCCTGCACACGGGCGAGCGGCCCTTCCGCTGCGTGGACTGTGGCAAGGCCTTCGCCAAGGGCGCCGTGCTGCTCAGCCACCGGCGCATTCACACGGGCGAGAAGCCCTTCGTGTGTACGCAGTGTGGCCGCGCCTTCCGTGAGCGCCCGGCCCTCTTCCACCACCAGAGGATCCATACCGGCGAGAAGACCGTCCGGCGATCCAGGGCCAGCCTGCACCCCCAGGCCAGGTCTGTTGCCGGGGCATCATCAGAAGGTGCGCCAGCGAAGGAAACCGAGCCCACTCCCGCCTCGGGCCCAGCCGCCGTCTCGCAGCCAGCGGAGGTCTGAGGTCACAGGTTGCAGCCCTGGCCTTCTGTGAATCCCTTCCACAGCTAAAGGGCATATGTCCTCTGCAGATCCACAGCAGAGAAAAAGTCCCGTGCTTGCTAGTCAGGGACAAGGGAGGCCCTTTGGCTGTGATTTCATTTGCACGTGGGGACAGGATTTGCCAGTTCACCCACAGATCACACCTCCATCCCCAAAGAGGTAGCACTGCAGCAACATCAGGGGGAGGACGTGGTGGCTGAACTCTAGTGGGGCCGAGACTATTCAGAGCCAGTAGGAGGCCGACAGTCACAGCACTGCACTGTGGTGCGGCTTCATGTGATATGACAGTGGATGCTAAGGTGAGAGGGATGCAGGCATGGGTTGGGGGTGGCCCAGAGAAACTTATGACAGCTGTACACAAACTGGCCGCTGGAGAGATGCCCGCTGAGGGTATTCTCCCCTCAACCCACTGCCTCTGTTCATCCAAGACTTCCTAGGGGCCAGCCTAGCAGACAAGAGACCACAAGGGACTGGGGATCAGGGTCTGGGCTCTGTCAGCCGCCACCTCTGGGAAAGAGAAAAGGTTTGGGTCCACTGAACATCATGTTTGTAGACGCTGACAGGTGGGGTCCTAATGAGAGCCAACACATGCTCACTGCCAGCTCCTGTCCTGAGTACTGGGAAGTTTCTCCTGAAGCCCTGTGAGATGGCTCTGTGGCTGGTATCCCGACTTGGAAGATGAGGAAACTGAGGCACACGGCCTGGCCTGGCTTCACACACATAGCCGACTCAGGAGAGGGATGCCCATGGGGGAACATGTGACTCTCAGCATTGGAAGGACAGAGCTAGGATGATGGCTTTCCGGTGGCACTCGTTCAGGTTTTTGCCCAAGTCTCAGCTTGGCCAAGGCCTGTCACTGACTGGTTTACCAAAGTCGATGTGAGGAGGAGGCTTTATACCTGAGGGGATGATGTTAACTTCAGACAAGATGGAGCTGCTCACTTTTGCCGGGTTTGGTGGCCACTTCACCCCCAACCCTGTCTCACCCCCATTATCCCTCCTCAATTGGAGGCTGGACAGAGCTGAATAGGAAAGACTTGCTATTGCCTAAGGCTATGTGTGACACCCTCCTGAGGACCTCCCCACCCCAGTGTAATGGCCCTTCATGGCAGGGACAGAAAGGTGGACTGGGGGCCATTTGCTTCCTGTGGCCTTCAGCAGACCAGGCCCTGTCCCTACCTGGAGCCTCACCTCCAAGGAAATTCATGTTCTCCTTAATGGAAAAAAAAAAAAAAAGACTACCATCTGCAACTCAGAGTAGGTGTTGCAGTTTCCTGTACAGCAGTTTGGACCTCCAGAGCACAGCCTCTTGTCCCTACTCCAGAGCATGGTTCAGTCTTAATAGCAGTTCAAGAGCTTCTCTGATAAAGGTTTCTTTTTAAACATTTGTGTGAACGGTAGCAACCTGACACCTATTTCACCCTCATACAATGCAGATGGTATTGAACATACCCTGACATGCCATCAGCGTTTGTCATCATCACAGAAGTTCCTGGACTTGGCTTCAACCTGGGTACCCTCAAGAGGCCACAGAGTAGAGATACAGCCTGTCTGCAGCCCAGGGAGGGAGTGGGATACCTGTATCCTTTTCAGGGTCAGAGGTGGGTTGGGGTAGCCAGGAGCTGGATGAACTGGGATAGAGTGGGGCTGTCTGGAGCAGCAGCCCTGCTAGATGAGTCCTGGTGGATCCTGGCAATGGGAGGATGGTAGGTGGAGAAACCAAGGCAGGGCTGTGTTCCTTCTGCTGCTGAGATAGAGGGTGTGGCCATGTGTGATGACCCTGCAAGGTTGACTCCAACCAGTGGGCACTCCATCCCATGGCTTCCAAAATCCTGCAGCTATCCTGCCCTATACACAAAGAGCCCAGATCCAGGCCCCACACACTTGATATTGGGGCCAGACTCTTCCACCTGTGAAACCTCACAGGTTCCTGCAGGGAGTGGAGACACACAGAACCTAGCTCCCCTGGAGCCTGCAAGACTTGGGCCACCAGAATCCCAGTAGGTCCCTGAACCATTGTCCCCCAGTAAGTCTGCAGAGCTGTGAAATGCAGACAATAACCCTTCCCTGCCTGAAAGAGCACTTTTCTGGGGAGCCCATGGGAGTCAGGAGCAAAAGCATCTGTCAAACAAGTAGATACCCAGAGAGTCACGTGAAATCATTTCTATGCCTCTGACAGACGCTTCTTGAGCGAAGTTTCTGCCCTGAGCCCGCCTGACCCCTTAGGCTGGGCTCAGTACCCTACCTTGTCTTCCCACCAGCCGCCTCCCTCCATCAAGTTCCTTTCCACGTCTGCTTGTGCCCCTGTTGTCCCTCAGTTTGTCCACCCTCCTCCAATCTTCCCCTCCCCAAACCCATGACTGATCAGTGGCCCCCAACCTAGGCTCCCACCTCCATGCAGGTCTTGGCCCCTCGGCTGACCTCCCTCCAACCTCCCCCTCTGCTCTTAATTTTGAATAGGTAGTGACTGTAAAAGTATCCCTGGGCTTCTATGTCAAAAGGTCAGACTGAACACATGCATCTCACTGGGCTCAGAAATCCACTGAAACCACAGAGGGGAGTATTTAAAACACATAACCCACAAGTATGAGGATGGTGACAGAGGAGTCAGGAGCAATGGCATTCCTAAGCTAGAAGTGGGTGAGAGCTGTCACTAAGTTAGGGAAGGCAAAATACTACGTGGCGACTTGGCGAAGAGGAGAGAGTTCCCACCAGGCTGACTCCAGAACCGCAGAAGGCTGAGAACCAGCAGCCCAGAGACGGGAGACCTATATCAAAGCTGCCTGGGGAACAACTACTGAAGAAGCCCTTAACGCCCCAGTGCTCTCCCCACATGGTGGAGGGTGAAAGTTTTTGTTTTTTTTTCCTTCTGGGACTCTGCATAGTCCCAGAGAAAAGGCCTAAGCACCTCATCCCCAAAAACAACCTGAGGAGGCCGTTGGAAAGCTCCGAGTTGACAAGTCTCATCCACGCACATGCTCGGTGCTTCCAATCGGTGATCAAGACCACTGCTCTTCATCCAGAGCAGGCAGCAGGGATTCCCAGGTATCCAAAGAAACCAAAACAGGCGGTGTAATTTAGGACTGACTAAGTAATGGCTCGGCCACTTTTAAGTGTGGAAGCAAAACTGACCCCACAGATTTAGAAAACTGTAACACTGCTTATTGGGAGAAACTAGTGTCACCCTGGCTAGTTCTGCTCCCCAAATTCAAAGGTAAATAAACGGTTGAGCATGTCCGATCAGCCTGGAGGGAAACCTCCACCCCCGACTTTGTAGGACTGACATCTGAAGACGTCAGAGACTGCGGTCACAACCGTCGGTACCTCCTTAGGGCGCTTAACAGAGGTCAAAGATGGCCCTCGCACCCTCCTGGCGGGAGAAAGCCCAGGCTCAGGGTGGTCTTCTACACCACCGCCTCTCCCGGGTCCACTTGGAAGCGAGTCCCAGCGAACTACTCGACCTAGGAAACCACTGGGCCGCCACTTCCAGCCTCTTCGGAAGTCGAGGCAACGCTCCTGAACGTTGCCACGGGAACAGCTGGAGGCGGGCGGATATGCCCTAGCGTTATCTAGGGGCTGGCCCGGGGAATGGCGTGGGGGCGGCGGGGCCAAGCAAGCGCCACCTCTGATTGGGCAAAACCCCCTCCCCTCACCTGCCAATAGAAACCGGCCCACTGTACAGACGCGCAAGTTTATAACCCGGGAAGAGCTGCTCTCAGAGCGGAGGGAGACCATATAACCCTGGGACTCTGCCGTACCTCCTAGAGGAACAGAGCGCCTCTCAGGCGTCAGAGGCTGCTGCAAATGCGGGTCAGCGGGTCACGGTCGCGCCTGTCTTGCTGATGCTCATGGGAAATGTAGTTCAAAGGGCATGGGCGGTGCCTTCGGTGCAGGCGAGAGATTGGTCAGCGCGGCGTCGCCGGGGCAACACCCGGCTGAGGCGCCCCGCGTTGTGCGGCGCCACATCCGGGAAGCGGCCTCCAAGCAACCGCTCCGGGTTGAGGTGAGCGCAGGCTGCCAGAGTGGGCGCAGCCTTTCCACCCCGTGGGAGGGCTTGGGGTCGCCCTCTGGGGCCTGAACGGCTCCTGCTGTCGGCGCCCTGGAGGGCCCGCCCACTTCCCGACAGGCCGCGCGCGTCACCTCAGCCTTCGCTCAGGCCTTTCCTACCCTCAACGCCGTTCCGGGGGGCCGGGCCTGGCAAGTCCTCTTGGAACGCCTCCCTCTTGCCTTCCCCTTTTGGGGACAGATCCCGAAGTTCGAGCATCCCTCGGATAGGCCGGGTGTCAGGCCTGGTCTCTCAGGCCCGTCCAGGTGGGCGTCTTTCACTGCAGACCTTCAGGGCCGGGATGCTGTGGCCATCCCTCGACTCCGCGCAACGTGGAGCTTTGGCCCCGTTTTTCTTGGCCTTTGCTTTTCGTTTTCACATGCACGGGCCCCGGCAGTGTGAGTCGCCCACGGCTCGCTGTGGTCAGCGAGCACGATGTCCACGTGCCCCCTCCCCAGAGCCATTCCTAAAGGAGGTCCCACCCAGTCAACCTCCCCGAGATTGTGGAGGGCGACTCGTCCCCGTACATTACAGCCTGGCCCCACCTTCTACCCGCCCACCCTGGTCCACTCTCCTCGCACCTCGGCTAGACACTGTGGCTCCTCAGCCTGGCGCTGGAACTCTGTGATGACTGTCTTTCTCCACCTCTTTAGCGTCATCTCCCAGCAGTCCCCTGCTGGACCCAACTGTTTGCAATTTCCAGGAAGCTCCCTGGACACCTTGCGTCCAAGCATTTGTCCCTGAGGCTTCCTCCTGCTCTCATTTGCCATCATTGTTTGGGTCCTGTGACCCTCCTCCTTCCATGAAGCTTTCTTGGCCTTATCTCTTCTGGCCTCAGAGTACACTTGGTCCTGGTCTCAGCCCCCTGGGCTGAGCCTGGTGTCTGCCTTCCCCTGGCCAGATTCTCTTGGCTGACATTCCGACCCTTCCTTTTCTGTAGGCCCATCTTGACGATTCCAAGACCACCCCCTTGAGCAAGAATGCCATCCCCTCTGGGTCCCCCATGCCTGCCCGTCATGGACCCAGAGACCACCCTTGAGGAGCCTGAGACTGCCCGCCTCCGCTTCCGAGGGTTCTGCTACCAGGAGGTGGCAGGTCCCCGAGAAGCCCTGGCCCGGCTGCGTGAGCTGTGTTGCCAGTGGCTGCAGCCTGAGGCACACTCCAAGGAGCAGATGCTGGAGATGCTGGTGCTGGAGCAGTTCCTGGGCACACTGCCTCCCGAGATCCAGGCCTGGGTGCGCGGTCAGCGGCCAGGCAGTCCTGAGGAGGCCGCTGCCCTAGTCGAAGGACTGCAGCATGACCCTGGGCAACTGTTGGGCTGGGTGAGTGTGGCTGGCATCAGCTTCTTGGAGGGATAGACCCTGGCTAGAGCCATTGTGACCTACCTCTTCTCCTCAGATCACAGCCCATGTCCTGAAGCAGGAGGTGCTCCCTGCAGCCCAGAAGACAGAGGAACCACTTGGGAGCCCCCACCCCTCAGGGACAGTGGAGTCCCCTGGGGAAGGTCCCCAGGACACCAGAATAGAGGGGTCTGTCCAGCTCAGCTGCAGTGTGAAGGAGGAGCCCAATGTCGATGGACAGGAAGTGGGTGAGGTTGGGGTCCCACCAGAGATGAGGGACTCCTGGAGGAAGTGTGGACATTCCTGGCTAGGGTGGGAGTCCCAGGAGAGGTGTGTCAAGGCTGGGACTCCTGAAGTGAATGTGGATGTCCCTGTCTGGGATGGGGACCTGGGAGGCAGGAGCCAAGGGCTGGCTACGTGCCATGTCACACAGCAGAGGAGCTCCTCATCTGCCATGGCTCATGTGGGCAGCCCCTGACACCACCCTTCCATCTGCCCCACTTTTCAGCACCCTCCAGCCCTCCACTTGCAGCACAGTCCCCTGAGGGGAACCATGGACACCAAGAACCAGCCTCCACATCCTTCCACCCACCCAGGATTCAGGTGAGCAGCCCCAAGTGGGAAGTATAGGCCCCAGGTGTGAGAAGGGACTGTCCCCATGGCTGCCCTCTGCCTGGTGGTTTTCCAGGCTCCTTGACTAGTGGCTCTTTGCTTCCCAGAAGTGGAGTCTGTAAAAGCTGTACCCCTCCACAGGACCTGGGGCAGAGGGACAGACTGGTGATCTATTATTGAAAAGGATTTGGGGCTGGACATGGTGGCTTACACCTGTAATCCTAGCACTTTGGGAGGCTGAGGTGAGCGGATCACCTGAGGTCAGGAGCTCGAGACCAGCCTGACCAATGTGGTGAAACCCTGTATCTACTAAAGATACAAAAATTAGCCAGAAGTGGTGGCAGGCGCCTGTAATCCCAGCTACTAGGGAGGGTGAGGCAGGACAATTGCTTGAACCCAGGAGGCAGAGGATGCAGTGAGCCGAGATTGTGCCACTGCGCTCCAGCCTGGTCAACAAGAGCAAAATTGTGTGTCAAAAACAAAAAAAAAAAAAAGGATTTGGGCCTCAAGCCATGGAAACCCAGTTTAGAGTGGCTGGAACTAGTGGGCTTGGCTTCCTCACCTCCAGAGAAGTCAGCTGGGAGGTTTGCTGCTCCCAGAGGTCCTGAGCCAGACCTGGGGATTTGAACTTTTGTGTGTAGCTGGGGAGGGGAGAAGATGACCAGCTGTGGCAGGACTCCCCCCACACCTGAGACCAGATGGAGACACTCTCCCTGGGAAATGCCCGAAGTCCCTTCTCTCCTAGGGGTTTCTTCAGAGGCCACCTGTTAGGCCTGGAAGCTCAGCTTGAGGCCTCTTCTACCTGGATCGCTTGGTTCCCAAGTGTGGGTAGCAAGGTCTTTTCCTCTCCCGGCTCCTCTAACAACTCCACTGGGGAGCTTCAGCAGCAACATTGCTGGTTGAGATGTGTTTCGAGGCTAAGAAGTCCTTCCAGGCTCCCTCCACAGCCCCATGGCACAGTCAGAAAGTGAGGCAGGGTGGGTAGGCTGCACTTCCCAGTGTCCTCACCTCCAGCCAGCACCATCTCTAGCTGTGGCTCCTCACAGCTGCCGCCTTCCTGCCCCTGGACTTGCCACAGCTTGTCCCTCAGGATTATTTTTCCCAACCCAGCAAAGCCCCAGATGATGGGACTCAGGCAGCAAGGAGGGCTGACCCCCAATCAGGGAGTTCATTCCTCGATAAAGTCACTCAGGTCCCTGTGATGCTGCCAAACCTGCCCTCTGAGCAGGATGGTGTAGTAGAGGGGGATGAGTGCTGGCAGCAGCACTGGTCAGGTGATCTGAAGGAGAACCTCTGCACTTAACAAACACACACCTTGAGATCATTCTCAGCAGGAGGGGCAGATGAGGCGTAGGTAACCTGCTGACTCTTCCGGGTAATAGGTAAGAATGTGAACCAGACAGGGCAGGGAAGGGGTGGAAAGACGCCTACAGTGATGGGCCACATCCGCAGGAGGAGTGGGGGCTGCTGGACCGGTCACAGAAGGAACTGTACTGGGATGCGATGCTGGAGAAGTACGGCACAGTGGTCTCCCTGGGTGAGGACCAGCCAGCCCCACCCCGCCCCTCTCCCTGGGGCCTGCACCCACCCTGCAGCAGGCCTAGCTGGGCAGGGCCTCTGTGCTACCAGCCCTACCCAGCTCTCCCACCTTCCAGAGGAACACCCTGTCACCTACCAGAACCGACCCCACCCCTCCTTCATGCAAACCCCATGCCTAACTGTGCCCCCCACCCGGGCAGGGTTACCGCCCCACCAGCCAGAGGCACAGGCCCAGTCAGAGCTGGGGATGCTGCTCACGGGGACAGGCGTCTGCAGAAGCCTGCGCTCGGGTGAGTGCCCCACACCATCCAGCCTGAATCACCCCTCCTGTATCGGTGGGACCTGAGCCACCCACTCATGGGGGGACGGGAGCTTGTGCCACGGCCACAAGCCTGAGGGAGGGGTTGCTGAGTGCCGGGACTCACCTGGTTTGCCCCTGCCCCCAGGAAATGAGAGTGAGGGTCCACCTGGCTGCCCAGAGGCCCAGCCGCCCCAGGGCCCAGGGCCGGCAGCCTGGGAGGGCTTGTCTGGGGCTGCCACTCCTGCCCCCACTGTGCGCCCAGGGACACCGCCAGTGCCCACTCAGCCCACACCTGCAGAGACGAGACTGGAGCCGGCTGCCACCCCCAGGAAGCCCTACACGTGCGAGCAGTGTGGCCGCGGCTTCGACTGGAAGTCAGTGTTCGTCATCCACCACCGGACACACACGAGTGGGCCAGGTGTGCAGTCCCCGGGGCTAGCCACCGGGGAAAGCACAGAGAAGCCACCACAAGGGGAGGTGGCCTTTCCGCACCACCCCCGACGCTCACTCACAGGCCCCCGGAGTTACCCGTGTGAGGAGTGCGGGTGCAGCTTCAGCTGGAAGTCGCAGCTGGTCATCCACCGCAAGAGCCACACAGGCCAGCGGCGTCACTTCTGCAGTGACTGTGGCCGCGCCTTCGACTGGAAGTCGCAGCTGGTCATCCACCGCAAGGGCCACCGGCCGGAGGTTCCATGAGCAGCCAGACAGCACAGTCCCTCGGGGCCTCGGTGTTCTCGGGGCCTGGATACAGCCT
This sequence comes from Homo sapiens, assembly GCF_000001405.40. NCBI lineage: Eukaryota > Metazoa > Chordata > Mammalia > Primates > Hominidae > Homo > Homo sapiens. The sequence goes on from NC_000019.10 coordinate 58,480,785, forward strand.
CTGGGGCACCAGCAGAAGACTCTGGAGGCAGCAGGGGATGCCAGAGTGAACAAGGGGTCCCAAGCCAGTTCCCTGCCCCTGGTCTGGTCTCCCCCAAAAGACCTGGGTGCAAGGAAAAGGAGCTGCTCTCTCTCTTCTTGCCCCTGCCTCCTAGAGGGAGGTCTGGGTTCCCTTCTATGGCTGACCAGTGCCTGTGGGGTGACTGCCAAGCACCAGGCTCCCTCCCTCCCTGTGACATGGCCTGGGCTGACAACACTCCCTCTCCTGGGACCTCCTTGCCTCAGGTGGGTGTTCAAAAACTGTGCCTTCCCACTCGTCTGTGCAGAGGCTGGGCCTGAGGTCTCAGTGTGGAGAGCAGCAGAAGACCCAGGAAAGCACAGTTGGCTTCCGTTTCTCCTGCTCCCTGTGTGTGTTAGAATTTTAACATAAATTCCACTTTCATAATATGGAGTTTCTGAATAAGAATCCTGATTTCTGGCTTCTGCTGGTCGGGAAATAGGCAGTTTGCTGTCTCTGCCCAGTAGCTGCAGCACAGGGCAGTTGAGCCCAGAACGGCCAAACCTCTGTTGCCACAGAACCCAGGTCCCAGGTCCCCAGCCTCCCTTGCTCCTTGCCGCCCACATCACTCACCAGCCTCACTGGCCTTGGAACTCATCAGTCCCGGCTTGAGAGACACAAAGGGGATTTCCTTTCGAAGTACGGCTGGACAAGGGGGACCTCTGAGAAGAGGGGCTGCAAGCAGGGGTTGCGCCAAGGCCATGGGTACTTCTAGGTCAGGCCGCACCCTCCATAGTTAGCTGGTCATGCAGCAGGAAGGCAAAAGGTCAGCTCCCTGGGAAGCACCGGATCTCTGGGCAGTCACTGGGGACTCGCCAATGCACTGTATTAGTTTTCTGTTGCTGCTTTAACAAACTTGGCAGCTTGAAACAACAGATTCTCTTATAGCTCTGAAGGTCAGAACTCTGACATGGGTCCCACTGGGCTAAAATCAAGGTTTTGTTTTGTTTTGTTTTGTTTTGTTTTGTCTGAGATGGAGTCTCGCTCAGTTGCCCAGGCTGCAGTGCGGTGGCACAATCTCGGCTCACTGCAAGCTCTGCCTCCCGGGTTCACGCCATTCTCCTGCCTCAACCTCCTGAGTAGCTGGGACTACAGACACCCGCCACCACGCCCGGCTAATTTTTTTGCATTTTTAGTAGAGACGGGGTTTCACCGTGTTAGCCAGGATGGTCTCGATCTCCTGACCTCGTGATCCACCCACCTCGGCCTCCCAAAGTGCTGGGATTACAGGCGTGAGCCACCGCGCCCGGCCAAAATCAAGGTTTTAACAGGACTGGTTCCTCTTGAAGGCTCTAGGAGAGAATAATCCATTTTGTTGCCTTTTCCAGCTTCTAGAGTCAGCCCACGTTCCCCCTTTTTTTTTTCTTGGTCCATTCCTCCGTCTTCAAAGCCAGCCATGGTTGGTCACGTCTTCCTTAGGCTGCCAGCTCTCTGACACCCATCGATCCTTTGGCCTCCTTAAGGACCCTCATCATATCTTGTCCCCTACCTGCACACTTAGTCACACCGCAGAGTCCCTTTTGCCAATTGAGATGTTCACAGCTTCTGGGGATTGGAATGGGGACTCCTTGGGGGCCTTGATTCAGCACTCTTCTCCTTCCTACTCTGAAAACAAGGGGCATTTTCACAGGGGATGGTTTCAGGAAATGGGTGCCCTCTCGGAAGGAGCCCTCGCCAGCTGCTGGTATGTGCAGCATGTGCACAAGTCGCAGGTGGATGTTGAGGGTAGCTGCGACTGTGGTTACCCCAGGAGGGGCTCCCTGGGAGGGGCAGGAACCCTGCTGCGGCCTGAAGCTGGGAGAGGGAGGCTCTCCTCAGAGGCCCATCTTCCCCATCCCCTTTTATGAGGGCCTTCTAACCCGTTGCTCCCATGTGCAGGGCTCCGGAAGCAGGGCCAGTTTGGAGATGGAGCTGGGGGTGGGTGATCTGTGAGCAAGCAGGAGGCGAGAGCTGTGCTGGGGACAGAGAAGAAGAAGACAGAGCAGTACCCAGGGGCTCCAGCTAGGCCCCAGCCCAGAAGGGAGAGTCAGGGTATAGAAGGCTGTGAAAGGGCCAGATCATGCAAGAAAAGCTGCAGGGGGTGAGGGCAGTTTTTAAATAAACTTTTTCACATTTAGAAGCAATTTATGCTCACTTAGAAAAATTTGAAATACACAAGATGGCAAAGAAGATCATGAAAATGTTCCCTAATTCAACTGTCTCATGGCAATGCTTACTCCAGAAGTTTACATATAGAAGTGGTTGAATGTAAAGTTTCTTTTAAGGCAACTTATGTTGTTTCACTTTGGGAGACCACGAGTTCAAGACCAATCTGGGCAACATAGTGAGACCTTGTCTCCAAAAAAAAAAAAAAATTAAAAATAATAGTAGGCTGGGTGTGGTGGCTCATGCCTATATTCCCAGCACTTTGGGAGACCAAGGCAGGTGGACCACTTGGAGTTCGACACCAGCCTGGCCAACATGGTGAAACCTCAACTGTACTAAAAAAAATACAAAAATTAGCCAGGTATGGTGACATGCACCTGTAGTCCCAGTTACTTGGGAGGCTGAGGAATAAGAATCACTTGAACCCGGGAGGCAGAGCTGCAGTGGGCCAAGACGGCGCCACTGCACTGCAGCCTGGGTGACAAAGCGAGACCCTGTCTCAAAAATAATACTACTACTAATTAGCCAGGCATAGTGGCGCATACCTGTAGTCCCAGGGAGACTGAGGTGGGAGAATCACTTGAGCCCAGGAGGTTAAGGCTGCAGTGAGCTCTGATAACACCATTGCACTCCAGCCTGGGCAACAGGATGAGACCCTGTCTGGAAAAAAAAAATACGGAAATGGGAGACGGAAGGGTAGGTCAGAGAGAGGGATGATGGATGAAATAACTGCAAATATTCACAATAGGAGAGGGATGACCCCACCATATGGAATGCTTCACAAATTTGTGTTTACCCTTGCACAGGGGCCATTCTAATCATTCCAATTTTAGTGTATGTACTATAGAAGTGAGCGAGCAGTTAACTTTTTTCTTTTCATGCCTGGATGAATCTATTTTCTGGCTGGCACCATCATTTCTACCAAGACCAAAGAATTTCTTGTTCCCTCCTCACCCTGCAGTACCCAGTGCTATGATTAATTCTCTTGAGTAAACACTTGGATACTACTGTGGCTATTTCTGTAGTATAAATTTCTCAAAATGGGATTGGTGAGTTACAGGGAACATGAGATTTATTTTTGCCTTAAAACAGCAAAAACTTATTGTACAATTCTGGAGACCGGAAGTTAGACACCATCTCACCAAGCTAATACTAGAGTGTTGGCAATGGCTGGGCACAGTGGTTCACTCCTGTAATCCCAGCACTTTGAGAGGCTGAGGCAGGAGGATCACTTGAGGCCAAGACTTTGAGACCAGCCTGGGCAACAGAGTGAGACCCCATCTCTAAAAAAAAAAAAAAAAAAAAAAACACACAATTAAAAAAAATTTTTTTAGCTGGGTGTGGTAGTGCACACCTGTAGTCCCAGCTACTTGGAAGGCTGAGGCAGGAGGATCACTTGAGTCCAGGAGGTTGAGGCTACAGTGAGCCAAGATCTCACGACTGCACTCCAGCCTGGGCAACAGGGCGAGACTCCATCTCAAAAAAAAAAAAAAAAAGTGTTGGCAGGGCTGCATTCCTTCTGTAAACACTAGGGGGAAAATTGTTCTGTAGCTCATGGCCCCTTCCCCCATGTGGTGGCTCACACCTGTAAGCCCAGCACTTTGGGAGGCAAAGGCGGGCGGACTGCTTGAGCCCAAGAGTTCAAGACCAGCCTGGGCAACATAGCAAGACCATGTCTCTACTTTTTTTCGATAAAATTTTTTTTAAAAAATTTTAAAAACCAATCAGCCAATTTTCCCCAAGTTAATCTATAAAGTAAATGAAATGCAAATAAAATATACCACATTTCAGCCGGGTGCAGTGGTTCACTCCTGTAATTCCAGCACTTTGGGAGGCCAAGGCAGGGAGATTGCTTGAGCCCAGGAATTCAAGACCAGCTTGGGCAACATGGTGAAACTCCATCTCTAGTAAAAATACAAAAATTAGCCAGGTGTGGTGGTGCACGCCTGTTGTCCCAACTACTCGGGAGGCTGAGGCAGGAGGATCACCTGAGCCTTGGGAGGCAGAGGCTGCAGTGAGCCATGATCGTGCCAGCCGGAGCAACAGAGTGAGACCCTGTCTCAGAAAAATAAAAAGAAGCACATTTTATATGATCCAACAAAAAGATTCTAAAATGCATGTGGAAAAGTCCAAGAATTGCTAAGACAATTTGGAAAAAACGACAAGTAGGGAAGAATTGTCATATTGTAAATAAAAACACTGTTAAGTTATATAATATTAAAATAGTGTGGTGGCTGGGCACGGTGGCTCATGTGTATAATCCCAGCACTTTGGGAGGCCGAGGCGGGTGGATCACCTGAGGTTGGAGTTCAAGACTAGCCTGGCCAACATGGTGAAAGCCCGTCTCTACTAAAAATACAAAAAAAAAAAAAAATTAGCCGGGTATAGTGGCACACGCCTGTAATCCCAGCTACTCGGGAGGCTGAGACAAGAGAATCACTTGAACCCAGAAGGCAGAGATTGCAGTGAGCTGAGATCATGCCACTGCACTCCAGCCTGGGTGACAGAGTGAGACTCCATCTCAAAAAAATAAAATATTGTGGTATTGGCACAGGAGTGGACAACTAGGTCAATCTAGGAACAGACCTTTTGGAACTTGATATACATGAAATGACTCAACCAATCAGTGAAGACAGGGTGGATGTTCACTGAATATTGGAGAAAACTGAACTCCCCCATACAAAAGAAAACAGATTTCCACTTTACACACACTCAAAATTAAATTCCAGATTAAATACTAGGATATTTTTAATGATTTATTAAATTTTTTTTTGGTAGAGACAGGGTCTCAATATGTTGCTCAGCCTAGTGTCAAACTCCTAGCCTCAAGCAATCCTCCCTTCTCTACTTCTCAAATTGCTGGGATTACAGGCTGAGCCACCACACCCAGCCTGATATTTATTTTTAAATATCAGGAAAATGTAAAACTTTGTTTTGTTTTTGTTTGTTTTGAGACAGAGTCTCGCTCTGTCACCCGGGGTGAAGTGTAGTGTGAACATGGCTCACTGCAGCCTTGACCTCCTGGGCACAAGCAGTCCTCTCACCTCAGCCTCCTGAGTAGCTGGGACCACAGGCACATGCCACCACACTCAGCTAACTTTCTTTTTTTTTTTTTTTTTTTTTTTGAGATGGAGTCTTACTCTGTCACCCAGGCTGGAATGCAGTGGTGTGATCTCGGCTCACTGCAACCTCCGACTCATGGGTTCAAGTGATTCTCCTGCATCAGCCTCCCGATAGCTGAGACTACAGGCACGTGCCACCACGCCTGGCTACTTTTTGTATTTTTAGTAGATGGGGTTTCACCATGTTAGCCAGGATGGTCTCAATCTCCTGACCTCGTGATCCACCTCGGCCTCCCAAAGTGCTGGGATTGCAGGCATGACCCACCATTCCTGGCCCACACTCAGCTAACTTTCAGTTTTTGTTTGTTTGTTTTTTGAGACGAAGTCTCGCTCTTATTCCCCAAGCTGGAGTGCAATGGGGTAATCTCGGCTCACTGCAACCTCCGCCTCCTGGGTTCAAGCGATTCTCCTGCCTCAGCCTCCCGAGTAGCTGGGATTACAGGCCCCCGCCACCGCACCCGGCTAATTTTTGTATTTTTAGTAGAGGCGGGGTTTCACCATGTTGGCCAGGCTGGTCTCAAACTCCTGACCTCAGGTGATCCGCCCACCTCGGCCTCCCCAAAGTGCTGGGATTACAGGCGTGAGCCACCGCACCCAGCTTTTTTTTTTGGGGGGGGGCGGGGAGAGATGAGGTCTCGCCATGTTGCCCAGGCTGAAAGTAAAAATTTTATGACCTCAAGAGTTGAAAATGATTTCTTCTTTTTATTTTTTTGAGACGGAGTCTCACTCTGTCGCCCGGGCTAGAGTGCAGTGGTGCGATCTTGGCTCACTGCAAGCTCCGCCTCCTGGGTTCACGCCATTCTCCTGCCTCAGCCTCCTGAGTAGCTGGGACTACAGGTGCCCGCCACCACACCCAGCTAATTTTTGTATTTTAGTAGAGACGGGGTTTCACCGTGTTAGCCAGGATGGTCTGACCTTGTGATCCGTCCACCTCGGCCTCCCAAAGTGCTGGGATTACAGGCGTGAGCCACTGCGCCTGGCCGAAAATGATTTCTTAAATAATAACACAAAAAGTATACAGACCCCTAAAACCCTGCCAATAACAAGTATTGGTTAGGCAGCACAGAACAGGACCTGTGAATTTGATGAGTTATCACTCCTGTGATTTGATGATGTCATATGGCATAGTTGCCCTTGTTTTGTTTTGCTTTGTTTTGTTGAGACAGGGTCTCATTTGTTGCCCAGGCTGCAGTGCAGTGGTGAAACCATAGGTCACTGCAACCCGGAACTCCTAGTCTCGAGCAATCTGTCCATCTCTGCCTCACGACTAAAGAAACAACTGGCAAGTTTAATAAATCGAACTTAAATCTCTGAAAAGACACTGTAAACATAAATAAAAGATAAGCAAAATATTGGAGGAAAACATAAACCAAAAAAACCCTCGACAAACCCAGAAGGTATTTTTAAACTCCAAATAAGTCCAGGCGCGGTGGCTCACGCCTGTAATCCCAGCACTTTGGGAGGTCGAGGCAGGGGGATCACTTGAGGTCAGGAGTTCAAGACCAGCCTGGCCAACATGGTAAAACCCCGTCTCTACTAAAAATATAAAAATTAGCCAGCCGTGATGGTGGGCGCCTGTAATCCCAGCTACTCAGGAGGCTGAGACAGGAGAATCTCATCAACCCAGGAGGTGGAGGTTGCAGTGAGCCGAGATCACGCCACTGTACTCCAGCCTGGGCAACAGAGCAAGACTCTATCTCAAAAAACAAATTAACTACAAATAAATATGAATAGGACTAAAATATGATAGAAACATGGAGAAAGGCCATAAGGCAGGAATACACATCAGAAGAAACTAGGCTGATAGACCAGAAAGAAAATATGCTTAGCATTACATGCCTAGCAGTAATCAGAGAAACCCCAGCACTGTGAGGACAGGGCTTCACCTGCCTTGCTCATGGCCACACACCCTGTTCATGGCACTGTGAGGGCAGGACTTCACCTGCCTTGCCCGTGACCACACACCCTGTTCATGGCACTGTGAGGGCAGGACTTCACCTGCCTTGCCCGTGACCACACACCCTGTTCATGGCACTGTGAGGGCAGGACTTCACCTGCCTTGCCCGTGACCACACACCCTGTTCATGGCACTGTGAGGACAGGTCTTCACCTGCCTTGCTCGTGGCCACACACCCTGTTCATGGCACTGTGAGGACAGGGCTTCACCTGCCTTGCTCGTGGCCACACACCCTGTTCATGGCACTGTGAGGGCAGGGCTTCACCTGCCTTGCTCGTGGCCACACACCTTGTTCATGGCACTGTGAGGACAGGGCTTCACCTGCCTTGCTCGTGGCCACACACCCTGTTCATAGCACTGGTTGGTATTCGTAGCATTGTCAACAAACCAGATACACATCAATATAACGTGATGGATTTCTCAGCCTTCAAAATAGCAAGTTAAAAACCCTGCCAATTAAAAGAAAAGGCATAAACATGACTATGATAAAAAAAAAAAAAAAAAGGCTGGGTGCGGTGGCTCACACCTGTAATCCCAGCACTTTGGGAGGCCGAGGCAGGTGGATCATGAGGTCAGGAGATTGAGACCATCCTGGCTAACATGGTGGAACCCCGTCTCTACTAAAAATACAAAAAATTAGCCGAGCTTGGTAGCAGGCACCTGTAGTCCCAGCTACTTGGGAGGCTGAGGCAGGAGAATGGCGTGAACCCAGGAGGTGGAGCTTGCGGTGAGCCAAGATCACGCCACTGCACTCCAGCCTGGGTGACAGAGCAAGACTCCGTCAAAAAAAAAAAAAAAACAAAAAAATACAAAGTGCCAATAGCAGGTATTGGTGAGGAAATGAATACCAGGACCTGTGCATATGATGAGCTACTGAAACTGCCTTTGCAAAATTATGACTAAGACAGTGAAAGAGATCTGACTAAATCAATTCCATCTTGCTTCTAACCTCTAAGCTGTCCTAGTTCATTCTTGGGCATAGGCTGAAGTAACTTTGAGAGAAACTTATAGTTCATAACCTTATGGTTTATAGTTTAAAACACAGAGGATAACAGCCCTTTCCCAAAGCAGACCTCCTTCTTGCCTGGGGACCAGATGGCCTTTGTAGGACTAACATTAGCCCCAAGATTAGAAACTCTGGTTTAGGAGTCACGCAGCTGGAGGCTAGAAGATTCTGACCCTCCCTCAACTGCTCCTAAGATCAGCGCTTGGGATATTTTGCAGACTCTGCACTTGATGGATCAGCTGGCCCCACCCAGATCCATAAAATGGCTCATCTGATCTTGTGGCCCCCAGGAACTGACTCCGCGCAAGACGACAGCTTCGACTCTGTATGATCTCATCCCTGACCAATCAGCACTCCTGGCTCACTGGCTTCCCCCAACCCACCAAGTTGTCCTTAAAAACTCTGCTCCCTGAATGCTCAGGGAGACTGATCTGAGTGATAACAAAACCCTTGTCTCCCGCACAGCTGGCTCTGCGTGAATTACCCTTTCTCTACTGTAATTCCCCCGTCTTGAGAAATCAGCTGTGTCCAGGCAGCAGGAAAGGTGAACCCACTGGGCAGTTACGCTACCAATCCTGTGATATGATTGTGTCACATGGCATGGTTGCCCTTTTTTCTTTTTGACAGTCTTGCTGTCACTCAAACTGGAGTGTGGTGGCGCGATCTCGGCTGACTGCAACCTCCGCCTCCCAGGTTCAAGCAATTCTTGTGCCTCAGCCTCCCAAGAAGCTGGAGTACAGGCCCACGCCACCACGCCTGGCTAATTTTTGTATTTTTAGCAGAGGTGGGGTTTCACCATGTTGGCCAGGCTGGTCTTGAACTCCTGGCCTTGGCCTCTCAAAGTGCTGGGATTACAGGCATGAGCCACCGCACCAGCCGTAGTTTTGTTTTCTTGAGACAATCTCACTCTGTCACCCAGGCTGGAGCAAAGTGGTAGAGTCATAGCTCCCTGCAACCTAGAACTCCTGGGCTCAAGTGACCCTCCCACTTCAGCCTCCCCAGTAGCTAGGACAACAGGCACGTGCCACCAGACCTCGCCTTTTTTTTTTTTTTTTTTTTTTGAGACAGAGTCTTGCTGTGCTGTCCAGGATGGTCTCAAATTTCTGGCCTCAAGTCATCCTCCTGCCTCAGCCTTCCAAAGCTCTCAGATTATAGGCATGAGCCACCATACCTGGCCCCATAGTTGAACTTAAAATAGACTATATGATTATCTGGGGGTGTGGGGGGGCTGATCTAGCTACATGATCCCTTTTAAAACATGGAGCTCTTGGCGGGCATAGTGGCTCACACCTGTAATCCCAGCACTTTGAAAGGCCGAGGCAGTCGGATCACCCGAGGTGGTCGGATCACCCAAGATCTATAATTTGAGACCAGCCTGGCCAACAGGGCAAAAACTCATTTCCGCTAAAAATACAAAAATTAGCCGGGCATGGTGGCACGTGCCTGTAATCCCAGCTACTTGGGAGGCTGAGGCAGGAGAATTGCTTGAACCCGGGAGGCGGAAGTTGCAGTGAGCCGAGATCATGCCACTGCACCCTAGCCTGCGTGACAGAGCAAGACTCCATCTTGGAAAAAAAAAATACAAAAATTAGGCCAAGCGCAGTGGCTCACGCCTGTAATCCCAGCACTTTGGGAGGTCGAGGCGGGTGGATCACGAGGTCAGGAGATCGAGACCATCCTGGCCAACATGGTGAAACCCCATCTCTACTAAAAATAAAAAAATTAGCCAGGCGTGGTGGTGGACGCCTGCAATCCCAGCTACTCAGGAGGCTGAGGCAGGAGAATCGCTTGAACCTGGGAGGTGGAGGTTGCAGTGAGCTGAGATCATGCCACTGCACTCCATCCTGAGCAACAGAGCAAGACTCTGTCTCAAAAAAAGAGAAATGCCTATTTTTATTTTTTTTGAGACAGAGTCTTGCTGTGTCGCCCAGGCTGGAGTGCAGTGGCATGATCTTGGCTCAGCGCGACTTCCACCTCCCAGATTCAAGCAATTCTCCTGCCTCAGACTCCCAAGTAGCTGGGATTACAAGCACAGGCCACCACGCCCGGCTAATTTTTATATTTTTAGTAGAGATGGGGTTTTGCCCTGTTGGCCGGGCTGGTCTCAAACTCCTGGCCTCAAGGGATCTGTCTGCCTCACCTTACCAAAGTGTTGGGATTACAGGCGTGAGCCACCACTCCCGGCCCCATACATTTATTTTAAAGTAAATTTCCACATCTTGCAATAATAAAATAAACAGTATTTCAAGTCACCTTAAAATAGATAATGTCTACATTAATAGATGTTCATCCACACAGCCCCGTTTATCACCTGGAACCATACTTGAGAAGTCCTGCCTACCAGTGTCCATCACCAGCTCCATTCCTCTGTAGTTGGTGCCATCTGCAAGAATCGAGCCCCTTCCTGGGGTTTGCACAGGCTGCAGCCTCCTCCTACTACAGCAGATGCCAAAGGGCACTGGGCATGGTGTGGGGGTCAGTTCACTTTCACACAGGGCTTGTGTTTTCCGTGGTCTCGGCAACACCAACAGTGTCTGAACATGACTGCACAGACATTGGTGCCCGCCGCTGCTTGTGAGCTCCAAGACCATCTCTCCTTCTGTGGGTGCCCCACTTATCTCACTTTTTGACCCCTCCCCAGGTCTCTGGAACCCTCTCTTCAGTCTTGACTTCCTGCTGGCCTGTCTGGACCAGGTCTGTCAGTCCTACTCCCCAGCACCAGATGGGCCCTAAGAATCCCCCTCCTGCCACACCTGCTATTTCCTCATATCCAGCCTCTCAGGCTACGATCACCACGCCACCCTTCCAGAAGGTTCCTTCCAACCGCCCTTCCGAAAAGGCCCTCTCCATGGCCCTCTTGTCAATGACTCACTCCCAGCATGGACAGCAGAGACGTGACCCACACCTCTAACCCATGAGGCTCTGCCCAGCCCTCCCTGGACATGTCAGAAAACAGAGAGACCCTAGTCACTGTGGGTCCAGAGGCAGGACCAGCAGCCACGTCCATGCCTTTTCAGAGCACCCTCACCAGGGTAAGGCAAGTTCTAGCAAGGCAGAGAGGGATCTGTGTGAGGAGGTACCTCTCATTACCACCACTGTTAATCATCATTGACTTATTCATTCATAGAGAAAAAGTCATCTTGAACCATCAAACCCGAGAGCATAATGTCGGATACGGAAAGTCGGTGGGAGAAGTCATCTGTCATTAGGGGTGGGAGCGGGGAACTTAACACGGGCATCCAGGAAAAGGCAGGATGAGAAGAAACCGTGGACTTGGTAAAGTCTGTAAGAAACGTCACCATCTGAGCCATCGCTACAGCATCTGCCTGTATTTCTCACATGCTTACATGAAAGGCATTATTTATTCACTTGGACAACAAAGGCTGCTTTTCGTGAGAGTCACTGGTCCTCCCATGAGGGCATCCACCGATACTTCAAGAATCCTTCCTGGGGCCGGGCACAGTGGCTCACGCCTGTAATCCCAGCACTCTGGGAGGCTAAGGGGGGGGCGGATCACGAGGTCAAGAGATCGAGACCATCCTGGGTAACACGGTGAAACCTCGTCTGTACTAAAAAATACAAAAAAAAAAAAATTAGCCAGGCGTGGTGGCGGGCGCCTGTAGTCCCAGCTACTCAGGAGGCTGAGGCAGGAGAATGGCGTGAACCTGGGAGGCGGAGCTTGCAGTGAGCCGAGATTGCGCCACTGCACTCCAGCCTGGGAGACAGAGCTAGACTCCATCTCAAAAAAAAAAAAAAAAAAAAAAAAAAAGGAAGAAAGAAAGAAAGAAACAATCCTTCCTAGGACAGTGAATCACTCCTATAATCCCAGCACTTTGGGAAGCTGAAGCAAGACGATCGCTTAAGCCCAGGAGTTCGAGACCAGCCTGGGTAACACAGTAAGATCCCAACTCTACAAAAGAAAATATGTTTTTTTTAATTAGCAAGGCATGATGGTGCATGCCTGCAGCCCCAGCTACTGGGGGGGATCACTTGAGCCTAGGAGGTCAAGGGTGCAGTGAGCGATGATGGTGCCACTGCACTCCAGCCTGGGTGACAGAGCGAGACCCTATCTCAAAAAAGAAAAAAAAAAACAAAAAAACCAGTCCCCACACTAGCAGCCACCCATAAGAATATAAAGAAAGCATGGTGCCCTCCACCACCTTTTACTTCTATACCTAACCAGCAATTTTGGGGGGAAAAGACATAAATGGGAAAGAGTTCTGACACATGACTAGCTAAGAAGGTTTTGAAATAAAAGTAAAGAGTAGGAATTCCGCCAGGTGCAGTGGCTCACACCTGTAATCCCAGCACTTTGGGAGGCCGAGGCAGGTGGATCACCTGAGGTCAGGGGTTCGAGACCAGCCCGGCCAACATGGTGAAACTCCATCTCTACTAAAAATACAAAAATTAGCCAGGAGTGGCGGCATACACCTATAATCCCAGCTACTCAGGAGGCTGAGGTGGGGGAATCGCTTCAACTTGGGAGGCAGAGGTTGCGGTGAACTGAGATCAAGCCACTGCACTCCAGCTTGGACAACAGAGAGAGACTCCTTCTCAAAAAAAAAAAAAAAAAAAAAAAAAGAGAGAAAGAAAAAGAAAAAAAAAAAAAAAAAAAAAATATATATATATATATATATATATATATATATATATATTACAAGCCTATGCTAATTACAGCAGCTTGGGACAGGAGAAACAGAAAGACTTATAGAATGAAATTAAGAATACGCTGGGTGTGGTGGCTCACGCCTGTCATCCCAGCACGTTGGGAGGCCAAGGCGGGCAGATCACCTGAGGTCAGGAGTTCGAGACCAGCCTGGCCAACATAGTGAAACCCCATCTCTACCAAAAAAATGCAAAAATTAGCTGAGCCTGGTGGCACATGCCTGTAATCCCACCTACTCAGGAGGCTGAGACAGGAGCATCACTTGAACCTGGGAGGCAGAGGTTGCAGTGAGCCCAGATTGTGCAACTGTACTCCAGCCTGGGTGACAGAGTGAGACTACGTCTCAAAAAAAAAAAAAAAAAAGGGTGCAGTGGCTCACACCTGTAACCCCAGCACTTTGGGAGGCCGACGTGGGTGGATCACGAGGTCAAGAGTTCAAGACCAGCCTGGTCAAGATGGTGAAACCCCGTCTCTACTAAAAATACAAAAATTAGTCAGGTGTGGTAGTGTGTGCCTGTAATCCCAGCTACTCAGGAGGCTGAGGCAGGAGAATCACTTGGTTCCGGGAGGCGGAGTTTGCAGTGAGCCAAGATAGTGCCACTGCACTCCAGCCTAGGCAACAAGAGTGAGACTCCATCTCAAAAAAAAAAAAAAAAAAAAAGAAGAATAAAATGTGTGTCACCAGCCCCCAGCACATCCCCTCCACAATAGTAGAGTGTAGGGTAGGGCTCTGCCTGCTCATTTCGCCCCAGGAGGCCAACCCTCCCTGATAGTCCAGGATATTTTTGGAAAAAAAAAAAAAAGGTGCTTTTCCGTCTCCCCAAGATCCTCAAGTTCAACTAGACATTTCCTATATAAATGTTTTGTTCTGCCTGTTCATTTTGGTGGGTGCCCTTTTCTCCCTTCCCCACCACCCGTGCTCCTCCCAGTCTGCCCCTGGCCTCCAGCCCTGAGGATCAGTTGAGGTAGGGTCCCTGGTATTCCGTACCCTCCTCCCTTTGTTTCTGTTGGTTGTCACTCCTGCTGAATGTATTGCTTTTTAATACTGTACTGCAGGTTTTTTTTAAATAAAATTGTTTGGAAAGTAAAAGAGAAAAGGAATAACGTGTGTGATATATTGAATAAAAAACACTTCATAGATCTGTAGTCTAGTGGGGGAATAAGAAAAAGTTTTAAAATTTTTATTTATTTTAGAGACAGGGTCCTGCCTCTGTTGCCCAGGCTGGATGGAGTGCAGCAGCACAATGATAGCTCACTGTTACCTCAAACTCCTGGGCTTAAGCCATCCTCCTGCCTCAGCCTGCCCAGTAGCTAGGACTAAAGGTGCACAATACCACTCCTGGCTAATTTTTTTACTTTTAATTTTTTTTCTAGAGACGTGGTCTCACTATGTTGCCCAGGCTGATCTTGACCTCCTAGGGTGAAGTGGTCCTCCGACCCTGGCCTCCCAAAGTGCTAGGATTACAAGCATGAGCCACTGCACCCAGCCAAAAATTATATTATTATTTAAATTTATTTATTTATTTATTTTTATTTTATTTTTTGAGACGGAGTCTCGCTCTGTCGCCAGGCTGGAGTGTAGTGGTGCAATCTCAGCTCACTGCAACCTCTGCCTCCCCAGCTCAAGAGATTCTCCTGCCTCACCCTCCCGAGTAGCTGGGACTACAGGCATCCGCCACCACACCCAGCTAATTTTTTGTATTTTTAGTAGAGACGGGGTTTCACCATGTTGGCCAGGCTGGTCTCGATCTCTTGACCTCATGATCCACCCACCTTGGCCTCCCAAAGTGCTGGGATTTCAGGCCTGAGCCACCGCGCCCGCCTATTTATTTTTTCTGAGACGGAGTCTTGCCCTGTCACCCAGGCTGCAGTGCAATGGCGCCATCTCAGCTCACTGCAACTTTTACCTTCTGAGTTCAAGTGATTCTCCTGCCTCAGCCTCCTGAGTAGCTGGGATTACAGGCATGCACCACCACACCTGGCTAATTTTTTGTATTTTTAGTAGAGACGGGGTTTCACTATGTTGGCCAGGCTGGTCTCAAACTCCTGACCTCATGATCCACTCACCTCGGCTTCCCAAAGTGCTGGGATTACAGGCGTCAGCCACTGCACCCAGCCTCAAAAATTATTATTATTATTTTGAGACAGACTCTCAGCTCTGTTGCCTAAAGTGGAGTGCAGTGGTGCAATCTTGGCTCACTACAACCTCCACCTCCCAAGTTCAAGCGATTCTCCTGCTTCAGCCTCCTGAGTAGCTGGGATTACAGGTGCATACCACCACACCCAGCTAATCAAATATTATTTTTTAATCCTTGCAAATGTAATAGCAAAAACTATGAATGCCCCAAGCTAGCTAGGGCTTAGGGAGGCACGGATTTGTATAAAGTGCTGGTGAACTTGTAAAGCTGAGGATCCACAGTGAGATATTTCTACAACATCCACACCCTCTGATCCAACACCTGCAACAATGGGCTTGGCAAGTAACTCATGGGGAAAGCACCTCTCTTGGCTGGGGCTTCCTCAACTATGGTGGGAGCAACACAACACAACTCATCCCATGAGATGTGGTGAAGATATCAGCTCTAGGCCAGGCACAGTGGCTCACACCTGTAATCCCAGCACTCTGGGAGGCCGAGGTGGGAGGATCATGAGGTCAGGAGATCTAGACCATCCTGGCTAACACGGTGAAACCCCCTCTCTACTAAAAATACAAAAAGAAAGCCGGGCGTGGTGGCGGGCACCTGTAGTCCCAGCTACTCAGGAGGCTGAGGCAGGAGAGTGGCATGAACCCGGGAGGCGGAGCTTGCAGTGAGCTGAGATTGCACCATTGCACCACAGCCTCGGTGATAGAGCGAGACTCTGTCTCAAAAAAAAAAAAAGTATCAGCTCTAGCCTGGCCCCAGGTGAGTCCACAAGGGTTATTCTTCTTTTTTTCCCACTATACTAACAAGGACGTGAGGGTTCTTTTTTTTTTTTTTTTTTTTTTTTGAGACGGAGTCTCACTCTGTCACCCAGGCTGGAGGAGTATGAAGGAACTGGACAACCTACTGTGTGCGTGGGAGGATCCAAGTCCAGTTGTATGAAAGGGCCAGGGCTCTTCAGGGAACATGTGGGGCTCCACTGGCCACACAGGGCACAGAAATAGCAAGTCACAACAACTATCACTTCGCAGAAGAGAATTACAGTGCACGGCCACCACCAATGACAAACAGATGCTCATAGTGGGACCCCAACTGAAAAGGATACTGTCTCAGCTCCAGGCTGCAGGGCTGACAGGAAGAGCCTCGAATGCTACCAGGAACTCTGTGAAGCCCAGCTGCCTCACAGCCCACGTGGGGTGCTGCCTGCACTGCTCCCTTCGAAGGCTAGTTCTGTCTCAAAGTGGCCCATAGCCTGATGAGGAGGCTGAGGCACGGGAGAGCACAGTATTGTGCCAAACCCCTACTGACTCCAATGGGGACGGCACCAGGTTCAAGAGGCCGAAGAAGAGACTAAGAGCCAGCAAACAAGATGTAGGGTTTTACTGGGGGCTTACATACCGGGGAGAGTCCAGGGGCGGTGGGCTGGGCAGGAGAACCACTTGCAAAAAGCATGCAGTTTATATGGCATTTTCACTTAACATCCTCCCCCTGGCAACCTTCATTTAACTGAAAGCAAAAGGCCAGGATCCCTTATACCACCAGCATTCCATGGGACAGGGCTAAGGACCCAGATGTTCCTCAAAAATAAGGAATGAATCTCTGAGATTCCTTAGCTGGGAACTCTGAACCACACTCAGGTGCGTCTGCCACACAGGGCCATTCTCAGGTGTGCTTAAGCATTGCTGTGGGGTGTGTTTACTATGCACACGAGAAGGGATGGGCAGGGTCGCAGTCTGCAGCACTGCCCACGGACAGCCCTTTGCATATGGCGTTTACTGCTGTGGGGTTCCTTTTCTCACCATCATCACCCCAGCTGTGCTCCCAAAGTTAACCCATGGACCACCGGCCTGGCACCACCACAACTGTTCCAGTGTCTGTAGCCTCACCTTCAGTTCCTACTGGGCCGAGAAGCCTTGGAGGCAGAGGCTCAGCACCCACACACCCCCACCTACATCTCCACTAGGCTTCGGGTAGCAGGTCCAACTCCTGAGACTGTGCAGACTCCCATTTTCCAGAGGCCTCTGCTCCCACTGCTCCCCACCTACAAAGCTTGCCCCAGGGCCTCTACACGTGCCGTTCACAGTGCCAGGGACACTCCTCCCCCAGTTACCTCCTGCTTGCCCTTCTAGCCTCAGTCCAGCAACCTCCAGGCTTTGTCAGATTGTGTATCCACAGCACTTCACAGGGGAGTTATCCACATCCACTGGCCCAGCCACCGCCTCAGTGGCCCACCAAAGACCCACAGATGAGAATCAGAGTTCTCATCTCTCTACCTCAGAGCAGCTGCGAGGCTGGCCAGCTCCTCCCACACCCTTGGCGTTACACAGACAGGGTCATCCCACAGGGATGGCTGAGGTTCTTTGCTGGGAGACAGGGAAGACCCTAAAATAAGGTCTTCAGGGCACTAGCCCCTGCACTCCTCCATTGCTCCTTCATCCACGCAGACATACAGACTTCTGTGAACACATCTGAGTTTATTCTGCCACTGCTACAGGGCCCACTGTCATTTCCAGCCCACTGAGGTTGAGGGTATGGCCAGGCTGGGATTCACACAGGCCCAGGATGAAAGGGACACCGAGTGTGTTGGGGTGGGGGTGGCTGGCTTTGATCCCTACCCCAGTGGGTTGGCCAGGTGATCAGAGCCTCCAGGTTCCCTCACACACAGCCTGGTACATTTCTGCCGTCAGGGGCCGGAAGGACTGGGCCCGGTTGTCCAGTACAAACAGAGGGTCAACCACGATCCCCACATTGAAGCCCTCACGCACCAACCGGGTCTTCATCAGTTTGAACGTGCTGGTGACCTCCATGGCGTCCTGCAGGGCAGTGACCATGGTCCAATCACTGTGACATCCACCCGCCCCCTGGCTATGATCTTCCACCCACCCACCAGGCCACCCTGGGCTCACCTGGATGCGGATGAAATGGGGGGTAGCGTAGGCAGGGAGCCAAGCGCGAACGTGCTGGTACAACTTCTCCCCGTCGAAAGTCTGGCCGGGGGCTAGCTGCACAGCAGCCATGCCCACCTTACCCTCACAACCTAGAGAGCAGTCTGGTCACTCTCGGCTGACCCATCTCGAGGGCCCATAGCTGACCCTCCAGCCTCGCCCAGCTCTGCTCACTGGCTGTGAGAGCCAGCAAGTCTCTAAACCTCTCTGGGCCCTAGCACTTCCCCACCTGTAAAATCAGAATAACGACCCCTCCACCCACAAAGCTGTTGGAAGTTTAAAATGAGAACCCTCCGCACCTGGCACGCACACGCCATACACGTTAACCTGTTGCAAGAAGTCCACCTGCGACAACACGCCCTCCACCTCGTGCGTGGACACGTTCTCGCCCTTCCATCTGCAAGGAGGGAGCCGGCGCTTGTGACCACGCCCCCGGGAAGGAGAGGCCCCGCCTCTTGCCCCCGCCCCGCCCCTTTTGGGGATCAGGAGGCCCAGTCAGCCCCGCCCCCTCGAAAATCGAGAAGCCCCGCCTTCGCGTGAGAAGTCCTGACTCCAAGTTCCGCCCTCTTACGACAGGAAAGTCCCGCCTCTTCAGCCTGACTCCCTCTAGGATCTGAAAGCGTCCGTGGCCCCGCGCCAGCCCCGCCCCGAGAAACCCTGCCTCGGACCGGAAGGTGTCCCCGAGGCGGTCGCGGAAGTAGAGGAAGCCTTCGCGGTCCATGGCCAGTACGTCCCCGGTGTTGTAGTAAACGTCGCCCGATTGCCGCACGTTGCGCACCAGCTTCCGTTCCGACAGCTCTCGGGGGCCGCGGTAGCCCACGAAGGGTTGCTGGCTTACCACCTTGGTCAGCAGCAGCCCCGGCTCCCCTGGGGTAGGAGCAGGAACAAGAACCCCTGGAGCCCACCAGCCAAGCCCCCTGCTGGAGGTTTTCAACAACGGTGGACTCTTCATCACCCAGCACCCTGCCAAGGACAGACCCAAAGACACAGACAGGGAGATCCAGAGATGAGAGAGACATTCAGAGACCTTGAGAGACTGCGACAAGCGACACAGAAAATGAGAGAGAAGTATAGAGAAGGCGGTATGGGGAGCCCATGAGAAACAGGAAAAGGATAACAAGGGATGGAAGACGGACAGACAAATGGCAGTGAGAATAGATATGACCAGGACCTTGCAAGGCCCTGGGAGAAGACACTAACAGAAGGTACAGGACAAGGGACCAATGGCTGGAATGCCGTCTTCCACAGAAAGCTCAAGAGAACAAATCAGATGGACACCCAGAGACCCAGTAAATCAGAGCAAGAGATCAAGGCAGGGGAGCTGGACAGAGCCGAGAAGCTGAGGCGGAGGCCCCAGATGGTGGTAAGGCAGGCCACTGGCTCAGGGTCCAGATGAAGGCTGCAGACCCCTCTAGTGAGCACCAACGTCAAGCTTTTGAGCAGCTCGTTCCAGCCAAGCAGAAGACTGAGGGTCGCCACCCCTGCCACCCAGGAAAGGCTCCTCAACCCCCATACCTAGCCCTACAGGGATGCAGAAGCCCTGATTGTCCCTCACAGGCTCCGCCGCCTCCATGTCGAACTGCACCAGCTCAAAGGGGGACAGCATCTGGGGTGGAGGGTGGAGTGTTGACATAGGTCCTGTGGGCTCAGCCTCAGGGCAGCTGCACACCAGGTACCCGCACACTCACTCGGAGGAGGCAGCTCATCTTGCCCAGGGCCCCGCAGCGCCCCACATAGTTGACTAAGCCCATGTTGCCTTCTGTGGAGCCGTAGACTTCCCAGATCCGAATAGGACCGAAGCGCTGCTGGAAGGTCTCCCACACATCAGCCCGTAGTCCATTGCCCATTGCCAGGCGGACTGTATGTGTCCGGTCCTCTGGTTGCTACAGGAATGTCCCCAGAAGGGTGAGGAGGAGGTGCTCTTGGGGCATGCCTTGGAACCTTTACCTAGAGGGGGTGTTATCCTGGGTCCTTACCTTGGGAGTTACCTGGAAGGTGATGGGGGACCTCTACCTAAGGGATCTACCTGGGTTACTTACATGAGAGTAGTTACTGGAGTCTTAAATAGAGGGTTACCTGCAGGGGCGACCTCAGAGCTTTGCCTGGGGGACGTTACCAGAGGTGACTGGAGGCCTCATCTGGGGTCTCACCTAAGAGTAGTTACCTAGAACTTTAATTTAATGGAAATTTAATTTTAATTAATTAATTTTTAATGGAAATTCTCATGATAGGGGTAGGGGCTATTATCCCTGTTTTCCAAATGAGGACACTGAGGCTCAAGGTAGCACAGCTATCAAAGAAACCATTATTGGAAGCCTTGTCTGAAACTCATTATCTGGGGTTCTTGCATGAGGTGTATTATCTGAGGGACTTGAGTTCAGTACCTGAATCTTTACCTGAGACCTTTACCTGGGATTTCATACTTGGGTGTTCACCATGGAGCCCTAATCTTAGAGCCTCACCTGGGGAATGTTACACAAGTACCGCAGGAGCTCGCCCACATACAGGATCACTGTCACGCCATGCTGCCGACAGTCATCCCAGAAGCAGGAAGTAGAGAACTTGGGGGCCAGAACACAGGTGGCTCCTGGGAGATGACAGGAGAGGGGGTTTCAGGTCATGCTTCCAAATTGTTGTAAGAAGCTGCTTTTAGCACCTGTGCTCACCCACCCCCACACCCTGAAATACAGGACAATACTGAGTTCATCTTTGTGTCCTTGGCCCAGCCAGGACTGCTCTCACTAGAAGAGCATAGGCAGGCCTGGGTTCAAATCCTGTCTCCAGGATGCCGGGAAAGCTCCGTGCCTGTTATAAAGTGAGCAATGCTAAATAAGGGCTGTAAATATTAAATTTTTTATTTTTATTTTTGAGACGGAGTCTCGCTCTGTTGCCCAGGCTGGAGTGCAGTGGTGCAATCTCCGCTCACTGCAACCTCTCCCTCCCGGGTTCAAGCGATTCTCCTGCCTCAGCTTTCTGAGTTGCTGGGATTACAAGCACCCGCCACCACAGCTGGCTAATTTTTGTACTTTTTTAAGTACAGACGGGGTTTCACCATGTTGGCCAGGCTGGTCTTGAACTCCTGACCTTTCAGGTGATCCACCCGCCTCGGCCTCCAAAGTGCTGTGATTACAGGCATGAGCCTCTGTGCCCAGCCACATTTTTAATTTTTATTTTGGCTTGTCACTGACTCGAAGCTCAAATCACTCTTGATTACGATAAATGAATGCCCAGCTAAGCAGATGGGTGGGCAGGTGGATGGATATGGTGGATGGATGGAAAGATGAATGGATGGACAGTTAGAGTAGTGAGTGAGTAGATGGGTGGGTGGACAGAGTAGTGAGTGAGTAGATGGATGGGTGAACAGTTAGAGTAGTGAGTGAGTAGATGGATGGGTGGACAGTTAGAGTAGTGAGTGAGTAGATGGATGGGTGACAGAGTAGTGAGTGAGTAGATGGATGGGTGAACAGTTAGAGTAGTGAGTGAGAAGATGGATGGGTGAACAGTTAGAGTAGTGAGTGAGTGGATGGATGGGTGGACAGTTAGAGTAGTGAGTGAGTAGATGGATGGGTGGACAGAGTAGTGAGTGAGAAGATGGATGTGTGGACAGTTAGAGTAGTGAGTGAGAAGATGGATGGGTGAACAGAGTAGTGAGTGAGTAGATGGATGGGTGAACAGTTACAGTAGTGAGTGAGAAGATGGATGGGTGAACAGTTAGAGTAGTGAGTGAGTGGATGGATGGGTGGACAGTTAGAGTAGTGAGTGAGTAGATGGATGGGTGGACAGAGTAGTGAGTGAGAAGATGGATGTGTGGACAGAGTAGTGAGTGAGAAGATGGATGGGTGAACAGTTAGAGTAGTGAGTGAGTAGATGGATGGGTGGACAGTTAGAGTAGTGAGTGAGTAGATGGATGGGTGGACAGTTAGAGTAGTGAGTGAGTAGATGGATGGGTGGACAGTTAGAGTAGTGAGTGAGTAGATGGATGGCTGGACAGTTAGAGTAGTGAGTGAGTAGATGGATGGGTGGACAGTTAGAGTAGTGAGTGAGTAGATGGATGGCTGGACAGTGACATGCAGAGGCAGGGGGGTAGAAAGATGGATAGGTGGCTGGGTGAGGATCGTCACGCCTGTAATCCCAGGACTTAGGGAGGCCGAGGTGGGCGGATCACGAGGTCAGGAGATCAAGACCATCCTGGCTAACACGGTGAAACCCGTCTCTACTGAAAATACAAAAAATTAGCTGGGCGTGGTAGCGGGCGCCTGTAGTCCCAGCTACTCGGGAGGCTGAGGCAGGAGAATGGCGTGAACCTGGGAGGCGGAGCTTGCAGTGAGCCGAGATAGCGCCACTGCACTCCAGCCTGGGCGACAGAGTGAGACTCTGTCTTAAAAAAAAAAAAAAAGAAAAAGAGAAAGATGGATAGGTGTAAGGATGGATAGATGGGTGGGTGGATGAATGAATGAATGAGTGAGGAAGTAGGTGAGTAGGTAGATGGGTGGGTTGGTGAATGTTTGTATGGTTGTATTGACGTATGGACACATGGATTAATAAGATATAGGGGGCTGGGCGTGGTGGCTCACACCTGTTATCCCAACACTTTGGGAGGCTGAGGGGGGTGGATCACCTGAAAGATCAGGAGTTTGAGACCAGCCTAGCCAACATGGTGAAACCCTATCTCTACCAAAAAATGCAAAAATTAGCCAGGCGTGGTGGCGCACACCTGTAGTCCCAGCTACTCGGGAGGCTGAGGTGGAAGAATCGCTTGAACCCAGGAGGGGGAGGCTGTAGTGAGCCGAGCTTACACCACTGCACTCCAGCCTGGGTGACAGAGTGAGACCCTGTCTCAAAAGAAAAAGAAAAAAACTGAATCTAACAACACCTCTAGTTAAAGTTTCCAATTTAACAAGAAATGCAGATGAAAGGGGAACAGAGACCTACAAGCAAATACAATGGGGAGACTGTTTAATTGTTAAAAACAAACAAACAAACAAACAAACAAAAAAACAGCCAATTGGCTGGGCACAGTAGCTCACACCTGTAATCTCAGCACTTTGGGAGGCCAACGTGTTCAGATCACTTGAGGCCAGAAGTTCAAGACCAGACTGGCCAACAGGGCGAAACCCTGTCTTTACTAAAAATACAAAAAAATTAGCTGGGCATGGTGGTCCACACCTGTAATCACAACTGCTCAGGAGGATGAGGCATGAGAATCGTTTGAACCCAGGAGGCAGAGGTTGTAGTGAGCCAACATCACACAACTGTACTCCAGCCTGGGTGACAAAGCAAGACTCTGTCTCTAAAAACAAAACCAAACCAAAACAGCCCATTGGAGAAATCTGAACATAGACTGGACATCATATGATATTAAGGGGTTACATCATATGATATTAAGGACATCATATGATATTAATGTTGTTACGTGTAATAATCACTTTGGTTACAGTTTCTTCAGTGCTTATATGTTAGAGATATGTACTGCAATATTTACAAGCATAAAGATGCAGTGTCTAGGATTTGCTCTGATATATTCTGGAAAAAAATAGGGAAGTGGCTGGGCACGGTGGCTCACGCCTGTAATCCCAGCACTTTGGGAGGCCGAGGCAGGTGGATCACCTGAGGTCAGGAGTTTGAGACCAGCCTGGCCAACATGGCGAAACCCTGTCTCTACTAAAAATACAAAAATTAGCCGCTTGTGGCGGTGCGTGCCTGTAATCCCAGCTATTCAGGAGGCTGAGGCAGAAAACTGATTGAACCCTGGGGGGGGGGGGGGGGCGGGCGGGGCGGAGCTTGCGGTGACCCAAGATGGTGCCACTGCACTCCAGCCTGGGCGACAGAGCGAGACTCTGTCTCAAAAACAAACAAACAAACAAAAAAGAAACAGGGAAGTACATGTGAAATTAAACTGGCCCTGGGCGCGGTGGCTCATGCCTGTAATCCCAGCACTTTGGGAGGCCGAGGCGGGCGGATCACGAGGTCAGGAGATTGAGACCATCCTGGTGAACACCGTGAAACCCTGTCTCTACTAAAAATACAAAAAAAATAGCCAGGCGTGGTGGCGGTCACTTGTAGTCCCAGCTACTCCGGAGACTTAGGCAGGAGAATGGCATGAACCCAGGAGGCGGAGCTTGCCGTGAGCAGAGATTGCGCCACTGCACTCCAGCCTGGGCGACAGAGCGAGACTCCATCTCAAAGAAAAAAAAAAAAAGAAATTAAACTGGCAGCATGTTAACAATTATTGAAGCTGGGTGAAGATACCTGAGATGTCATCAAACTATTTTCACTTTTTTTTTTTTTTTTTTTTGAGACAGAGTCTCGCTTTTTGCACAGGCTGGAATGCAATGGCTAGATCTCGGCTCACTGCAACCCCTGCGCCCCGGGTTCAAGCGATTCTCCTGCCTCAGCCTCCCTGGTAGCTGGAAATACAGGCGCCCACCACCATACCCAGCTAATTTTGTATTTTCAGTAGAGACAGGGTTTCACCATGTTGGCCAGGCTGGTCTCAAACTCCTGACTTCAGGTGTTCCGCCGGCCTCAGCCTCCCAAAGTGCTGGGATTACAGGCGTGAGCCACCATGCCCCGGTAATTTTTGTATTTTAGGTAGAGACGGATTTTGCCATGTTAGCCAGGCTGATCTTGAACTCCTGACCTCAGGTGATCCACCAGACTCATCCTCCCAAAGTGCTGGGATTACAGGCGTAAACCACTGGGCACAGCCTAAACTTTTCATAATTAAAAAAACAATTTGGCCGGGCGCAGTGGCTCACGCCTGTAATCCCAGCACTTTGCGAGGCTGAGGTGGGCGGATCACCTGAGGTCGGGAGTTTGAGACAAGCCTGACCAACATGGAGAAACCCCATCTCTACTAAAAACATAAAAAAAAATTAGCCGGTCGTGAGGGCACATGCCTGTAATCCCAGCTACTTGGGATGCTGAGGCAGGAGAATCGCTTGAACCCAGGAGGCAGAGGTTGCAGTGAGCCGACATCGCGCCATTGCATTCCATCCTGGGCAACAATAGTGAAACCCCGACTCAAAAAAAAAAAAAAAAACATTTGGCCGGGCACGGTAGTTCACACCTGTAATCCCAGCACTTTGGGAGGCCGAGGCGGGCGGATCACGAGGTCAGGAGTTCGAGACCAGCCTGGCCAACATGGTTAAACCCTGTCTCTACTAAAAATACAAAAGTTAGCCAGGCACGGTGGTGGGAGCCTGTAATAACAGCTACTAGGGAGGCTGAGGCAGGAGAATCGCTCACAAGTGCTCACCACCATGCCTGGCTTTTTTTTTTTTTTAACAGATGGACTCTCACTATGTTGCCCAGGCTGGTGTTGAACTCCTGGGCTCAAGTGATCCTCCTGCCTTGGTACCCCAAAGTGCAGGGATTATAGGCATGAGGAACCACACCTGGCCATGATAAAAGTTTGAAAACAAACAGACGCCAGGCGCGGTGGTTCACGCCTGTAATCCCAGCACTTTGGGAGGCCGAGGTAGGTGGATCACCTGAGGTCAGGAGTTCGAGACCAGCCTGGCCAACATGGCAAAACCCCGTCTCTACTAAGAATACAAACATTAGCCAGGTGTGGAGGCGCATGCCTGTAATCCCAGCTACTCAGGAGGCTCAGCCTCAGCAGAGAATTGCTTGAACCCGGGAGGCAGAGGTTGTGGTGATCTGAGATGGTGCCACTGCACTCCAGCCTGGGTGACAGAGCGAGACTGTGTCTCAAAAACAAACAAAAAAGAAACAGAGAAGTATATGCGAAATTAAACTGGCAACATGTTAACAATTATTGATGCTGGGCGAAGATACATGAGATGTCATCAAACTATTTTCACTTTTTTTTTTTTTTTGCAAGGGAGTTTCACTCTTTTTGCAACCCCCGCCTCCCAGGTTGAAGCGATTTTCCTGCCTCAGCCTCCCGAGTAGCTGGAAACACAGGCTCGCATCACCACGCCCAGCTAATTTTGTATTTTCAGTACAGACAGGGTTTTACCATGTTGGCCAGGCTGGTCTCAAACTCCTGATTTCAGGTGATCCAGTGGCCTCAGCTTCCCAAAGTGCTGGGATTACAGGCGTGAGCCACCATGACTGGCTAATTTTTGTATTTTAAGTAGAGACAGATTTCACTATGTTGACCAGGCTTGTCTTGAACTCCTGACCTCAGGTGATCCACCCGCCTCAGCCTCCCAAAGTGCTGGGATTACAGGCGTGAACCACCGGGCACAGCTAAACTTTTCATAATTAAAAAAAAAAGAAAAATTTGGCCGGGCGCGGTGGCTCATGCCTGTAATCCCAGCACTTTGGGAGGCTGAGGTGGGTGGATCATGAGGTCAGGTGTTGGAGACCAGCCTGGCCAACATGGTGAGACCCCACCTATACTAAAAATTCAAAAATTAGCCGGGCATAGTGGTGGGCACCTGTAATAACAGCTACTCGGGATGCTGAGGCAGAAGAATCGCTCACAAGTGCTCACCACTGTTGCGGGAAGTCAGGGACCCCTAACAGACGGACCGGCTGGAGCCACGGCAGAGGAACATAAATTGTGAAGATAACATGGACATTTATCACTTCCCAAATAATACTCTTATAATTTCTTACGCCTGTCTTACTTTCATCTCTTAATCCTGTTATCTTCATAAGCTGAGGATGTACGTCACCTCAGGACCCTGTGATAATTGTGTTAACTGTACAAATTGATTGTAAAATGTGTGTTTGAACAATGTGAAATCAGCGCACATTGAAAAAGAACAGAATGAGAGTGATTTTAGGGAACAAGGGAAGACAACCCTAAGGTCTGACTGCCTGCGGGGCTGGGCAAAAAGAGCCATATTTTTCTTCTTGCAGAGAGCCTATAAGTGGACGTGCAAGTAGGAGAGATATTGCTAAATTATTTTCCTAGCAAGGAATATTAACATTAAGACCCTGGGAAAGGAATTCATTCCTGGGGGGAGGTCTATAAATGGCCGCTCTGGGAATGTCTGTCCTATGCAGTTGAGATAAGGACTGAGATGCACCCTGGTCTCCTGCAGTACCCTCAGGCTTACTAGGGTGGGGAAAAACCCCGCCCTGGTAAATTTGAGGTCAGACCAGTTCTCTGCTCTTGAACCCTGTTTTCTGTTGTTTAAGATGTTTATCAAGACAATATGTGCACCACTGAACATAGACCCTTATCAGTTCTGCTTTTGCCCTTTGCCTTGTGATCTTTGTTGGACCCTGATCAGTAGTTCCGTTTTTTGCCCTTTGAAGCATGTGATCTTTGTACCTATTCTCGGTTCTTACACCCCCTTCCCTTCTGAAATCCTTAATAAAACTTGCTGGCTTTGAGCTCAGGTGGGCATCATGGTCCTACCGATATGTGATGTCACCCCCGGAGGCCCAGCTGTCAAATTCCTCTCTTTGTACTCTTTCTCTTTATTTCTCAGCTGGCCAGCACTTACGGAAAATAGAAAGAACCTACATCGAGGCCGGGCACAGTGGCTCACACCTGTAATCCCAGCACTTTGGGAGGCCGAGGTGGGAGGATCATGAGGTCAGGAGATTGAGACCATCCTGGCTAAATGTGAAACCCCATCTCTACTAAAAATACAAAAAATTAGCCGGGCGCGGTGGCAGGCGCCTGTAGTCCCAGCTACTGGGGAGGCTGAGGCAGGAGAATGGCATGAACCCAGGAGGCAGAGCTTGCAGTGAGCTGAGATCGCACCACTGCACTCCAGCCTGGGCGACAGAGCGAGACTCCATCTCAAAAAAAAAAAAAAAAAGAACCTACATTGAAATATTAGGGGCAGGTTCCCCCGATACCACCATGCGTGGCTTTTTAAAATTTTTTTTTAACAGATGGCCTCTTACTATGTTGCCCACGCTGGTGTTGAACTCCTGGACTCAAGTGATCCTCCTGCCTTGGCACCCAAAGTGCAGGGATTATAGGCATGAGCAACCACACATGGCCATGATAATAGCTGGAAAACACAAAAAGGCCGGGCGTGGTGGGTCACACCTGTAATCCCAGCGCTTTGGGAGGCAAATGCCCGCAAATGTGGGCAGATCACAAGGTCAGGAGTTTGAGACCAGCCTGACCAACATGGTGAAACCTAGTCTCTAGTAAAAATACAAAAATTAGCTGGGCGTGGTGGTGCGTGCCTGTAATCCCAGCTACTCAGGAGGCTGAGGCAGGAAAATCGCTTGAACCTGGAAGGCGGAGCTTGCAGTGAGCCGAGATCATGCCACCGCACTCCAGCCTGGGCGACAGAGCGAGACTCTGTCTCAAAAAAAAAAAGAGAGAGAGAGAGAAAATAGCCAGGTGCGGTGGCTCACACCTGTAATCTCAGCACTTTGGGAGGCCAAGGCAGGTGGATCACGAGGTCAGGAGTTCAAGACCAGCCTGGCCAAGATGGTGAAATCCCGTCTCTACTAAAACTACAAAAATTAGCCGGGCGTGGTGGTGGGCGCCTGTAATCCCAGTTACTCAGGAGGATGAGGCAGGAGAATTGCTTGAACCCAGGAGGCAGAGGTTGCAGTGAGCCAAGATCATGCCTCTGCACTCCAGCCTGGGTGACAAAGCAAGACTCTGTCTCGAAAAAAAATAAATAAATAAAAATTAAAATAAAAAAAAAAGAGAGAAAACAAAAAGAACAAGCTATGGAGAGGTCCCCATCTAGACTCTGAATCAAGAGTCCAGAGAGACAGCCCTGTGGAGTGCTTGAGAGCACTCCTACTCCAGCTGCCCTTGGGGCCATGTCACAAATCTGGGCCAGCATCCCCATCATCTCCTGAGCACCACACCTTCCTTGGATGCCTGTGACCATCACTCGTATCAGGTCTTGTCACCTCCTGACCAAAGCATGGCCATCAGGGACTGTGTGGGTGTCCAAGCTTCTGTCCATGCGGCCCTGGTAGTCATTGGTGGGTGTCCCTTCTCAAAAGTGAGAACACAGGGTGCTGGGTAACCTATGGTGTCTTTTTGCCTTGACAGCCCCACGCCGACACTTACTCCCGTGGTCCTGTAGACTGGAGGGATCCTCAGAAGTGGGCTTACCGAGATCTAAGCAGCCGAGGATCCCAACGACAAGTCCCATCACGTGGTACAGAGGCAGGACCGTGTAAACCACATCATCAGCTGTGGCCCCAGATAAGGACAGCATCTTGCTCATCTGCAGTACCCGCTCATGCGTGAGGATGGCTGGCTTCGGGAGGCCTTGGGATGAAGGCATGGCAAGGGCAGGGTGGTGACATGACAGCACAGAGAGGGGCCTGACCAGAGGGATAGATCTCCAACAGCCAGGCCTACATTGGGGTTTGAGGCTCTCAGAGAACAGTCAAGTATAGGGATTTGTGGTTGGGTTCACAGGCTGAATTTGGACTGAAAGTAATATGTCAAGATCAAAGGTTTCAGTGGCTGTTTACTGGACACAGGAAGAATTCTGGCATTGACCTCTCAAATTACATTGGGGGTCAGAGTTCAGGCCAAATATCAAAATCAAGTCTGGGAGCAGTGGCTCACGCCTGTAATCCCAGCATTTTGAGAGGCTGAGTTGGGCAGGTCCCCTGAGGTCAGGGGTTAGAGACCAGCCTGGCTAACTTGGGGAAACCCTGTCTCTACCAAAAATACAAAAATTAGCTGGGCATAGTGGTGTGTGCCTGTAATCCCAGCTACTCAGGAGGCTGAGGCAAGAGAATTGCTTGAACCCAGGAGGTGGAGGTTGCAGTGAGCCGAGATTGCACCACTGCAGTCCAGCCTAGGCGACAGAGCGAGACTCTGCCTCGAAAAAAAAAACAGCCAAACAAAAAACAAATGTCAAAATCAGAGGGTAAAGTGGTTTCAGAGGTCAACACTGAGTCACAAGTCAAGTGTGGGGTCAGGTCAGCCTGAGAGTTCAGAGGCTGGTGCTAGGGCTAATGGGCACCCTCACCAGTGGTCCCCGAGGTATAGATGAAGAGGGCAGGGCTTCTCCATGTGATCCCAGCACGCAGGTCAGCAGGCACTGGGTGGGAGGGCGCTGCATCCAGGGCAGCCCCCAGAGCCCCCACCCCTGGTGTAGGGGAGGTATGGCTGAGGTAGAAGCAGCGGATGTTCTCAGCCTGCAGCTTGGGAAGGATCTCCTCCAGGCTCTCCCGGAGGTCTGCAGAGATGGGTCAGAGGAGAAACAGAGGCAAG
Organism: Homo sapiens; assembly: GCF_000001405.40. Classification (NCBI taxonomy): domain Eukaryota; kingdom Metazoa; phylum Chordata; class Mammalia; order Primates; family Hominidae; genus Homo; species Homo sapiens. Next base: position 58,510,966 of record NC_000019.10, read on the forward strand.
GCTCACCTTTGAGGTTGCGAGGCGGGATCTGAGACCCACAGATGCAGGCAGAGGAGCAGCTAGTAGAGAAAAGCATCCATGTTGTTTGGTAAAGAATCCCATCATTAGTATTTTTGGTCAAATTGTGGGAAAATTAAACTCTGATGACCTGAGAACTACTTTCTGCTCATAAGTCTTGATTATAATTGCCTGTGAAAGTAGGCAGGTGGGGACCAAGGGCCTCTGCCAGTCCCAGCAGAACCCCTGTCCTATAGTCCCTGCCCTTGCCCCCTTCCATTCTCCACTGGCTCCAAGGCCCTCACCTGGGTCCACCACCAGCACCCGGGCCCCAGAGCTCAGCACAGAGTGCGCCAGGGGCATCCCCCGGCCATGCGGGTTGATCCAGGCTGTTGGGCAGCCCAGCTTGGCCAGCCCCAGCCACATACACAGGGCTGGAACGGCCTGGGAAGCCAGCACAAGGAGGGCAGTAGGCTCCCCGGCACACAGGCTCGCAGGGTCACCCAGCTCAGCCTTCAGGGCCCATGCCGCCTGGCAGGCCCGGGCATCCAGCTCACCAAAGGTGACTGAGCCGGCCCCAGGCCCCGTCCACACCAAGAGTGCCCTGCCAGGCTGCGCTCGTGCTCGCCGCTCGAAGGCATCTACAAAGGTGTCAGGCGGCTGCCGGCTCAAGCATCCCCTGATCTTCAGGCCCAGGTGGAGGATCTTGGCCAAGAAGATCACATCAGCCGGCAGCCAGCGTAGTCCTGGGGGCAGCCGTGCTGGCAGGAGGGTTAGTGCCAGGGCCGCAGCTGCCAGGCTCAGCCCATGGGGCACCCAGGGGCCGAGCCAGGGCCGTGCTAACATGGCCAGCCCAAGTAGCACGCAACATGTGGGATCCCCCAGGAGCCAGCGCAGGGTCAAGGCCACAGCGACTGGCCACACTGGCTGCCCCAGGCCCCAGAGCAGGAGCAGCAGCAGCAGCAGCAAGGCCAACTGTTGCCTGACACCCATGGTACCAGCTCCTCCCTAGGAGCAGCAGCTGTGGAGTGTTCAGGCTCACCTCTGGCCCCTCAAGAGTAGCCCAATGGCTCCTCCCCAGGGGTGGTGGCCCTGGCACTGCTGACAGTGGCTGGTCCTCTCCCCAGGACTTTGCCCCCAGCCCTTCTCCTCTACGTTTGTTTGCTCTGCCTGGTCTTGTGTGTGGGTCCAGCCCCTCTCTGCCTGGCGCTAACCCTTTCCATCACTGGCCTCTGGGTTCCCAGGTCTCTGCCCCTTGGGCACCACTAGCCTCCTTCCTGCTGTCCTGCTTGCCCCATCCACCCTCCAGGGCTGGCATCTAACTCCCTTGCCTCCCCTCCCATCCCTGCTGGGTACCAGACACTCAGAGCACAGAAATCCCTGCCCTTGGGAACACTCCAATCAGGCCAAACAGAAAAGCAACAGGACAGCAAGGTGGACCTCATTGGGAGGTCCTCCTGTGACACCCACTGAAACCCTGAGGAGAGGGGCTCAGCCAGGCTAAGCCCCTTGTCCCATGATCCGAGGAATCGTACCCTCCTGCCAGGCATACAGCAAGTGCTCAGTAAATACAGGAACACTGGCATCGCCTGGATTCAAACCCAGCTCTGCCCCCCACCCATGTGCTTGCTCTGACTCTCTGCTCCACCTCTGGCTTTGACGACGATGGAGTCCTGGGGTTCAGGAGACTGAAGTCAGCCCATGATGCACACAGTTGGATCATGAAAGCCCTGGCCTCTCACCTTGAGGAAGCAGTCTCAGAAGGTGAACCCAGAGGAGCTGCCATTGGCCTAGGAGCCTGGCAGGTCAGGCTGGGGTATGGCCTGGGGCCATACCCCACTCCACCAGCTCCAAATCCTTATGGCAGGGCACCTAGGCTAGGAGCCACTATTGTGCTGAAGAGGAGAGGGGCAAAGAGTGGCTGCTCTCTCCGCTGGATGCAGGGGCCTGGGACACTGGCTGGCCAGTAGGGGTGGTGTCCCCAACCGCCCAGCAGTCAGCCCCAGGATCCCACCCCTCACTGTTTCCTGCCCCCAACACGGCCATCGGAGCCCTCCCTGAACTTTGCCCCCAGCACCAAGGGCAGATATATGGGGGCTTATATACCCTCAGTGCAACCTGGCCCCAAAGATCCCCCTGGGCTCCCCACAAGTAAGGTGCTCAGCCATGTCCATCAAGGTCGGGGAGGGGAAGTCTTAAGTCCAAAAGACCCTTAGAGCCTGACTGGAAGATCTATGGGAGGGGCCTTAAAGGTCGTGGACAGCAGCAACCAGGAGTATGATGGGGCTTTCACGTGGCCTCCCTCTCGGAGACCCACCTCAGATGTGGCCTGCCTATCCTACTCCCCACAGGACTGAGGGATCCAAGAGAACCAAGTGCTGGTTATATATGCAGCCCACCTTAGCCCCTACAGAATAGAGGTCCTAGATGGCAAAGTGGACCATCCTGTTCCTGCCCAGGACAGCCTGTGGGCCGCATGGATGCCACCCAAGAACAGGGACGCTGAACCCTGACACTCACATCTTGTCTATGAGGGCAAGGCACGCACTGATCCAGGTGCTCACAGCTTCGTGGTTTAGGCCCCATGGCCTACAGTCCTTTATTAGAGCGAGAGTCCCGAGGCCCAGCCCCCATATATGATGGGTCCACTTGAGTCTCCTTAGGCGCCCCATGAGGGAGTAACAGCTTGGGTAGAGAGCTAGGGACCTTGCCCAGCCTGACCCTGGGGCAGGCAAGCGGCCCCCCAGCCCCCACCACCACCCCAGGAGAGGGCGGGGTGAGAACCGGAGTCAAATCTTGGGCCGGGTCCAAGCGCCTGAGCGCCCGGTTTACGCAGGAAATAGTCCAGTTCTCAGAAGTGGTCTAACCAGCCCCAGCCCCAGCCCGGCACCACCTGGAGGGTTCAAGTACATGGAGGAGAGGAGTAAGGCGGACTTAGGCCCTGGTATGGAGAAAGGGTGAAGGGAGAGAGAGGACCTGCGCTCAGGAGGGAGCGTGGTCTAGTGGCGGGAACCACGGGTCCCGCAGCGGGCGTGGCCGACTGTGCGGGAGGCCCCGGATCCACCGTGGGCGAGGCCAGGCCCCAGCGCCATCAGGGCGCAGGGTGCGCCGCCAGGTGGCGCTCCAGCAGCGCGCGGTGCGAGAAGACCTTGCCGCAGGCGGGGCAGGGCGCGCGCTCGGGCCGGTGAGTGCGCATGTGCACGTTGAGCGAGCTCTTCTGCGTGAAGCGCTTGGCGCAGACGGCGCACTGGAAGGCGCGCACGCCGGTGTGCGTGACCATGTGTTTGAGCAGGTAGTCGCGTAGAGAGAAGGATCGCCAGCACACGGCGCACTGGTGCGGCTTCTCCCCTGCGGAAGACAGGGCGGGCCGCGAACGCAAGTCAGACTCTACAGCTCCCCGCCCCCACCCCACCCCACCCCCACCTGGGCTCCTGGACCTAGCAGGGGCTCCCCTCCCCTCCCGAACCACCACCCCGGGATCCCTTGCCTATCAGAGAACCCTCCCCTCACTATGGGATCTTCCTGCCCAGCAGGGACACCCCCTCCTCTCCAGGACCTCCCTTCACGTTGGGACTTTCCTGCCCAACAGGGATCCTCATACACTGTGAGGTACCCCTCTCCCATCCCTTCCTGGCAGGGACCCCCTTTCTGTTATCCTGGGATATCACTGTGACAGGGCACCCCTAAATCCAGCAAGCACCCTGTCTGCAAGGAACCCAGCCTGTCTGGAACATCTGTTGGCCATCTGGACTGCCCACTGGGATCTCCCTCTACCCTCAGGTACCCTCCCCCTCAACCCCTACCCACCCGGCACAGGGAGACACTGGGTCCTGGCCCCCCTCGCCTATGCCCATAGAGTCCCCTAAACTCAGTCTGACAAGGCCAGTGCCCTTTCATAAGGAGGGACCTGGGCACATCTGCCACCTTCCTGCAGGAAGCCCCAGTTGCCCAGAACCCCTGCCCGCTGGCCACTATAATGTCCTTGGTGTGATAGAGAGAGCTCCTCATTCTGGGTTAGGGGAGGGGAGGCAGTCTGAGTCCACCCCTAGATTCATCAGATGTTAACAAAATGCCTGTCTCAGCCAGGCGTGGTGGCTCACACCTGTAATCCCAGCACTTTGGGAGGCCAAGGCAGGCAGATCGCTTGAGGCCAGGAGTTCGAGACCAACGTGGTGAAACCCCATCTCTACTAAAAATACAAAAAATAGCCGGGTGTGGTGGTGCACGCCTGTAATCCCAGCTACTTGGGAGACTGAGGCACAAGAATCACTTGAACCCAGGAGGCAGAGGTTGCAGTGAGCCGAGATCACACCACTGCACTCCAGCCTGGGCAACAGAGGGAGACTCGGTCTCAAAAAAAATTAAAAAAAAAAAAACCCTATCTCAGTGGCAGTGGACTGAAAGGCAGTGCCTGCCAGAGGGTACCCCAGAATAACCTGGCCCAGGCACCTGGCTCAGATCACACACTTCACACAGCCAGCACTACCCTGGGGCCTCTGGCAGTTCCCTGGAGACTAATCACCCAACTCCCTTATTCCCAGGCCCCTGGCTTCTCCCAGGGCAGCCAGAGGTGATTTTAAACTGACATCTCAGTCACTCCCCAGCTTAGAACACCATGGCTTCCCCACCACTCACAGTCAAATCCCAAGTTCCAGCCCCTGCAGAAACCCCCTCACTATCACTGTGGCCTTCCAGCCAAATTTTTGCTTTTTCTGACAATGCTCAGCAGGCTTCTGCTTTCCATTCCTTTGTCCTCCATCTCAGAGCCCCCAGGGAGCATCCTCACCACATTCCCCAGTACCACCCTCCCACTCTTTACCTCTCCTGCAGCACTGCAGAGCCGCCTCCCTGACACGGCCAAGGTCCGAGGGAACCTCCCCACAGCTTTTCGGGGTCCTCTGCAGCTGTGGAGTCCCCACACTACCTATGTTTTCCTACTCATGCCCCAGTCTCAGGAGTTCCTGGGGCCTTCATCCCACCACCTCTGAGGGCTTTCTACCCCTGGGCCTGTAAACCCATCCTCCCTTGCTGCCAGCCTATAACGGGACAGCTGGAAACCAGAGAGACACAGGAGGCTCCCTGGAGCATAGTTTCCCAACCTGCCAGGACCTCCTGCCAAGGCTCCATACCCATCATGTGCATCCCAGGCTGCTCAAGTTTCCACCACCACCCTTCCAAAGGCCAGGACAGGCTCCTGCTTCCCTACCCAGCCTCAGGATCCCCCTCCACAGAAGCCAGTGCCTGCTGCTCCACAGAGTGGGGCTTTCCCCTCCCCCACATACCTTGCACTTGGGGGAAGGCTCAATTTCTAGGCCCCCTGCTAACCAAAAGTAACAGAACAGTGCCAGTGCCCTGTAACTAGTGCTCAATTCCCCCTCAGGTTTAACTCTCCGATGAGAGATTGCTCCCTCTCCTCCCCCGCCCTGGCTCACCCGAGTGGATGAACATGTGCTTGGTGTAGTTTTTCCGGGAGCTGAACGTCTTGCGACAGTGGCTGCACTCATACGTAGGTGGCTCAGCACCTGGGGTGCGAGCAGGGGTGCCTGAGGGGGCCGTGGTGGGAGCAGCAGAGGGAGCCGGGACCTCCCCCAGCTGAGTACTGGGGGCTGCCTCGGGCTGGAGTGTGGGGTAGAAGGCGGGTGGGGGCGCAGGGGCTGGCCCCGATGGTGCTGAAGGGGGTGGTGCGGGTGGCCCAGGGGCACCCAAGTGAAAGGGGAAGAGTGCAACGGGCGGCCCTGGGGTCTTCACACCAGGCGGGCGGGATCCAGACAGTATGCAGTCGGGCTGGACAGGGGTCTCAGTGGGACAGCCTTCGGGGACAGCGCCATCCTCGTCGTGCCAAGTGGATACATAGCTGTCTGGAAATACGTCCTCAGCTGACCCAGCTCCCCGAAGAAAATCTCTCCCGGCACCACTGTAGTCAGCGAGGCCAGTGGGTGCAGGGGGCTCCTCGCACGCGCTGTCAGCAGCAGCAGTGAGGAAGCCAGCAGCACAGTCTGGGAAGGAAGGAGGTGCCTGGCCCTCGCCTGGGCCGCCACCTTCGCCATCCTCGCCATCGGTCTCATCGTCACTTTCCTCGTCATCCTCGTCACCTCGGTCATCAGGGGCCGCGGACAGTGAGGGGTCAGCATCAGGCCCCTCAGCCTTGGCAGGTGTTGGGGGCGCTGGCAGCTGCAAACGCGCGGGCTGGCGCTGCTTACGGCTGTGTGCAGCACCGGGGTGCCCCGGGGGACGTGCAGCCAGCAGGTGGCGCAGGCGGTGACGCAGCTGCGCAGGTGCGAGTGGCGGGGGCACAGGGGTGGGCAGGGGCGTGGGCGCAGAGGTGCCCGGGGCTCGAGCGCGGGCGATAATCTGCGTGCATTCGTCGATAACTGTCTGTATGCGAAGCACTGACGCGGCCGTGAGCACCTGCAGGGCTTCACCCTGCGCCACAACGAGCGAACCGCTGTACAGGAACTCTACCAGCTGTCGCACTGTCTGCGCGGGCACCACCGGAGGCACACGGATCTCAGAGTGGCCGAGCAGCAGCTTGTCTTGGAAGAAGGGTGAGCCGGCCGCCAGCACGCAGCGGTGGGCACGCAGCGAAGCTTCACGAATGCGCACAGTCACGTCACAGAAGTGTCCCCCAAGCCTCTGCCCATTGAGGGTCTCAAGCAGAGAGCGTGAGAAGTTCTGCAGGTGTATGTGATGCACAGCCTCTGCAGCCGCCATCTGCACAGAACAAGAGGAGGGCAGGGAGAGGTCAACTGAGGACCCCCATCTGTCCCAACGTCCCTGTCCCCTCACCCCTTGTTGCAGGACAGGGCTCGAGTGCACCACACTCCAAGGCGCGCTAACCCATCCCTCCCCAGCTGCCCTTCACAGTCCCCATTCCCAACACAGGACACTCCAGCACTCCCTCCTCCCCCTACCTCAGACCTGGCCAGGCCGTCTACAGCCCCCCATTAACGCTGCAAACCCTAGCACACCCCTAGGAGAGGGTGTTGGCCTCAATCACTGCTCCCGAAAAGGTTCAGGCCTTGGCCTACTCTATGTTGACTCACCCACCCACCCCACCCCAACTCCAATAACCCTAAGCCTCCCCATGTGCCCCTCCAAGAGGGCAGCCCGGTGTGTAGAAGAGGCCAGGGACCCCCATCCCAACTGGCTAACCTGCCTCACCCCGAGTAGACCTTGCTCTCTACCCAGCTAGCTTCCACTCCTCCTCCACCCCTGCTGACAGCTCCTTTTGGTTTCCTTTAGCCACATCCCCCCAGTATGAGACCCTGTGCATAGGCAGGATTGCTGCCTCAGAACCAGGTCACCTTAACTAGTATATACAGAGGCTCTCGCAGGAGTGGGGTGGCATGACCTGCTTCCTGGGCAGGGTGGTTCTGGGTGTGCCTAGTCACTAAGGGCTGAGGGTAAAAGGTTGGGCAGTACCTTGGGAGATGCCCCAGGGAAACCAGTACATGCTCCCTGGCAGCCCCTAGCATAGCGAGCAGGGAGGTGGCTCCTGCAGCCCCAGCTTCTTGCCATCTCGATGGGGCCTGTGGGGCCCAGGGTGTGGGTGTGGCACAGAGAGGGGAAGTGTGGATTGAGCAGGGGTGTGTGACTGGATAGCTGCCCATGGAGTAATCGGGGACACGGCCCAACATCAGGCACCAGAAAGGGGAGGGGGTAGTCCTCAGAGGACTCTGGAATCTGAGGAGTTCTGCTACTCCATCCATCAAGCAGGTAAACCGTGATCCTTCGGCCTGTTTCCCCTTCTATCAAACAAGGGATGAGATACTCGGCTCATCCCGCACCCAGACTGCACACACCTCCAGTCTAAGGGAGGAGGGTAGGAGCTCTGGACTCTGACATCCGTATAGGCTCCACCAGCCTGTCTCTCCCTTGGAGTCACAAAGCCCCAGGGTGGGCTCGGCTTGATGCTGCCCCTACACCCTCGGGCTCTACTGGGGTCTCAAGATTCAACCCCTCCGACTCCTTATGCCCAATCCGCCGTCCCTTTGCTCAGCCAGACGCCTCCCTTTTTTGCATGCCCCACATTTGACCCTCAGACCACTTCGAGCACCTCCACTGCCCCGTTCCCGCTGTCCTGGACGGATGAAGAAACCTGGCTGGTGTCTCTGCGCCCCTCGCCTCCCCTTCTGTTCCCCACACGGCAGCCAGAGGGAGCTTTTCCAGACTACGGATCCGGATACACCACCCCGCTCCCTGGCCCTGTTCTGAGCCTTCTGTGCAATGCCTCAAAAAAGCCAGGCCTGTGCCCGCGCAAAGGCTAACTCAGCAAGCAGCACCGCCCCATCTGTATTCACCTAGCACCTGAAAGGATTCTAATCTGTCCGGCCGATGGGGACGGAAACTTGCGCATCAACCCGAGAGACTTGAACCTTCCTTTCCCGCCCCGCCCCGCGACGGGCTCCATTCCTCAGTCCCGACGCCGCAAGGCCGGCCTGGACACTTCAGAACAAAGGCCTGCACTCGAGACCCGGCGCCCAGGCCAGCTTCCCGGGTCCGGCGCCGCACACTCCCGCCACGCCTTCGCCGCGCCGTGTGCTTTACTCCGAGCGCGTTCTCCCATACTCTGCTCCATTGCCCGCGCCCCACCCTACGCCCAAAGCACCCCTCTGACCCGCCGCTGCCACCCCGCACTCTGGCCCCCGCCGTACCCCGGTCCTGCAGCGCCCCCTCGCGTTCTCAGCGTGCGCTTCTAGCGGAGCGCAGGTGCCCCTCCCCTGGCACGCCCCAGCCTCCTCGCCCGCCCTGCGGCAGGGGGATGCCCATTCGACCCCACCTCCGACTCCTCTTCAGGCACCAGGCTCTGCCGTGGCCGCTTCCTCCTGACCGACTACAAGGCCGCACTTCCGGGCCGTTACCCCGGCGGAACGGAGGCCTGCGGTCGCGGCGGCGCAGGGGAAACCCTAGGCCGAAGCACGTTTCCGGTATTTTTATGGCGATCAGCTCCCGCCAGTCTGCACTCCGGCTCTCCTCTTAGTCGGAACCAAAGTCGAAGAGGCTAGGGCTGCCGCGTCGCGAGGAATGTCTGGACCAGAGCACTCTTCCGGCGTCGCCCAGGAGATCAGGGGTGTGGCGGGCCTGCGCGATCAATCCGCAAGCTCCCTGTGATGCAGAATGGGAAGGCAGTTCCCGGCCCAAGTGCCCAACGTGTTCTGGCCAGTTTAAACCCCACTGCGAACCGGGGAAGTGGCCTTATTCCTGTGACACGGGTGAGAGCTGAAGTAGGTCTCGGTCCCTGGCCGCCAGGAGGTGCAAGCAAGCTACCACTACTGCAGACGCTCCAGGCCCGCCCGCTGTGGGTGGGACTGGGGAAAGGACCCCATCTCGGCCTTGGCACCTTCTACTACAACGCAGACAGGAATAGACAACTGCCTCACCCTGCTCTGGGCCTCCCCTGAGCTAGACCCTGTGAGATTCTGGGACATTGCAAGTCAATCTGGTATGGGGGACAGAATTCCGAAAATGGCCCCCTCCGAGATTTCCGTGCCCAAATCCCCAGAACCTGTAAATATGATTATCTCACCTATGAATAGTTACACTACATGGTGAAAGGGTTTTTGCGGAAATAATTAAGGTTACTCATTAGCTGATCTTAAAATAGGATATGATTCTGGATTATTTTGGTAGGTCCAAGGTATCATAAGGGTCCTTAAAGGCAGAAGAGGAAGGTGGAGAAACTTGAAGTAGGAGAAGGGTTCCAGAGGCTTTGAAGGTAGAGAGGTCCATGAGAGGAAATGCAACAGGACAGGTGTCATGCTGAGAATCTGAGAAGAGCTGCAACAACAGCCAGCAAGAAAACAGACCTCATGGCCCGGCGCAGTGGCTCATGCCTGTAATCCCAGCACTTTGGGAGGCCAAGGCGGGTGGATCACGTCAGGAGATCGAGACCATCCTGACTAACACAGTGAAACCCCATCTCTACTAAAAATACAGAAAATTAGCTGGGCGTGGTGGCAGGCGCCTGTAGTCCCAGCTACTCGGGAGACTGAGGCAGGAGACTGGCATGAACCCGGGAGGCGGAGCTTGAAGTGAGCTGAGATCGCGCCACTGCACTCCAGCCTGGGCGACAGAACGAGACTCCGTCTCAAAAAAAAAAAAAAAAAAAAAAAAAAAAAAAGGCCGGGCGCGGTGGCTCACGCCTGTAATCCCAGCACTGTGGGAGGCCGAGGCGGGCGGATCATGAGGTCAGGAGATCGAGACCATCCTGGCTAACACGGTGAAACCCCGTCTCTACTAAAAATACAAAAAAAAATTAGCCGAGCGCGGTGGCAGGCGCCTGTAGTCCCAGCTACTCAGGAGGCTGAGGCAGGAGAATGGCGTGAACCCGGGAGGCGGAGCTTGCAGTGAGCCAAGATAGCGCCACTGCAGTCGGGCCTGGGCGAAAGAGCGACACTCAGTCTCAAAAAAAAAAAAAAAAAAGAAAGAAAGAAAAGAAAACAGACCTTAGCCCTAGAAGTGCGTGGAGCTAGATTCCGCCCACAACCTGAATGAGCTTGGAAGCAAATTCTTCCCCAGAGCCTCCAGATAGCAGCTTAGTCCATACCACACCTTGATTTTAGCCTTTATGAGACCCACAGAAGACCTACTTGGGCTTCTGACCTATGGAATGGTGAGCTAATAAATGGATATTGTTTTAACCTATGGAGTTTTGGTAATTTGTTATAGTAACGATAGAAAACAAATACATCTGGTGAGATCCAGGGCCTCCACACAGTGAGAGTCCAATAAATGCCACTATTTGTTTCCCATCTGATGAACGCATTCCTCACATTTCCCTCACTGAAAGCTTTATTTCTGTGCCTTCCCAGCTTTTACCAGGCCCCTTCGTGATCTCATTCCTCAGGGAGCAGTTCTCACTTCCCCTATCCCAGAGGACAGAGGGACTCGGCAGTGAAAGAGGGAACCAACTGTCCAAACGCATGACTAGAACAAAGCCTCCAGAAGACAGACAGGGTCAGGATGCCTGTCCTTCACCCAGGACAGCTACTGGGTGATTGTGTTGTAGATGTGGTATTTGGAGGTCAGGGGGAGGAAAATATGTACCAGGTGGGAAACCTCATTAAAACACAAGTCTAGGCTGGGCACAGTGGCTCACACCTGTAATCCCAGCACTTTGGGAGGCCGAGGCGGGTGGATCACCTGATGTCAGGAGTTTGAGACCAGCCTGGACAACATGGTGAAACCCCGTCTCTACTTTTTTTTTTTTTTTTTCTGAGACAAAGTCTCGCTCTTGTCCCCCAGGCTGGAGCGCAATGGCGCGATCTTGGCTCACTGCAACCTCCGCCTCACAGGTTCAAGCGATTCTCCTGCCTCAGCCTCCTGAGTAGCTGAGATTACAGGCACCTACCACCATGCCCCACTAATTTTTGTATTTTTAGTAGAGACGGTGTTTCACCATGTTCACCAGGCTGGTCTCAAACTCCTGACCTCAGGTGATCTGCCTGCCTCGGCCTCCTAAAGTGCTGGGATTACAGGCATGAGCCACTGTGCCCGGCCTGTCCCTACTAAAAATACAAAACATTAGCTGGGCGTGGTGGCGGGTGCCCATAATCCCAGCTACTTGGGAGGCGGAGGCAGGAGAATCGCTTGAACCCGGGAGGCAGAGGTTATAGTGAGCTGAGATCGTACCATTGCACTCCAGCCTGGGCAACAAGAGTGAAAATCCGTCTCAGAACAAAAAAACAACAAAAAACACACAAGTCTAATAACCTGCCATCATCGTCTTTGTTCAGACTCAAACCATGGCCTGCTGGACCCACTGGGTCTGCTTTCACTGGGCTGAGTTTTGGGAAGAGCATAAGGGTAGGTGGGAAAGGCATGCATGAGGCCTCTGAGGAGGGAGGACGGCCCTCCCTTGGGCAAGACAAATGAGTGAACCTTGGGCTGAGTGGCAGGATTGCAGTGTGTTGAGGGGGGGAAGCCATGTCCCATTAGCCCCATTAGCATGTTTAAGGGGCTGTAGGGAAGACAGTGCACCTAGTGGGGTGGCAAACGCAGGAGTCCTAGCAGGAAACAATAGCTGCCCTGACAGCAGTGAAGGGTAGAAAGGGACAGATTCAGGGTAGGAAGGAGAGGACACGGGTGGCTTTAGAGAAAGTCTCAGCTCCAAGGGATGGGGCCTGGAGGATTAGGGCAAGATAGGGGTGGAAGACCCTGCCCAAGGGCTAGGATGAACACAGGAAGGAGAAAAACCAAACCCTGACCTCTCTCAAGCAGCCAAGGGAGGTGAGAGCTGCAGCCTCAAGGGTTATTTTCCTTTTCTCTCTAAAGATCTTTTCACAAGGCTGGGCGTGGTGGCGTCTGTGGTGGCGTCTGTAATCTCATAATTTCAGCACCTTGGGAGGCTTAGGCAGGTGGATCACCTGAGGTCAGGAGTTCGAGACCACCCTGGCCAACATGGTGAAACCCGGTCTCTACTAAAAATACAAAAATTGGCCGAGCACGGTGGCTCATGCCTGTAATCCCAGCACTTTGAGAGGCTGAGACAGGTGGATCACCTGAGGTCAGGAGTTCGAGACCAGCCTGGCCAATATGGTGAAAACCCCATCTCTAGCTGGGCATGGTGGCGGGCACCTGTAATCCCAACTTCTCTGGAGGCTGAGGCAGGAGAATAGCTTGAACCTGGGAGGCAGAGGTTGCAGTGAGCCAGAGATCAGCTGTCATTGCACTCCAGCCTGGGAGACAAGAGCAAGACTCCATCTTTTTTGTTTGTTTGTTTGTTTTGAGATGGAGTCTCACTCTGTCGCCCAGGCTGGAGTGCAGTGGCGCAATCCTGGCTCACTGCAAGCTCCGCCTCCTGGGTTCACGTCATTCTCCTGCCTCAGCCTCCCGAGTAGCTGGGACTACAGGCGCCCGCCACCAGGCCCCGCTAATTTTTTTGTATTTTCAGTAGAGACGGGGTTTCACCGTGTTAGCCAGGATATGGACTCCATCTTTAAAAATATATATATATAGAAAAATTAGCTGGGCGTGGTAGCAGGGGCCTGTAGTCCCAGCTACTTGGGAGGCTGAAGCAGAAGAATCCCTTGAACCCAGGAGGTGGAGGTTGCAGTGAGCCAAGATCACGCCACTGCACTCCAGCCTGGGAGACTCTGTCTCAAAAAAAAAAAAAAAAAAAAGGGCTTGGGACGGTGGCTTATGCCTGTCATCTCAGGACTTTGGGAGGCTGAGGTGGGCAGATCACCTGAGATCAGGAGTTCCAGCCTAGCCAACATGGCAAAACCCCGTCTCCACTAAAAGTACAAAAATTAGCCAGGCGTGGTGGTGGTGGGCCCCTATAATCCCAGCTACTCGGGAGGCTGAGGCAGGAGAATACCTTGAACCCGGGAGGCGGTTGTTGCAGTGAGCCGAGATCGCGCCACTGCACTTCAGCCTGGGCGACAAGAGCAAGACTCCGTCTCAAAATAATAATAATAATAATAAAAAGAATGTGTATATATATGTGTGTGTGTGTGTGTGTGTGTTCATATATGTGTGTGTGTGTGTGTGTGTGTGTGTGTGTGTGTGTGTATGAACCCAAAGACCTTAACCCTGGTTGTGGGGGCATTTCAAGGAATAAATGTGTACCTGAGAACACAGGTTTGACAAGCTAGGGAGGAGGGCGATGTGGCCTGCAAATATTAAAAACTCCAGGCTAGGCCGGGTGCAGTGGCTCACACCTGTAATCCCAGCACTTTGGGAGGCCGAGGCGGGCGGATCACGAGGTCAGGAGATCGAGACCATCCTGGCTAACACGGTGAAACCCCATCTCTACTAAAAATACAAAAAATTAGCTGGGCGTGGTGGCAGGCGCCTGTAGTCCCAGCTACTCAGGAGGCTGAGGCAGGAGAATGGCGTGAACCTGGGAGGTGGAGCTTGCAGTGAGCCGAGATTGCGCCACTGCACTCCAGCCTGGGCGACAGAGTGAGACTCCGTCTCAAAAAAAAAAAACAAAAAAACAATTCCAGGCTAAGCCCAAGGCCTGAGATGGGAAATGGTGGCCATTGAGGGAAGAGTCTGTGAGAGCACAGTGACCACAGATGTGAAAGGAGCAGAAGAAATTGAGCTCCAGGGTGACTGGGCCTCCTCAGCTGGCTAAGGCAGGGCCCCTCTGACAGCATGGGTCAGAGAACAGACAGCTCCCACCAAGGAGTCTTCCAGAACCTCTCGGCTGTGCCTGATTCCATCTCAGTCAGGATCCCAACCTCCCTCCACCCTCCATCACTTCCCGGCCAGCCTTTCATCCAGGCTCCCCCTCTTTGGCAGTCATACTCAAGTCCTTGTGTCCACAAACCCGGCCCCATCCTAGTGGGTTTGGGTTGTGCCAGGTGTGGAATACAGGTCCCATGATCCATGCACAATGGTTGTGGGGGCATTTCAAGTACTAAATGAGTACACACAGGAGCAGGCACTAAGCATATACCTGCAGAAATGCTTCCTGGTTTAAGGCAGATAGCAGCGGAGGCTGAGGGGTGGTCCCTGGCAAGGCAAATAGCAGCAGTGAAGACTTGAGCCCTTCTGATGGGACAGAGAAGACATGGGAGCCGTGTGAGGTGTGAAGGGGCAATGGCAGGATCCCCTGTATACTCCAGAAAGTCCTCTGAGGCTGCAGCTTAGAGAGAGGCTGGAGGGAGGCCCAGCCCCAGGCCCTGGTGGAGCCAGGGAGGTGGTAGAAGCAATGGCTGGGACCAGGCAAGTTGCCGTTGGGATTTACCAGAAAAGTAACAGCATCCATACAGGTATTGAGGGCTGTTAACAAAGGCAGGTGGGGGCAAGGAAAATTTACAACCGAGAAAAGATTTAATGTGCTTTCATATGTAAAATACAAAGAAGAAGGTACTACCAGCCCTGTGGACAGAGGCCTGAGAACTCCGGAAGAAGGAGACCTAAATTGAGACAATACTGAAAACAACACAACTGCCACAGGCGCTTTGCCAGAGTCCCAGCACCTTGACCTGTACTGTGCCCTTGGATTAATTCTGAAGAGTTTAAAAAACCCAAAGGCTGGGCGCGGTGGCTCACGCCTGTAATCCCAGCACTTTGGGAGGCCGAGGCAGGCAGATCACCTGAGGTCAAGAGTTCCAGACCAGCCTGACCAACTTAATGAAACCCCCTCTCTACTAAAAATACAGAAATTAGCTGGGCATGGTGGCACATGCCTATAATCCCAGCTATTTGGCAGATCACCTGAGGTCAAGAGTTCCAGACCAGCCTGACCTCCCAAAGTGCTGGGGTTATAAGCATGAGCCATGGTGCCTGGACTTTATTATTATTATTATTATTGAGATGCAGTTTGGCTCTTGTTGTCCAGGCTGGAGTGCAATGGCACAATCACAGCTCACTGCAACCTCCACCTCCCGGGTTCAAGTGATTCTCCTGCTTCAGCCTCCTGAGTAGCTGGGATTACAGGCGCCTGCCACCATGTCCAGTTAATTTTTGTATTTTTAGTGGAGACGGGGTTTCACCATGTTGGCCAGGCTAATCCCAAACTCCTGACCTCAGGTGATCCACCTGCCTCAGCCTCCCAAAATGCTGGGATTACAGGCGTGAGCCACCACGCCTGGCTGTTATTATTATTATTATTTTTTTTTTTTTTTTTTTTTTTTGAGATGGAGTCTCGCTCTGTCGCCCAGGCTGGAGTGCAGTGGCGGGATCTCGGCTCACTGCAAGCTCCGCCTCCCGGGTTCACGCCATTCTCCTGCCTCAGCCTCCCAAGTAGCTGGGACTACAGGCGCCCGCCACTACGCCCGGCTAATTTTTTGTATTTTTAGTAGAGACGGGGTTTCACCGTTTTAGCCGGGATGGTCTCGATCTCCTGACCTCGTGATCCGCCCGCCTCGGCCTCCCAAAGTGCTGGGATTACAGGCGTGAGCCACCGCGCCCGGCCTATTATTATTTTTTTGAGACAGGGTTTCACTCTGTCGCCCAGCCTGGAGTGCAGCAGCATGATCACGGCTCACTGCAGCCTCATCCTCCCAGGCTCAAGGGATCCTTCCACCTCAGTCTCCCGAGAAGCTGGGACTACAGTTGTGGCCCACCACACCTGGCCACAAAATGTGTTTTGAGTAAAGCTCTAAGGTGAAGGGGAAAGCCCCAACCCCCTATTGTGGGACACCTGGCTGGTTCCATCCCGAAAAGACACAGTGAAGCTCTAGCTGCATCCCAGAAGATAATACATCCACTGAAGCCAGGTTAAAATCATTCTCCCTTTAATCAATTTTCCTCTATTGCACCCACTGCTCCTCGATGCCCTGGAGCGAGGAATTCCACCACCCACAGTAGGTGTAAGCTTGGCAGCTCCAGTTTTATGGCCCCAGGGGACAGTCTTTCACACCTCCAGACACGAACTCTGCCATATAATTTCCCATGTGCACAATTCAGTGATTTTTAGTCAGTTTATTGTGTTGTGTAACCTTCACCACTGTCCTGTTTTAGAACATCTCCATCACCTCCATGAGATTGCTCAGCCCATTTCCTGAGCGTCCCCACCCCTGTCCCCATGAATCTGTCCATGGATGTGTCTGCTTGACATTTCCTATCAGTGGAATCACACAACATGAAGTCTTGGTCCCTGCCCTCTCCAGTCCTGTCACTTTGTCTCAGGCTCCTGTGCCACCCGGGTGTTGTGAATTGTCTCTGGTCAGATGGTTCAGTGTTTTCCACTCAGGAGTGGCTAGTCTGAGAAGTGCTTCCCTACTAAGGTGGGCAACTGAGGCAGAACAGCCACCCAGCCTTGTTCTCCCAGCCGTCTTCCTGCTGGACCCATGGTGGCCAAGGCCTCAGTCCAGGAGGAATCAACCTAGACTTGCCACACCCTGACTTTGTCCCCTCCCTCTTTACAAGGGCTGCTCTCCACCCTGCCTGCTTTGTGTTTAAGATATTGGGCCATGGCTCACCCCTGTAATCCCAGCATTTTGGGAGGCCGAGGTAGGTGGATCACCTGAGGTCAGGAGTTTGAGACCAGGCTGGCCAACATTGGCAAAACCCTGTCTCTACTAAAATACAAAAATTATCTGGGCGTGGCAGTACGTGCCTGTAATCTCAGCTACTCGGAGGCTGAGACAGGAGAATCCCTTGTGAAAGATTCTCCCTGGGGCCTGAAAGCTTCGGGGGATAAATAACTCCTCCCTTCTCAGGCCCAGTCCCAAGATGCAAGGCCATTTGTGCCAGCAACGTGCATCAGCAAGATAGCAGAAGCAGGAAGAGAGCTGGCCGGAAGACACATACCCCTGAAGATGGAGGGAGAGAGGCCCTGGGTACCACATAGCAGTAACATCAGACTAGGACACTTCCTGTTTACAGGAGACTATAAAACTCCTGCCCTGTCCTTACTTGGGACACCCAGGCGCTCATTAAAATAGCATGTTGCTCCACACCGCCTCGTGTTGTTTGTTGGTGCGCTCTCGGGGTTCAAACCGATACTAGAGCCTTGCAGCTTGAACCCAGGAGGCAGAGGTTGCAGTGAGCTGAGATCGCGCCACTGCACTCCAGCCTGGACGACAGAGCAAGACTAGTTCTCAAAAAAAAAAAAAAAGTCCAGGTGCGGTGGCTCACGCCTATAATCCCAGCACTTTGGGAGGCTGAGGTGGGCGGATCACCTGAGATCAGGAGTTCAAGACCAGCCTGACCAACAGGGAGAAACCCCATCTCTACTAAAAATACAAAATTAGGCTGGGCGCAGTGGCTCACGCCTGTAATCCCAGCACTTTGGGAGGCCGAGGTGGGCGGATCACGAGGTCAGGAGATCGAGACCATCCTGGCTAATATGGTGAAACACTGTCTCTACTAAAATTACAAAAAATTAGCCAGGTGTGGTGGCATGCGCCTGTAGTGCCAGCTACTCAGGAGGCTGAGGCAGGAGAATCACCTGAACTCGAGAGGCGGAGGTTGCAGTGAGCTGAGATCGCGCCACTGCACTCCAGCCTGGATGACAGAGCGAGACTCTGTCTCAAAAAATAATAATAATAATTAAAACATTTTAAAAAGAAAAATTAGCCAGGTGTGGTGGCGCATGCCTGTAATGCCAGCTACTTGGGAGGCTGAGGCAGGAGAATTGCTTGAACCCGGGAGGCAGAGGTTGCAGTGAGCTGAGATCACGCCATTGCACTCCAGCCTGGGCAATGAGAGCAAAACTCCATCTCAAAAAAAAAAAAAAAAAGACATTGATGAGCTCATCTTTTAACCTCATAAAGCATCTTTTGAAAACAAGGATGGGGTCGGATGTGGTGGCTCACATCTGTAAGCCCAGCACTTTGGGAGGCCAAGGCAGGGGGATCGCTTGATCCCAGGAATATGAGAGCAGCCTGAGCAACATGGCAAACCCTGTATCAAAAAAATACAAAAAAAGTTTAGCCAGGCATGATGGCGTGTACCCGTAGTCCCAGCTATGCTGGAGGCTGAGATGGCAGCCCGAGGAGGTTGAGGCTGCAGTGAAGCAGGATCGTACCACCGCACTCAGAGCAAGACCCTATCTCAATAAATACACAGATAACCGTTTTAAAGTGAACAACACAGTGCCTTCTAGTATAGTCACAATGGTGTACAACCACCTCCTCCATCTAGGTCTAAAACAATTTCCTCACTACAAAATAAAAACTTTTCTCCCCTCTCCTCAGTCCCTGGAAACCATTAACCTAACCTTCTGTCTAAACAAATGTGCTGATTCTGGATTTTTTTAAATTATACTTTAAGTTCTGTGATACATGTGCAGAACGTGCAGTTTTGTCACATAGGTATACACATGCCATGGTGGTTTGCTGCACCCATCAACCCGTCATCTACATTAGGTATTTGTCCTAATGCTATCCCTCCCCTAGACCCCCACCCCAGATTCTGCATATTTTACATAAATGGAACCATACAATATGTGAGTTTTGTATCTGACTTCTTTCACTTAGCATAAGGTTTTCAAGGTTCAACCGTGTTGTAGCACATATTAGTACTTCCTTTTTATGGCTGAATGAGACCCCATTATGGCTGGGTGTGGTGGCTCATGATGCCTGTAAGACCAGCACTTTGGGAAGCCAAGGCAGGTGGATCACTTGAGCACAGGAGTTTGAGACCAGCCTGGGCAACGTTACAAAACCCTGTCTCTACAAAAAATACAAAAATTAGCCAAGCATGATGGTGCATGCCTGCAGTCCCAGCTACTTGGGTAGGCTGAGGCAGGAGGATCACTTGAGCCTGGGAGGTCGAGGCTGCAGTGAGCCATGATGGCACCACTACACTCCAGTCTGATGACAGAGACCTTGCCATGAGAGCGCATGCACACACACACACACACACACACACACCTCAGTTGTATGGATACACCACATTTATTTATCCATTAATTAATTACCTAATGGACATTTGGGTTGTTTCTACTTTTAGTGTTTTTTTTTGAGACGGAATTTTGCTCGTTGCTCAGGCTGGAGTGCAATGGCATGATCTCGGCTCACCACAACCTCCGCCTCCAGAGTTCAAGCGATTCTCCTGCCTCGCCTCCCAAGTAGCTGGGATTACAGGCACGTGCCAACACGCCTGGCTAACTTTGTATTTTTAGTAGAGATGGGGTTTCTCCATGTTGGCCAGGCTGGTCTCAAACTCCCGACCTCAGGTGATCTGCCCGCCTCGGCCTCCCAAAGTGTGGGGACTACAGGCGTGAGCCACCGTGCCTGGCCCTACTTTTAGTTATTATGAATAGTGCTGCTGTGAACGTTCTTGCACAAGGATTTGTTTGAACATCTGTTTTCTTTCTTTTTTTTTTTTCTTTTTTTGAGACAGAGTCTCGCTCTGTCGCGCAGGCTGGAGTGCAGTGGCGCGATCTTGGATCACTGCAAGCTCCGCCTCCCGGGTTCACGCCATTCTCCTGCCTCAGCCTCCCAAGTAGCTGGGACTACAGGCGCCCGCCACCACGCCTGGCTAATTTTTTGTATTTTTAGTAGAGATGGGATTTCACTGTGTTAGCCAGGATGGTCTCGATCTCCCGACCTCATGATCCACCTGCCTTGGCTTCCCAAAATGCTAGGATTACAGGAGTGAGCCACCGCTCCTGGCCTGAACACCTGTTTTCAATTCATGTGGGTATATACCTTGGAGGTGAATTGCTGGATCGTGTTTAACTGTTTGAGGAACTGCCAGGCTGTTTCCCATGGTGGCTACACCATTTTGCATTCCCACAGCAAAGTATGAAGGTTCTAATTTCTCCACATCCTCACTCTCACTTGTCATTTTCAGTTATTTTTATAGCCATCCTAGTGGGCGTGAAGCAGTATTTCATTGCGGTTTGATTTGCATTTCCCTGATGAACACTGATGTGGAGCATTTATTGGCCATTTGTATATGTTCTTTGAACCTCGTCTCCTTCTCCTTTTTAAATAGTTGTATTGATGTCTAATCTATAAGCCATAAAATACATACAGCATTTATAGGGTGGGATCGTGTCATCAACCCTAACGTGGGGCACTGACAGCCTGACTGTCCCCTGTACACTTACGGGTTCCCCCTACACAGCCATGTTGACACCACACCCTCCATGTACCTCATAACATAAGCAGATAATCCTGGGCAGTGCAGGGATTTCATTATGGGTTGGCAAATTAGGCTTTTTCAAATTCTAGCATCTAATTATCAGTGGGCATTCTTTGGTAAGCAAGCAAGAACTGGGGCCATGTGTTCCCCTGAAATACGGTTCCCCTTGGGAAGGCAGGATTGATGCCAAGTTCTCAGAGTGAGGGGCTGGCTTAAAATCAGCATCATATGGTGACAGATGGGTTTATTTTTCTGGATCTCTTTTTTTGAGAACACTTAAGGACTCATGGGTAGTGTGGATTTATTGTGCATCAGCCGATGACGGTCACTGTTCTTTCTGATGCTCCAGCTGTTTGATCAGGTTTGGCATCTATGTCCTTTTAACATATTTCCACCATTCTTTGGGCACCTCTTACTTTGTAATACAACAAGGTGTTTCAGGCTCAGCTAGGACTTTCCCTGTATAGTCTGTCCCTGTACAGTCCTTGAATCAGCCATTTTCCCCAGGAGCCCTGGTTCCTATTAGCAGGGAAAGGGATGAGACTCTGGGCTCTGAGTGTCTCCTGTCCTCCCCCCTCCTTCCTTTCCCTGGAAGCTACAGGATGCTTTGGGAAGGCAGCAAACAGAAGGGGCGAGGGCACCCACCAAGTCCAGGAGTGGGTTGAATTTGTACAGGTCACAATGTGGAGCTCTGAACAGTCCCTTCTACTCTCTGGGAATGTTTTCCCATCTGTGAAATTGGGACTGAAGTAACTGAAAATGGCCCCCAATGATATATACATCCTAACTCTGAAACCTGGAAGTGTTACCTTATTAGGAAAAGGGGTATTTGTAATTGTGATTTAGGTTCTTGAAATGGGGAGATTACCTGGAATTATTTGGTGCGCCCTACATGCAAATTAACATGAATCGTAAGAGAGAGGCAGAGGAGAAAATAACGTAAGGCTACATGGCACAAACAACAGAAGATTTTTTCTCACAGTTTTGGAAGGGAAAGTTTAAAATCAAGGTGCAGGCAAAGTAGGTTTCATTCTGAGGACTCTCCTCTTGCTGTGTTGGGGGAAGCTGGGGTGGAGCTCTTCCACATATTTGTCTTTTCTTTTTTTTTGAGATGGAGTTTCGCGCTTATCGCCAAGGCTGGAGTGCAGTGTCACAATCTCAGCTCACTGCAACCTCTGCCTGCCGGGTTCAAGCAATTCTCCTGCCTCAGCCTCCCGAGTAGTTGGGATTACAGGTGTGTGCCACCATGCCCAGCTCATTGTTTGTGTTTTTACTAGAGACAAGGTTTCACTATGTTGGGCAGTCTGGTCTCAGACTCCTGACTCAGGTGATCCGCCCACCTCGGCCTCCCAAAGTGTTGGGATTACAGGCGTGAGCCACCACCCCGGCCATGTTTTTGAGAAAAAGTCTCGCTCTGTCACCCAGGCTGGAGTGCAGTGGCGTGAACTGGACTCATTGCAACCTCTGCCTCCCGGGTTCAAGTGATTCTCCTGCCCCAGCCTCCCGGTAGCTGGGATTACAGGCATGTGCCACCATGCCTGGCTAATTTTGTATTTTTTTAGTAGAGATGGGGTTTCTCCATGTTGATTAGGCTGGTCTCAAACTCCCGACCTCAGGTGATCCACCCGCCTTGGCCTCCCAAAGTGCTGGGATTACAGGCGTGAGCCACCACGTCCGGCCTAATTTTTATATTTTTAGTAGAGACAGGGTTTCACCATGTTGGCCAGGCTGGTCTTGAACTCCTGATCTCAGGCAAGCCTCCCGCCTTAGCCTCCCAAAGGCATTTTTTCTTATGGGGCATTAGTCCCATTATGGGGCCCCACTATCAGGACATCATCTAACCCTAATTATTTCCCATAGGCCCCATTTCCAAATATCATCACAATGAAGATTAGGGCTTCAACATACGAATTTTAGAGGACACAATTCAGTCCACAGCAACGATGCATAGAAGACAAGGCAATATGAAGTGAGAACAGAGGTATTTGAAGCTGTCAGCCTTCAAGACTGGAGTGATGCAGTGACAAGCCGAGGCCACCAGAAACTGGAAGAAGCAAGGAAGGATCCTCTCCTGGCCTTCAGAACTTTGACAGAATAAAGTTTTTTTTTTTTAAGCTGCCATGTTTGTGGTAATATGCTACAAAATCCACAGGAAACTAACAGGAATCATAGTGATTCCAAAGAGCAGTTGAGAAGATCTAGTTGAACACTCATCTTTTGTTCTCCATTCTGCTCCCACCCATTCCCCAACTGGAACCTTTGAAATGGGAATCAGATCATGCCACCTTCTGCTAAAATCTTCTGTTAGCTCCTCATTACAGTTAAAGAAACACCCAGCCAAAAGCCACATACGGTATTGCCCACTGTAGCAGCTGTGTTAATAACAGCCTGAGCAGGAGGGAGAATGCAGTCAAGAGAACATGTAAGCAAACTGAAGGACATTCATACAATTGACCCTACACAACAAGGGCCGGGGAGGAACTAAGGTCATATATGGCCATACAAATGTGCACTGAGAAGCCAGACAGAGAAGTAAAGCCCCATGTGTTTTATGGGTAGGCAAAGCTTGTCTGTGAAGTTAGGGCGTCAGCTACAAGGGACATGGGCTTCTGAGAGCCAGAGATGTTCTGTTCTTTGCTATCACAGCTGGTTAGCTGAGGTGCTCCCTGCTTGCATCTCTACATATCATAAGCCTCCACCAAAAAGTTAAAAAGTCCATAGAGACAGAAAGTAGATTAGTGATTGTCAGGGGCTGGTTGGAGGGGGACTGTGGAGTGAGTGTTAATGGTTACAGGGATTCCTTTTGGAGTAATGAAAATGACTTGGAAATAGATAGAGGTGGTGGCTGCACAACATTGTGAATGCATGAAATGCCACTGAATGTACACTTTTAAACTGGCTAAAATGATAAATTTGATATTATGTGAATATTATTATTATTATTATTATTATTTTTTGAGACAGAATCTCTATCTCCAGGCTGGAGTGCAGTGGCATGATCTCAGCTCACTGCAACCTCTGATTCCTTGGTTCAAGCAATTCTCCTGCCTCAGCCTCCCAAGTAGCTGGGAATATAGGCACGTGCCACCACGCCCAGCTAATTTTTTTTTTTTTTTTTTGAGGCGGAGTCTCACTCTGTTGCTCAGGCTGGAGTGCAGTGGCGCAATCTCGGCTCACTGCAAGCTCCACCTCCCAGGTTCACGCCATTCTCCTGCCTCAGCCTCCCGAGTACCTGGGACTACAGGTGCCCGCCACCACGCCTGGCTAATTTTTTGTATTTTTAGTAGAGACAGGGTTTCACCATGTTAGCCAGGATGGTCTCAATCTCCTGACCTTGTGATCCGCCCACCTCGGCCTGCCAAAGTGTTGGGATTACAGGCGTGAGCCACCGTGCCCGACCTAATTCTTTTTTTTTTCAAGTTGGAGTCTCGCTCTGTCGCCCAGGCTGGAGTGCAATGGCATGATTTTTGGCTCACTACAACCTCCGCCTCCTGGGTTCAAGCAATTCTCATGCCTCAGCCTCCCAAGAAGCTGGAATTACAGGCACCCGCTACCACACCCAGCTAATTTTTGTATTTTTAGTAGAGAAGGGGTTTCATCATATTGGTCAGGCTGGTCTCTTGGCCAGGCTGGTCTCGAACTCCTGACCTCATGATCCGCCCGCCTTGGCCTCCCAAAGTGTTGGGATTACAGGTGTGAGCCACCGTGCCCAGCCTTAATTTTTGTATTTTTAGTACAGACAGGGTTTCACCATGTTGGCCAGGATGGTCTTGATGTCCTGATCCCGTGATCCGCCTGCTTCAGCCTCCCAAAGTGCTGTGATTACAGGCATGAGCCACTGCACCCGGCCTGTTTGATTTTTTTGAATTAAAAAATGTACTTTAATAATAGACACGGGGCCAGGCACAGTGGCTCACACTGGTAATCCCAGCACTTTGGGAGGCTGAGGCAGGTGGATCACCTGAGATCAGGAGTTTGAGACCAGCCTGGCCAACATGGTGAAACCTCGTCTCTACTAAAAATACAAAAATTATCTGGGCATGGTGGTTAGTGCCTGTAATCCCAGCTACTCAGGAGGATCAGGCAGGAGAATCACTTTAACCTAGGAGGCAGAGGTTGCAGTGAGCAGAGATCGCACCTGGGCTCAAGCTATCCTCCTGCCTTGGCCTCTCAAAGTGCTAGGATTATAGGCAAGAGCCACCAGGCCTGGCCATACATTGTAACTCAATTACCAAAAACAAACAAACAAAATTTTTAAAGTAATAGATACCAAATCTCATGTTATGGTCTACAAAACTGGCTCAAGATGGTCATCATCTTCATCCATTTGCTTGTCCTTTCACATATTTGCTGATGACTGATCCACCAAGAAGTGGGCTCTGGGCTAAGCACAGTGGATGCAGTAGTGAGTACAATTTGGAGCTCATGTCCTTGTGATTTTCTCTAGCTGAAATGGGGAAGAAGAGAGCCAAGAAGAGAGCCCAGAGAATAACATTCTGAGTAGAGGCAATAGCAAGTACAAAGGCCCTGAGTTGAGGACAACAGGTCTCCTATGTGGCTGGAAGAGTGATAAGGTCAGAAGTCAGAGGTCAGCAGGGCCATACCCTAGAGTTGTCACCAGAATTGGATTTTTTTTTTTGAGATGGAGTTTTGCTTTTGTTGCCCAGGCTGGAGTGCAGTGCCTGGCCAACATGGTAAAACCCCCTCTCTACTAAGAATACAAAAATTGGCTGGGTATGACGGTGCACGCCTGTAATCCCAGCACTTTGGGAGGCCGAGATGGGTGGATCATGAGGTCAGGAGATTGAGACCATCCTGGCTAACACGGTGAAACCCCGTCTCCACTAAAAATACAAAAAAATTAGCCGGGCATGGTGGTGGGCACCTGTAGTCCTAGCTACTCAGGAGGCTGAGGCAGGAGAATGGCGTGAACCCGGGAGGCGGAGTTTGCAGTGAGCCAAGATCGCGCCACTGCACTCCAGCCTGGGCGACAGAGGGAGACGCCGTCTCAAAAAAAAAAAAAAAAAGAATACAAAAATTATCCGGGCGTGGTAGTGGGCACCTGTAATTCCAGCTACTCAGGAGGCTAAGGCAGGAGAATCGCTTGAACTCAGGAGGCAGAGGTTGTAGTGAGCCAAGATTGCGCCACTGCACTCCAGCCTGGGTGACAGAACGAGACTCCATCTCAAAAAAAAGAAAAAAGAAGAAAAAAGAAATTTGAGTGATGTAGCCACAATGCCTCCTCAGAAAGTGGCTTTGGGGGTGACACCTGAGGGTGGGAAGGAGAGCATGCACACGTGTGGGGTTTGGGGAAGAGAGGGTGAGGATGGCTATCTTCAGGTAGGCGCACAACCAGGCAGTAGGCAGTCCTCAGGTGGCCTGGGTGCAGTCTGAGTGACCACTGCATATTGCTACACCTGTCTTATGCCCTGTCTGCAAAGCCAAAATATTGACAGTTCACAGTGGTCCAGGACTGGGAAGGGAGAGACGTGGTAAAGTGTTGGCAAGGAGCATGGAGGACAGAAGTATAAGGGATACTGACTGCTCTGCCGGGCCACCTGGGGAGCGGAGCCAACCAAGGTGCACTAGCGTCCTGCCATATACTTATGGACCTCTGAGTGAGGTCCCTAGTCTTACTCTCCTATATACCCACCCTGGCTTGGCCAATCCTAGGAAGCCCCACTCTGCTGTCCCTGAGTCAGCTTGAGCCTGTTTTCTAGTTAATCTCCCTTCCCCGACTGGTGTCCTGGCACTTGCTGAAGCCTCAGGTTCTCCATGTGGACAATGGGGCCCCACAGTGGTGTGGAACCTGGTGGGGAGGTGATGCTCCAAGGTCTGCTGCTGGCATTGGGTAACACCTGCTGCTTGTGTGGCTGCCTCATACTGGGGATGAAGGTCTTGGGCCCAGGAGAAGGAAAAGGGGTGCTCTTACAATACCTCTCTATTGTGCAGAGAGAAGAGCATGGACCTTGATGGGCCACTGAAACCCCAAGGTGTGTTGCCAGGGCCTGGGGAGGGCCTGTTATGAGGGGCAGCCGATGATAGGGTGGCAGGGGATCTAACATACCCCAGACCCTGCTAGCTGTAGAGTAACCTCTCTGAGCACCTCCCACCACTCCTCACTATTGCCTCCCTATTGCCTCAGGGACCTTGGACTTGTTTCTGCTCAACTGCCTTCCTGCAAGTGTTTGGGGCAGCCCCTAGGAGAGCCATTTCCACACTTTGTACCATAGTATTAATATTTTGACCTTCTGGCCCTGGTACCCTTGTCTACCCTAGAGGCCAGAGGCAGGTGTGGGTCCTGTGTGACCCACACGTCCCCCTCTCCCGTGATTTTGGGGACCAGTGCAGGATAGGGCTGTGGAAAGTGCTCATCAAATATTCCTTTTTTTTTTTTTTGAGACAGAGTTTCACTCTTGTTGCCCAGGCTGGAGTGCAATGGCCGGATCTCAGCTCACTGCAACTTCTGCCTCCCAGGTTCAAGCGATTCTCCTGTCCCAGCCTCCGGAGTAGCTGGGATTACAGGCCCGTGCCACCACGCCCGGCTAATTTTTGTATTTTTAGCCGAGACGGGGTTTCATCATATTGGTCAGGCTGGTGGCGAACTCCCGACCTCAGGTGATCCGCCCACCTCGGCCTCCCAAAGTGCTGGGATTACAGACGTGAGCCACCGTTCCTGGCCACAGCAAATATTCCTAAAGGACGCCCACACCTCGCCCTGTGCACTGCCAGCACCAACTTTTTTTTTTTCTTTTCTTTTCTTTTCTTTTTTTTTTAAAGACAGGGCCTCGCTCTGCAGTCCCAGGTAGGAGAGCAGGGGAGCGATCATAGCTCACTGCAGCCAACTCCTGGGCTCAAGCGATCTCAACGCGTCAGCCTCTGGCATTAACTTTCCCTATTATCAGAGGAAGGAAGCCAGGGGCCAGGGCGTCTTCAGGGTGGTGGGCTGGAGGGGGCGGGCCGGCTAGCGAGGCGTGGCCCTATGAAGGGGCAGGCTGGGCGTGGAGGCGGTGACTATGCCGCGGATGGGGTGGGCCCAGATCTGGGGGGCCGCGCGCCCGGGCTGGAACAAAGGCAGAGGCGGGGACAAAGCCCCGCGGCCCCCAGTCCCCATCAGGAACAAAGGCCACACCCGGCCCAGCGGTCGACGCGCCCGTGCTGCAGCCACGTGCGGACACCTGGGAGCGGGGCCCGGGGAGGCAGTGCCCCGTTACCCTCACGCCCCGCCCGGCTAGCCACCTTTACCTGTGCGCGCCTTGGGAGTGGCGAATGGGTTTCATGGTTGTTCGCGCCAGTCCTCGCGGCCTCCAAACATCCTCCGGAAGCTGCCACCTACCCCGCCCCCAGCCGTTGTCACCTGGACCGGAGACCTCACGACCCCAGGGGCACCGCACAGGGGGCTGAGGCCCACCCCCCCGGGGCCAGCCTCAATGCACCCACCCACCACGTTTTCAACGCGCTGATAGTCCCTAGGCGGGTTCGCCTCTACCTACAGACCCTGCTTCTCCCCTTAGACATGATTCCTCTCCCCCAGATCCTGCGTCCCTCAGACAGAGTTCTTCTCTCACACACCCTGCTTCCCTCCTCAGACGGGATTCTCCCCCCACACACCCTGCTTCCCTCCTCAGACAGGATTCTCCCCACACACACCCTGCTTCCCTCCTCAGACAGGATTCTTCTCACACACACCCTGCTTCCCTCCTCAGACAGGATTCTCCCCACACACACCCTGCTTCCCTCCTCAGACAGGATTCTCCCCACACAGAACCTGCTTCCCTCCTCAGACAGGATTCTCCCCACACACACCCTGCTTCCCTCCTCAGACAGGATTCTCCCCACACAGAACCTGCTTCCCTCCTCAGACAGGATTCTCCCCACACACACCCTGCTTCCCTCCTCAGACATGATTCTTCTCACACACACCCTGCTTCCCTCAGACAGGATTCTCCCCACACACACTCTGCTTCCCTCCTCAGACAGGATTCTCCCCACACAGAACCTGCTTCCCTCCTCAGACAGGATTCTCCCCACAAACACCCTGCTTCCCTCCTCAGACAGGATTCTCCCCACAGAGACCCTGCTTCCCTCCTCAGACAGGATGCTCCCCACACACACCCTGCTTCCCTCCTCAGACAGGATTCTTCTCACACACACCCTGCTTCCCTCCTCAGACAGGATTCTCCCCACACACACCCTGCTTCCCTCCTCAGACAGGATTCTCCCCACACACACCCCACTTCCCTCAGACAGGATTCTCCCCACACAGACCCTGCTTCCCTCCTCAGACAGGATTTTCCCCACACAGACCCTGCTTCCCTCCTCAGACAGGATTCTCCCCACACAGACCCTGCTTCCCTCCTCAGACAGGGCTCCCCTCCCCACACACCCTGCTTCCCTCCTCAGACAGAGTTCCCCTCCCCACACAGACCCTCTTTCCCTCAGACAGGATTTTCCCCACACAAACCCTACTTTCCTCCTCAGACAGGATTCTCCCCACACAGACTCTGCTTCCCTGAGACAGGATTCTCCCCACACACACCCTGCTTCCCTCCTCAGACAGGATTCTCCCCACACACACCCTGCTTCCCTCCTCAGACAGGATTCTCACCCCACACACCCTGCTTCCCTCCTCAGACAGGATTCTCCCCACACACACCCTGCTTCCTTCCTCAGACAGGATTCTCCCCCCACACACCCTGCTTCCCTCCTCAGACAGGATTCTCCCCCCACACACCCTGCTTCCCTCCTCAGACAGGATTCTTCTCACACACACCCTGCTTCCCTCCTCATACAGGATTCTCCCCACACACACCCTGCTTCCCTCCTCAGACAGGATTCTCCCCACACAGACCCTGCTTCCCTCCTCAGACAGGATTCTCCCCCCACACCCTGCTTCCCTCCTCAGACAGGATTCTCCCCCCACACACCCTGCTTCCCTCCTCAGACAGGATTCTCCCCACACACACCCTGCTTCCCTCCTCAGACAGGGCTCCCCCCACACACCCTGCTTCCCTCCTCAGACAGGATTCTCCCCACACAGACCCTACTTCCCTCCTCAGACAGGATGCTCCCCCCACACACCCTGCTTCCCTCCTCAGACAGGATTCTCCCCCCACACACCCTGCTTCCCACCTCAGACAGGATTCTCCCCCCACACACCCTGCTTCCCTCCTCATACAGGATTCTCCCCACACACACCCTGCTTCCCTCCTCAGACAGGATTCTCCCCCCACACATCCTGCTTCCCTCCTCAGACAGGATTTTCCCCACACAAACCCTACTTTCCTCCTCAGACAGGATTCTCTCCACACAGACCCTGCTTCCCTCAGACAGGATTCTCCCCACACAGACCCTGCTTCCCTCCTCAGGCAGGATTCTCCCCACACAGACCCTGCTTCCCTCCTCAGACAGGATTCTCCCCACACAGACCCTGCTTCCCTCCTCAGACAGGATTCTCCCCACACAGACCCTGCTTCCCTCCTCAGACAGGATTCTCACCCCACACACCCTGCTTCCCTCCTCAGACAGGATTCTCCCCACACACACCCTGCTTCCCTCCTCAGACAGGATTCTCCCCCCACACACCCTGCTTCCCTCCTCAGACAGGATGCTCCCCACACACACCCTGCTTCCTTCCTCAGACAGGATTCTCCCCCCACACACCCTGCTTCCCTCCTCAGACAGGATTCTCCCCCCACACACCCTGCTTCCCTCCTCAGACAGGAAGCTCCCCCCACACACCCTGCTTCCCTCCTCATACAGGATTCTCCCCACACACACCCTGCTTCCCTCCTCAGACAGGATTCTCCCCACACAGACCCTGCTTCCCTCCTCAGACAGGATTCTCCCCCCACACCCTGCTTCCCTCCTCAGACAGGATTCTCCCCCCACACACCCTGCTTCCCTCCTCAGACAGGATTCTCCCCACACACACCCTGCTTCCCTCCTCAGACAGGGCTCCCCCCACACACCCTGCTTCCCTCCTCAGACAGGATTCTCCCCCCACACACCCTGCTTCCCTCCTCAGACAGGATTCTCTCCACACACACCCTGCTTCCCTCCTCAGACAGGATTCTCCCCACACACACCCTGCTTCCCTCCTCAGACAGGATTCTCCCCACAGAGACCCTGCTTCCCTCCTCAGACAGGATTCTCCTCACACACACCCTGCTTCCCTCCTCAGACAGGATTCTCCCCACACACACCCTGCTTCCCTCCTCAGACAGGATTCTCCCCACACACACCCTGCTTCCCTCCTCAGACAGGATTCTCCCCACACACACCCCGCTTCCCTCAGACAGGATTCTCCCCACACAGACCCTGCTTCCCTCCTCAGACAGGATTTTCCCCACACACACCCTGCTTCCCTCCTCAGACAGGATTCTCCCCACACAGACCCTGCTTCCCTCCTCAGACAGGGCTCCCCTCCCCACACAGACCCTCTTTCCCTCAGACAGGATTTTCCCCACACAAACCCTACTTTCCTCCTCAGACAGGATTCTCCCCACACAGACCCTGCTTCCCTCAGACAGGATTCTCCCCACACAGACCCTGCTTCCCTCCTCAGGCAGGATTCTCCCCACACAGACCCTGCTTCCCTCCTCAGACAGGATTCTCCCCACACAGACCCTGCTTCCCTCCTCAGACAGGATTCTCCCCACACAGACCCTGCTTCCCTCCTCAGACAGGATTCTCACCCCACACACCCTGCTTCCCTCCTCAGACAGGATTCTCCCCACACACACCCTGCTTCCCTCCTCAGACAGGATTCTCCCCACACAGACCCTGCTTCCCTCCTCAGACAGGGATTCCCCTCCCCACACAGACCCTCTTTCCCTCAGACAGGATTTTCCCCCCACACACCCTGCTTCCCTCCTCAGACAGGATTCTCCCCACATACACCCTGCTTCCCTCCTCAGACAGGATTCTCCCCACACACACCCTGCTTCCCTCCTCAGACAGGATTCTCCCCACACAGACCCTGCTTCCCTCCTCAGACAGGGCTCCCCTCCCCACACAGACCCTCTTTCCCTCAGACAGGATTTTCCCCACACACACCCTACTTTCCTCCTCAGACAGGATTCTCCCCACACAGACCCTGCTTCCCTCAGACAGGATTCTCCCCACTCAGACCCTGCTTCCCTCCTCAGGCAGGATTCTCCCCACACAGAACCTGCTTCCCTCCTCAGACAGGATTCTCCCCACACACACCCTGCTTCCCTCCTCAGACAGGATTCTCCCCACACACACCCTGCTTCCCTCCTCAGACAGGATTCTCCCCACACAGACGCTGCTTCCCTCCTCAGACAGGATTCTCCCCACACAGACCCTGCTTCCCTCCTCAGACAGGGTTCCCCTCCGCACACACACCCTCTTTCCCTCAGACAGGATTTTCCCCACACAAACCCTACTTTCCACCTCAGACAGGATTCTCCCCACATGGACCTGCTTCCTTCCCTCCTTGGGATTCCCCACTGTTGAGGTTCAGTTTCCCCATCTGGAAAAGCATCAAAGTCAGGGTAGCTGCTGACGAAAACATGGGGAGGGGATGCCTTGGGGGGCTGGGTGGGATTTCACAGACTCATTGCTCTTTAGCCTCTTGTGATTTATATATATGTGTATATATATATATATATTTTTTTTCTTGATGGGGGGTTGGGGGGCCCGGCGTGGTGGCTCACACCTGTAATTCCAGCACTTTGGGAGGCCAAAGTGGGTCTATCATCTGACGTCGGGAGTTCGAGACCAGCCTGGCCAACGTGGTGAAACCCCGTCTCTATTAAAAATACAAAAATTAGCCAGGCGTGATGGCAGGCCCCTGTAATCCCAGCTACTCGGGAGGCTGAGGCAGAAGAATCGCTTGAACCCGGGAGGCGGAGGTTGCAGCGAGCCGAGATCGTGCCACTGCACTCCAGCCTGGGCAACAGAGCAAAACTCCGTCTCAAAACAAACACAAAAACCTTTCTCTCCTCTTTTGAGATGGAGTTTCACTCTTTTCTCCCAGGCTGTAGTGCAATGGCACGATCTCGGCTCACTGCAACCTCCGCCTCCCGGGTTCAAGCGATTCTCCTGCCTCAGCCTCCCGAGTAGCTGGGATTACAGGCGCCTGCCACCACGCCCGGCTACTTTTTGTACTTTTAGTAGAGACGGGGTTTCACCACGTTGGCCAGGCTGCTCTCGAACTCCTGACTTAAGATCCAACCGCCTCGACCTCCCAAAGTGCTGGAATTACAGGCGTGAGCCGCCGCGCCCGGCCACATTTTTCTCCATCTGTGGTCTAGGCTGGCGTGCAGTGGCACAATCCCGCCTCACTGCTGCCTCGGCCTCCTGGGCTAAACGGAGCTTCCCGACTCGCCTAAGAAAGTGGTGGGATTACAGGTATGAGCCACGGCGCCCGGCTGTGATCTACATTTGATTCAGTCAAGTTTCTGTGTTTCTCAAGTTTAACTATAGCGTGGTTAAAATCCAAAAGTCAGCACCCGAGCTCACACAGGAGCTTCCTCCCTCTTGGGATGGAGACTCTCCTCCCCTCTCCCTGGACACAGCCCTTCACTCGGTCTTGGCCCCGCCTACTTCTCCATCGGCCCTGCCCCCTATCCCGAACTCTTAGTGACGCAGAGGCTGGAGACGACTCTACGGCGGCGAAGAGACGCGGGTTGAGGAAGAGGGACGGATTGCCCATGCGCTTGGGCGCACAGCGGCCCGCTTCTGTGTGGTCTGGAGGTGGAGCTGAGAGGGGAATCACACTCTATAAAGGTTCGCATACCCCACTGGCGGATTCAATTGCGGCAGTGACGTCACAGAGGCCCCGCCCCGCCCCCACAAGAGCCCCACCGACGTGGGGTTGGCGGTGGTGGAAGGACTAGGAGTTGGCGCGTGCGTACTGGCGGCCTCTCCCGCACCGACCGGCCTGGGCCCCGCCCCCGGGCGTGAGGCGCCCAATGCGCGTGCGCGGCGGCGTCGGCGCCAGTTATTTCTGTCCCGCCCCCCGGCCTCGGCTCTTTCTGCGAGCGGGCGCGCGGGCGAGCGGTTGTGCTTGTGCTTGTGGCGCGTGGTGCGGGTTTCGGCGGCGGCTGAGGAAGAAGCGCGGGCGGCGCCTTCGGGAGGCGAGCAGGCAGCAGTTGGCCGTGCCGTAGCAGCGTCCCGCGCGCGGCGGGCAGCGGCCCAGGAGGCGCGTGGCGGCGCTCGGCCTCGCGGCGGCGGCGGCGGCAGCGGCCCAGCAGTTGGCGGCGAGCGCGTCTGCGCCTGCGCGGCGGGCCCCGCGCCCCTCCTCCCCCCCTGGGCGCCCCCGGCGGCGTGTGAATGGCGGCCTCCGCGGCGGCAGCCTCGGCAGCAGCGGCCTCGGCCGCCTCTGGCAGCCCGGGCCCGGGCGAGGGCTCCGCTGGCGGCGAAAAGCGCTCCACCGCCCCTTCGGCCGCAGCCTCGGCCTCTGCCTCAGCCGCGGCGTCGTCGCCCGCGGGGGGCGGCGCCGAGGCGCTGGAGCTGCTGGAGCACTGCGGCGTGTGCAGAGAGCGCCTGCGACCCGAGAGGGAGCCCCGCCTGCTGCCCTGTTTGCACTCGGCCTGTAGTGCCTGCTTAGGGCCCGCGGCCCCCGCCGCCGCCAACAGCTCGGGGGACGGCGGGGCGGCGGGCGACGGCACCGGTAAGTACGAAGTGATCGGTGCCACCCCTCCCCCTACTCTCTGCCTTTGATTCCGACTGGGTGCAGAGATGAGGATGCCACCTGGGCGAGAGGATGGGGGCCCGGACAGGGCACGGGAAATACTTTCTGGGTCCTGCATACGAACGTGGGTTTGTGCTGGCCGCTGAGATGGGACATCTGACTAAAGTTGGAGAAAAGAAGGCTCGGGGAGGGGAGGGGCTGGTTCGCTGCGGGATAATGGTCGGGGGCCCACCCAGCAGGGGAATGGTGGGGGCCATAACCTGGGTGGGAACTTGTAACAGTCTCCCACATCCCTGCTTCTCGAAGTGGTGGACTGTCCCGTGTGCAAGCAACAGTGCTTCTCCAAAGACATCGTGGAGAATTATTTCATGCGTGATAGTGGCAGCAAGGCTGCCACCGACGCCCAGGATGCGAACCAGGTGCGTCCTATCTCAGCAACCACAAGGAGGTTTCTGGGGAGGGGGCATCTGCGCAGGAGGAGCTTGGCACCAGCTCCAGGCTGTTACTCCACTTTCCCAAGGCTCTGGGTGGGCTGCCTAGGTTGGGTCAAGGGACCAATCTTAAATCTCCGGTTGTATTTTCTGGGATGTAAACGTGGATCTATCAAGTTGTCTTGCCTTCTCTGACCCTGCCTTTGTCTGGCAGTGCTGCACTAGCTGTGAGGATAATGCCCCAGCCACCAGCTACTGTGTGGAGTGCTCGGAGCCTCTGTGTGAGACCTGTGTAGAGGCGCACCAGCGGGTGAAGTACACCAAGGACCATACTGTGCGCTCTACTGGTACATGAGGCTGAGGGGGGCTGTTGGAGTTGTTCTCCCATGTGTGCCCTCAGTTGCTTTTATGATGTTGGTTGCATCTGGTGGATGGGTCCTAGAGTTCTCTAGGGGGTGCCGCCCGAAGGGCCCGAGGGCAGAACTCCAGAAGCAGAAAAACTGGGGTTGTGGTGTGTAGTCTCTAGGGCCTAGGTGGGAGAGGGTGGGAAGGGGAAATAAGGGAGACCTTAATGTGCTGCAGGGAGGTACAAAGGGTTTGAGAAGGCTTATCAGGGAGTTGTCAGACCTGGTGGTGAAGGGCTCAGCATATGCAAACAGGGAAAGGCATGGTGTGAAGGGCTTTCTGGGTTTGTGGTTCCCTGGCACACATCTGGTATAAGATGCTGCTAGGGAAAGTAGACTGTGGGTCCATGGATTATAAGTGATGATGATTTTTGGAAGTGTTTTAGCTTTTGAGTTGGCAGAGACTTACCCAAAGTTTGGTTTGGCATTTCCAGCTTTTCACAGACACAGCTAGCTTTGGTTTGGAAGGAGCTTGAGAGTCTTTTGAGTCTAGCCAAGTTTTGGGGCCAGAATCCTCCCATGAGTGGCCTTTTGGTAGCCATACTGTGATTCTTCCCATCCCAGAGGACAGCATTGGTGGAAGATAGCGGGAAGGTGGTGGCTGTGGGGCCTGAGCAGCCAGGAGGGATACGCAGGGGCTGCAGGGTGTCCTACATTCCAGACGTCCCAGGCAAAGGTCAGGGTGCAGGAATGAGTGGCATTGGGGAAGTCAGTTTCCCCAATGAGCCCTGATGCTACATATTTTGGATTTGGTTGGTATGTGGGACCAGTGTGTTTGATCAGTTTTCTAATGGGGAGACAGGCTTTGGAGGTTATTAATGGGTTGGTCTTTGGGTGGGATTATGCTGAGCACCAAGATTCTGCTCTAGAGGGGGTGTGACCACCATTCTGAGGGTCCTGGTTTGACATTTCATCTCTCCCAGTATGAGAACCTCTACAAGGTTTCCTCTGGGCCCTTGGATTGTAAGAGACCCTGGTGTTCTCTTGTCAGGGAAGAGGGAGGAAGTTAACCATGAAAGGAGAAGAAAAGGAATCCAGGGTGGTGTGTAGGCAGAATTCTGAGTATGTCCACTTGGAGAAGTGTTCAGTAAAGGGAACAGTGTGGGGAAGGGTCAGCGGGGGTGGGGGGTGGGGTGGGGTGGTCCTCTTTTTCTAGACGCTGTTATCCTTACCCTTACATTGTTGTTATCTCTAGAAGCTAGAAGAAAGGGATGTGTTTCTCAGCTATGTTGGGGCAGAGGATTCTGGGAGCAAGGAGTTGGGCTTGCAGGCCTGTGTTCTTCCCTGGCCACACCCTCTACATCTTCCCAATAAATGGCCCAGTGTCACAGAACAGGCCGGAAATGAGGCCCCAACTCATTCTGCTTCCTGAGTTGGGGGTGGTGAAGGGCAAGGTCCAGCCTTATGATTCCCACTCCCCAGGGCCAGCCAAGTCTCGGGATGGTGAACGTACTGTCTATTGCAACGTACACAAGCATGAACCCCTTGTGCTGTTTTGTGAGAGCTGTGATACTCTCACCTGCCGAGACTGCCAGCTCAATGCCCACAAGGACCACCAGTGAGTCCCAAGGCATAGTGGTTGGGTGGGTGGGTGCCACCCCTTCCGTAGCTTAGTGCTCAGGAACACATCTGTCTGCTCTCAGGTACCAGTTCTTAGAGGATGCAGTGAGGAACCAGCGCAAGCTCCTGGCCTCACTGGTGAAGCGCCTTGGGGACAAACATGCAACATTGCAGAAGAGCACCAAGGAGGTTCGCAGCTCGTAAGTGTGGGTTCTGGGGCTGTGGGGGTGGCCCAGGGCAGCAAGACCCTACCTAGCCTGACCTGCTGTGTCCCCTAGAATCCGCCAGGTGTCTGACGTACAGAAGCGTGTGCAAGTGGATGTCAAGATGGCCATCCTGCAGATCATGAAGGAGCTGAATAAGCGGGGCCGTGTGCTGGTCAATGATGCCCAGGTAAGCCTTGTGCCGGTGAGAAGGGTCCCTGAGCCCCCTCTGCTGATTGATG
The DNA here is from genome assembly GCF_000001405.40 of Homo sapiens. NCBI lineage: Eukaryota > Metazoa > Chordata > Mammalia > Primates > Hominidae > Homo > Homo sapiens. The sequence continues at coordinate 58,547,959 of NC_000019.10, forward strand.
ATGCTGTCTGGGGTGAGGAGTGATCCTAGTATTCTTCTGCCTTCTCTGCTTACCTCATACACCTTCTATCTGCAGAAGGTGACTGAGGGGCAGCAGGAGCGCCTGGAGCGGCAGCACTGGACCATGACCAAGATCCAGAAGCACCAGGAGCACATTCTGCGCTTTGCCTCTTGGGCTCTGGAGAGTGACAACAACACAGCCCTTTTGCTTTCTAAGAAGTTGGTGTGTACTGGTGGGCTCCTGGCTGGTGGGTTCCAGGCAGGTGGTTCCCAATACCTCAAATCCCTATTTGTTGTTGGTGTGCTCATTCTTTCCTCCCTTTCACTCCCAACCAGATCTACTTCCAGCTGCACCGGGCCCTCAAGATGATTGTGGATCCCGTGGAGCCACATGGCGAGATGAAGTTTCAGTGGGACCTCAATGCCTGGACCAAGAGTGCCGAGGCCTTTGGTGGGTCCCCAGCTTTACCTCACTCTGTTATTACCCCACGTGCTGCACCTACTTACGTTTCTCTCTTCTTTTTGCAGGCAAGATTGTGGCAGAGCGTCCTGGCACTAACTCAACAGGCCCTGCACCCATGGCCCCTCCAAGAGCCCCAGGGCCCCTGAGCAAGCAGGGCTCTGGCAGCAGCCAGGTGAGCAGGAGAGAGGACCCAGGAAGGGGTGGGCAGGGAATGGGGTCCAGTAGCAGGAGAGAGGACCCAGGCAGGGGGGGTGGGCAGGGAATGGGGTCCAGTAGGGTTCCTGTCCCACTGAGGCAGAGGGTTCTGCTTTGTTCACAGCCCATGGAGGTGCAGGAAGGCTATGGCTTTGGGTCAGGTGAGTGGGTCTGCCTAGTGGGTGGGGAAGGGCCCCAGTGCTGTTTCTACCCCAACCTGCCAGTCTTCTTTCTCCATTTTCTAAGGAGATGATCCCTACTCAAGTGCAGAGCCCCATGTGTCAGGTGTGAAACGGTAAGTATGGCACCTCCCCTGGGGGTGAGGTGGATGGAGGGTGGGGGTGTACTCATGCCAGGTTGCTGCATCTACAGGTCCCGCTCAGGTGAGGGCGAGGTGAGCGGCCTTATGCGCAAGGTGCCACGAGTGAGCCTTGAACGCCTGGACCTGGACCTCACAGCTGACAGCCAGCCACCCGTCTTCAAGGTCTTCCCAGGCAGTACCACTGAGGACTACAACCTTATTGTTATTGAACGTGGCGCTGCCGCTGCAGCTACCGGCCAGCCAGGGACTGCGCCTGCAGGAACCCCTGGTGCCCCACCCCTGGCTGGCATGGCCATTGTCAAGGTAAGCCTGTCCCAAGGAACTATAGCTGTAGGATGAAGCCTGTAGTCCAGGTCTGGACCCTGTTGAACACCCCTCATCACCACCTTGCAGGAGGAGGAGACGGAGGCTGCCATTGGAGCCCCTCCTACTGCCACTGAGGGCCCTGAGACCAAACCTGTGCTTATGGCTCTTGCGGAGGGTCCTGGTGCTGAGGGTCCCCGCCTGGCCTCACCTAGTGGCAGCACCAGCTCAGGGCTGGAGGTGGTGGCTCCTGAGGGTACCTCAGCCCCAGGTGGTGGCCCGGGAACCCTGGATGACAGTGCCACCATTTGCCGTGTCTGCCAGAAGCCAGGCGATCTGGTTATGTGCAACCAGTGTGAGTTTTGTTTCCACCTGGACTGTCACCTGCCGGCCCTGCAGGATGTACCAGGGTGAGTGTGAGGCTGGTGGGGGTCAAGTCTGGGTGTTGGGCTGTCTGGACAGGATCATGTGCAGACCCTTATTTTCTTCACCCTAGGGAGGAGTGGAGCTGCTCACTCTGCCATGTGCTCCCTGACCTGAAGGAGGAGGATGGCAGCCTCAGCCTGGATGGTGCAGACAGCACTGGCGTGGTGGCCAAGCTCTCACCAGCCAACCAGCGGGTGAGGGCTGGGGTTACTTAGGTGGGGTTGCCCAGAGAGGCTTTATAGGTGCTGCCCAGAGCTGTGACATCCCTTACAATGTTTGTAGAAATGTGAGCGTGTACTGCTGGCCCTATTCTGTCACGAACCCTGCCGCCCCCTGCATCAGCTGGCTACCGACTCCACCTTCTCCCTGGTGAGTCCTAGGATGGGAAAGGGGAAGGGGGTGGTGGCTGCTGGGTCTCGCCCTCAACCTGTGCATGTATATGTGTGTCTTTGTGTGTGTATGTGTGATCTCTGCCTGCAGGACCAGCCCGGTGGCACCCTGGATCTGACCCTGATCCGTGCCCGCCTCCAGGAGAAGTTGTCACCTCCCTACAGCTCCCCACAGGAGTTTGCCCAGGATGTGGGCCGCATGTTCAAGCAATTCAACAAGTTAACTGAGGTGAGCCAGTGGAATGGAGAGGCTGTGGGCAGGGGGAGATGTGAAGGAAAGAACTAGGACCCATTCATCCACTGCATTCCTGCTTGGCCCAGGACAAGGCAGACGTGCAGTCCATCATCGGCCTGCAGCGCTTCTTCGAGACGCGCATGAACGAGGCCTTCGGTGACACCAAGTTCTCTGCTGTGCTGGTGGAGCCCCCGCCGATGAGCCTGCCTGGTGCTGGCCTGAGTTCCCAGGAGCTGTCTGGTGGCCCTGGTGATGGCCCCTGAGGCTGGAGCCCCCATGGCCAGCCCAGCCTGGCTCTGTTCTCTGTCCTGTCACCCCATCCCCACTCCCCTGGTGGCCTGACTCCCACTCCCTGGTGGCCCCATCCCCCAGTTCCTCACGATATGGTTTTTACTTCTGTGGATTTAATAAAAACTTCACCAGTTCCTCAGGCGTTGGCTGGTTGGGGGACTGTGGTCCTGGGGCCTGGTTTATTGACTGTATCTACTAGTCAGCCTTATCAAGCACTGGTGGCACAAGGGAGGGGGGTCTTGTCCCCCACCTATCGAAGCCCATGTGTATGGATGCCTAGGGAGTGGGGAAGACTGCCTCCTTGCCCTTTCTGGGTATGGGGAGGGTCACCCAGGGCAAAGGATGTACACACTAGAGGCTTGTTGGGTACCCTGTGGGATACTGGGTAGGTGTGACCTACATCCCTGTGTAGGCAGGGTTAGCCCCAGGTGTAGCACAGCCACTCTACTGAATGCTTCCTAAATTTTGGTGCTGTAGCTGTTTCTCATCTTCAGAAGGTCCCACAGTGAACTGAGACCTTCCAGATGTGGTTTTTTTCCCTGTCTCCCTTTGCTGAGTCCACTTAACATTATCATTCATCTCTGTGTTATGATTTAGTTACTCTACAGTCGAGCCTGTGTGAATCCCAAGGCCACCCCCTTGCCTCTATTGGTTGGTCTGGACTGTCCTTGAGTGTTGTCATTAAACCATCACTGGACCAAACAGTGTTGGACACTACAGCCTGGCAGATGAGGCCTGGACTCTCAAGATCCTACCAGGGTGTTTGGGCAGTCCAGTATCTTGGGAGAGGTGATGGAGAAGGGCCCACAGCTCACCTGAAGCTCCCAGCTCCTGAAAATCCCAGGTGGACTTTGCTTGTTCACCCCTGCCCCAAACCCCCACCCTTAGCTTAGTACCAAGTGCCTCTTGCCTTAGTGATGCCCATCCTCCCAGGGACCCCAGTCTGGTCCCACATCAGGCCAAAAGTCACATGGGCCTGGAGACTAGTGTCAAATCTCTTTTATTACAGAGGGGTTGTGGTAAAAGATCCTGGGCATCCACTGGTTATCTCGGAGTGGCAGGGGCACTCAGTCCCTCCGCAGGTTCTTAAGCCGTTCCTCCAGGTCTGCATCAGCATCAGCTAGGGCTGAGGCTGCGGCCTCTGCTTTTTTCCCACCAGCAGCCACACTAAGCGAGCCCCCAGTTGAGGGGAGGTCTGCAGAGAAAGTGGGGGTTTGAGCAGGTGGGGTCAGGCAGCGGAGGGGAGTAATGCAGGGAAAGGGAGGGCTTGGAGCTGTGGCTGGGCCTTGGGTGGGAAATGGGGTCCAGGATTTGGAGCACTCACTCGACAGCTCATCTGTTAGGCTAAGTCCCAGCTCATCCAGAACCTGGGACACCACAGCATCACTAGGGAAGAGAGAGAACTCAGTGAGGGCTATGCACTCCGTGAGGGCCAGGCAAACATCTCCACCCTCCCATCCAGTTTCCCCATACCTCTCCTCTTCATCTTCCTCATCACCCATGGCATCATCAATGGCATCATTCATCATCTCCTCCTTCATATCCATGATCTCTGCCTGCCGCTCAAACTCCATCATGATCTTCTGGATCTGGGGCAACTTCAGCTGGAAGTGACAGGAGTGTGAGTGTGATCCCCATGGGTCGTGGGAGTGGGAAGGGGGATTGGGAAAAGCGCACCTGTCTGTTCATGGTGCCCATGGCCTTGGTGACACCCTTCATGGCTTGTGCCATCGAGTTGTTGGACTTGAGTGTCTGGATCTTGAGGGACACAGCCTGGATGTTGGCCCGCATCAATACAAACTTGCGCACATAGCGCCGGGTGCGCACCAAGTCTTTTGCCATGATGCGAACAGCATCCTGCAGAGTAGACAAGGGTATCAAGGACACAGGAATGAGATTATCCTACACTTCTTGACACCCCATTAGTTGGTTGTCCCTCCCCACCAGCCCAATTTGCAATTCCACTTGAAGTTTCCAGAGACTCTGGCTAACCCAATGGTCACTGGTCCCTCCCTCCTTCTGACCTAACCCTCCTCTGCCTCTTGGGCCACCAACTCCCTGGGCTCCTTTGTAAGGTCCTCCTCACTTCTCTTGATCTGTAAATGGTAAAAGAAAGGCCCCAGGCTCACTCCTGAGGGTTCCTTTTCCCTCCATGTTTTCAGTCATTCTTTTGACTTACAACAGCCATTCCTCAATTTTTATTCCCAGCCTAGACAAAGAATCTGTCTCTTCCTTCACCTGATACAAACCCATACCTCGAACTATCCAGAATCACATACAGACCTATCTGAGGCTCAGCTTTTGATTTCCTCTCCAAACATCTTTCTTGCCCATCCCAAGAAATGGTATCTTCTCTGCCTACCTGTTCAGGCCAAAACCCTCTCACCCATCAAAGGCTGTGTTCCTTCTTCATGCTCTCCCTACTGGTTCCGGCTGTCTCTTACCAGCCTCTTGGCCATAGCTTATAGCTTACCCTTACCTTTTTTTTTTTTTTGAGTTGGAGTCTTGCTTTGTTGCCTAGGCTGGAGTGCAGTGGCACAATCTTGGCTCACTGCAAACTGTGCCTCCCGGCCTCAAGCGATTCTTCTGCCTCAGCCTCTCGAATAGCTGGGATAACAAGTATGCACCACCATGCCCGGCTAATTTTTGGTAGAGTGGGGTTTTGCCATGTTGGCCAGGCTGGTCTCGAAATCCTGACCTCAGGTGATCCACCCACCTCAGCCTCCCAAAGTGCTGGGATTACAGGCTTGAGCCATCATGCCGGGCCAGCTTATCCTTATAGTTAACTGGTTTTTTTTTTTTTTTTTGAGACAGAGTCTCGCTCTGTCACCCAGGCTGGAGTGCAGTGGCATGATCTTGGCTCACTGTAACCTCCGCCTCCTGGGTTCAAGAGATTGTCCTGCCTCAGCCCTGCTGAGTAGCTGGGATTACAGGCGTGCGCCACCATGCCTGGCTAGTTTTTTTTATTTTCAGTAGAGACGGGGTTACTCTGTGTTGGTCAGGCTGGTCTCGAAGTCCTGACCTCAGGTGATCCAACCACCTCTGCCTCCCAAAGTGCTGGGATTACAGGTCTCTGAGCTACTGCGCCCGGCCCTGTAATCCCTAACCTTCCAACTTAGCTCCCACTTTGGCCCAGAGTTCTGAATTGTCTGGTCCATGCCCAACTCTTGAAGCTCACCTGTCATCTCCCATTTTTTTGAGGCTCTTTTTTAACATTTGCTGCTCTGTCTGCTTAACACATTCCCTGCCCAGATCTGTAGGCTCACTCTCATCACTCAAGCCTTGGATCTCATACCAGTTCCTTGGAGGCAGCCTTCCAGACCCTCAAACTAGGGAAGCCCTGCTGACCTTTCACTCCACTCGTTTTGCTGAAAGCACCTGTGTTTGGTGTCTGGTCTCTCTTGTTCACTGCTGTTAGAGCCGTGCCTGATTGACAGCAACCTGCCCGACCACCCACACTCACCATCTGGCCTTGCTTGGCCATCTTCTTAATGTCTGCAATGATTTTCTTCTCCTGGGTCTCTAGTTTCTGTCGCTCGCGGTCCAGCTCCCGCATGGCACGGTTCAGGGCCCTCTGGTTCTGCCGCAGTAGCTCCTCTGGCGTCTTCCGGCGCCCGAACAATAGGTCCATGATGGTAGAAGCTCACTGGCAGGCCTGAGACAGATGTGAGTGAGGCCCAGTTGTAGGGCATGGGGCCCAGGAGGGCAAGAAGCAGAACAGGGTCACGGGAGCCTTGCCAAATGGGAAGGGGCTAACGGAGACTGGAGGCAGGAATGAGGAGCCAAAAGGGAGCAGCTGAGAACACTGGGATTGTCCCGGGGACACATAAAGGGGGACAGGTAGACCTGAAAATTATCCAAGTGCTGGCCCGAGCCCCTCCTTCATCGCCATGCCCCAAAAGAAGTTATGGCTTGCAAGTTCAGCTTCCCTCTCCAGAACTATGGGTGAGGCCCTGGAGTCCTTGATACGACTGAGAGCGGGGGATGACGCGGGCCGGTGCACTGGTGTTTTGGAGACTGTGGGCACCGAGGACAGAGCAATTGTGGGGGTTCTGATAGAGGAGGACAGGATGGGCGGAAACGCTAAGTACCAAGAACAGGTGAATGTGGGGCTGTGAAGCTCAGGACAAGGCATTAGGATTTGGGGACCCTGAATGCTGAGGGAGACGGTTGGGGGCGCTGGGGCATCCTGTACACTGAGGACGGGATGATGGAGATTCGGTCGCACTATACACCGAGGACAGTCAGTGGGCCCGGCACCAAAGCAAGGTGGTGTTGGAGACCTCGATGTTGACGACAGGGTCCCAGGGAGAAGCGAGGCACCGGACACCCGGGCGAGTAGAAGGCCTCGTACGCTGCCGCCCGCACGCCCGCCCGGGATCCACGGTCCAGCAGGGGCCACTCACCGGAGCTGGGACGGACACCCGTTTCCGCTTCCGGGTCACGCTTCTCTTTCTGGGATCCCCGACTTGCCCACCAACTAAGGCCCCTCGGTCCTGTCGCCGCCGCCGCCGTTTCCGGATTAAACGACGTGACGTAACATGCCCCGCCCGCACCCGGAAGGTTGGGAAACTCCAGGAGCGCGCGTGCGCCCGTGCCCCGGAACGGGCCAGCGTCCGAGCGCATGCGCAACAGCTCCCGTTTCCTCTGCGCGTCCGAGTGTTTCATGTTTTGAGTCCCGCCCGAGTGACCCAAGCCAGTACCGGGGTGGGCGCTTTCCACCCAACCTCCACTTGAGGACCCAGCTTATTCGTGAGACCTTGACTTCTGCCTGAGGCCTCAGATAGAAGGAGCCTCAGAAGGCTCCTCCTCCTCGGTGGGCCCACCCACACAAGAAAGGGGCAAAGCTAGAGATGGCTTGTTTCTTCCACTTTGCTGGCCTCTTGGCCAGGAAGCCACAGGTCACTGGATCCTGCCTACGCTTCTCATCCTAGAGTAGGCTTCATCCCAACCAACCCCAGGCACAGTCATGGTATCCCCACCAACTTTAGAGCTGCCCCAGGCACTGGGCAGCCTGTTGTAGGGTGCTCCAATGCCACCTGTGACCACACCTTCCACCACCCCAGCTTTGCAGGCCCTAATGGACCTCAGCTGCCCCTCCCACCCCATAGAAGTAAGAAGCAGAGGCCATGCAGTAACATTCCCCTTTAATAGCCTGGTGGGACCTCCAGAGGTGGAGGGGTGGGTTGCCTGGGCCCAGCTACCCAGGCCCGTTGCCCACCCACTCCACAGCCCAGAGTGGGGGCTGAACAAGCACCCAGCAGGGGGGCTAGACAAGCCAATTCATTTCCCATCGCTGAGTGGGTCGGGGGAGGCAGCGCCGACCTTAATCACATGGTGTTAAAAAAAAAAAAATAACTAGGGGCACGTGGCAGGAAGGGGAGGCAAGGCCAAGGCAGGGGATTCCCCCACCGGCCGCCCCCCAAACCCCTACCCATGGCCCCCAATAAATATTTGCAGGGGATGCCAGGGCTTGTGGCCGTGGCGGGGGTGGGTATGCGCCAACCCTATTTCAGGCAGCGCTCAAAGTAGGTGGAGCCGATGTAGCCACCCCGCATGGAGCGCTGCACGTTCTGCTCAAACAGCCGCCGGTTGTTCTGCAGGACCTCTGCGGCCTCCTTGTTCAGTGGGTCCTCGGGGTTGGGCTCCTGTGGCCAGTACAGGTAGGGGGGGTCAACAGGCCAGAGGGACAGAAGGCCAATCTCCCCAGACCCAACCACCTATTCCTACTCACCAAGAAGAGATACTGCAGGCCATAAATTATGGAGTTTATCGTAAGGACTGGCTTCCAGTCCTCTCTGTGGACAGAGAGCATCAGGGTCAGGGCTTGGTGAGTGGGAGACTGCCACAGGCCCCTCTGGTGTTGGGCAGGTCAGATCCAGGGCATAGGAGAGTGAGCATGTGAGAGGCTGGGAGGGAGGGTGTGGAGCAGGACAGGCCAAGGAGAAAACCAAGGTCAGGCCATGAGGAAGATGACTGGGAAATCAAGAAACCACAGACAACAAAGGGGTGGGAAGGGACAGAGTCTGATGTAGTGCCCACAAGACCATGAGGGAGGCCTGGCAGGCAGCGCTGAGGAGGGCATTAGAGGGCCAGTGTCCTCACCTGAGGATGTTGAGGCAGACGTTGCCCTCGAGGTCAATGTTGGGGTGATAGACCATTGTCTCACACTTCACCTTGGGGGGATCATGCGGGTAACCCTGGCCCACCTGGCTCCAGGAAAAGAAAAGAGAGATGGGTAGGTGCCTGGAAGGGCCTCAGCTGCTGCCTCCTCTGTCCAGGGAGCCATCCCTGCCCGCCTGGGACTCACCTTAAAACTGAACACAAACTTCCCACTCTTGTAGAAGCCCTGGGAGGAAAAGGGGGAGAAGAAAATTTTAGGGTTCCATCCTGTGGGGCCCGATGGGCAGAACATGTCTCCCTCCTCTCAGTGGGGACACCCTTGGTTTGCTCCTGGGAATTCAGCCATATGCACCCTCACCTCATCAGGACAGATGACCAGCTTGAAGTTGAGGAGGTCGTCTGGATCTGAGAAGCTGATATCACACGTCTTGGGCAGGTTCAGCTCGTTTATGTCTGGGTTTGGGTAGCAGAGAGTCGGGAACAGAAAGAGGGAGGGGAAGAGAGAGAGAGAGGGAGCCAGCAGGACACTTAGGGCGGGTGTTTGTTAGCAGAGCCCCCATCGTCTCCTCCTGGACCCCCAGGCGCCTCTCCTGGGCTGTGCTCCACACCTCCAGCCCTCTCCCTGCTCCCCAGCTTGGCTCTTGTGGATACACAGCATACCCCAAACATGCATGTTCAGCTGTGTATGCGTGTCCCAACTCCTGGCCCAGGGTGACCCCCAACTTTTCTGTATCCACAGCTCCCAAATGCCCCCACTCCCAAACATCCTCTGACCGCCCTAAACCCCAGGCTCCCCATCCATGACCTCCACTCTACAGTATCTACCTGTTCACCCAAACTCAAAGATCCTGCCCACCCCCACCAACCCTCAGTCCTCACTGTCCTTCCTCTTCTCTGTCTCTCAGACCCAGCTTTCCATGTGACCCCCACACTCTCAAGTCCCCAACCCCCGCCACCCTACCCCACCCCCTCTGACTCTGAGGTTCACAGCACAATAGCCTAAATTTCCCCTCACCCCTGTCTCCAATCCCTGGTACTCATTAACCTTCCCTCCTCCACCTGTCACCCCAAACCCCAAATTGCTGTGACTCAGGCAGGCCCATGAGTCCCTGGTCCTCCAACCTACTTCACCCGTTTGACTCAGAGATTCCCAGAGACCCCAGCATAATAAACTAAATCCTCTTCCACTCATATCCCCAACCCCTGGCCTCTACTATCCCTCTCTTCTCCGCCTGTCACCCCAAACCCAAGTTCCCGTCTAACCCCCAGACTCTCGAGTCGTCAGTTCCTCCACTCCACTGCCTGACTCTGAGATTCCGAGTCCCTAGTAGCAGACACCAGGCCTTCCTAATATCCTAAACCACCACATACCGGGCCCCTATCTCTGACCCCCTCCCCGTGACTGCATGATCCCAACCCTCAAGACTTGACCTCCGACCCCCCCCACGCTCGGGGCCCTTCACCTCTGACCCTCAGCAACCGCATTACCCCTTCCTGACTCCCACATCACCCTGCCTCAGGCCCTGACCTCCGACCTCCGGCTCCAACCCCATCCCCTGACCCCCTACCCTTCTGGATCCGCAGCTGCGCCGCCGACGCCTTCTTGCTGCTGCCCTTGGTGCCGCCCGCCGACTCCTCCTCCTTCTTCTGCTGCTTCAGCGAGAACAGCTTGATCATCCTGCCGCCGCCGCCGCCGCTGCCGCCGCCGCGGGGCCCGGGACCCCGGCCACCCGGCCCCCCGCCGCCGCCCGCGTCGCCTCCGCTCCTCGGACCCGCAGCTGCGGCCTCCTCCGCTGCTGCCGCCACCCGCCCGGCCTGCCGCGCCGCTCCGCTCCTCTCCGCGCCCACCGCGCGGCCCGCCTCGGCTCCCGTAGTCCGGCTCCGGCCTGGCCCAGCGCCTCGGACTCGCTCGGCAGCGCTCGGCCAAATTCGGCTGTTCTCGGGCCCGCCCGGCCCCGCCCCCACTGCCCGGGGCCGCTCCTTCCTTGCCCTCGCCAACTCTGGTCTCAGGCCCCGCTGCAGCTGCGGACTCGGGGCTCCCCCGACCGTGCCGTTTGGCCGCTCAGCTGATCCCTCCGCGAGGGGGTGCGGCTAGGGGTGGGAGGAGGACACGGCAGCTGCGGTGACGGCGGGCGGGTACTGGAGGATCGTCTTCCGCGGCAGCAGCGGCTTTAGCGCGGAGGTCGGCAACGGCCTCGGGCGCCCCGCCGCTTCGGATATTTCCGCCGCCTGCCCGCTTTGGCTCTTCCCGCCCGGCCTGCGTTGTGCGCCTGCGCAGCCGCCGCAAACCCGCGTTGCTCAGCGATGGAGTTTGGGGTTCGGCCTCCTTCGGCTGGACTCGGGCATTTCCGTTCATGGAGATGACGCTTCGGCGGCCTTGCAGGTCACTTCCGGCGACTTTCGCGGGGCCGGGCAGGAAGCGGAGTTAGTCGCCATCTTTGAGTGGGGCAGACGTGGGCCGCTTTTGCTCGCGGTCACTTCATCTTAAGTTGTATATATGTGCAGAGCGCGGCGCGGGTGGTCACCTCCGCTGCTGCCGCCACCCGCCCGGCCTGCCTTTGACCCTATGGGTCACAGACAAGGCAGGGTGATCGCGGCAAGACCCTGAGTGAGACTAGATGCGTTACCCAGAGGGTGCGAGGTCGAGTACCTTCCCTGTCCCATCGCAAACCCAAAGATCCCCGTTCCTGGAGATTCTGATTGAGGTAAACTAACAAAACATGTATTGTGCCAGAGAGTGGTAAGCACTGTGGAGGGTTACAGTGGTGTAGGGGAAGACCTGTCGGGGTGGACACTTGGGGAACGCGACGTGGGGGCGGAATCGGGCCGCTATTGGCGTGGGCCTCAAGTTCCAGCGGACACGCACTGCAGCCTCTGCGCTTCCCCCACTATCTGGAAAAGGGGATGGAGGCGGGGGTCAGCTTCCCATCCAATCACAGCTCAGCGTGCCTCGGAGGGCGGGAGGAAACGGAACTCTGCCGGTCAGCGACTTCCGGCCGTCACCACGGAAACTGCCAGCCCCGTGAGCGCATGGTGTGGCACTTGCCTGCGGAGGGGCCCAGGCGCCACTCCTCTGATTCTGCAGATGCTCCCCCAGGAGTGGCTTCTGGCCAAGGCCAAGCCCCTTCTTTGAAACTGCCTTTCAGCCTGTGTTACCTGCACCCAAGTCACCCACTGGAGGGTTGGGGGAGAGGGGCTGTGTGAAGGACCTGGACAATGGGATGGAAGGGGAAGATGGCTAGGGCAAAACAGGCAATGGCACTGGGTCCTGGAGACGCTGCCCTGAAGCCTGCAGTATGCTGAACTTATGCTCTCAGCATCTGTCCACTTTCACCTAAGCTGCGTTTCCACTGGTTTGCTGCTGAATCTACTCCTGACTGAAACCTTCCAATGTGCATGGGGCCAGGGTGGGAGAAGCCTTCAGCTCTAGCGATGGGAATGATCACCACAGGGCAGGGAAACTGGCCCAGGGCCTGCAGCCTTTGCTTCTCAGACTGGCTGGGGTTCCATCTGCAGGGTCCTACACCCTCATCACCTGCTGCTTGTGAACACGAGAACAGGAAAGTCTTGAAAAATCTGAATTTCCAGGTGAAATCTTCTAGTTTTAAAACTAGGAAATGGTTTCCTAGGTGTAAAGGAGTTTTACAAAGACATCCTGAGGCAGAATCTGGATCACCAGGTGTCAGTTTGCTCCTGCTGGATCGCATAATCTTGGTTGGCTAGGGAGATTCTGGCCTGTCTGGGTCCTTTCCTGGGGTTTGGCTTGGCCCATGGCCCAGGGGACAGCCGTGACAGGGTGTGGAGGGGAGCATGCAGGTTGCAGGCATCAAGTTTAGGCACAGTACCACCCACAAACCTGGGGGTTGGCAGATCCAAGTGGGATCCTTGGCTCCCAGCTGTAAGAAGTGCTGTGACCCCACTGCTTCCCTTTGTTCCTCTAGTACTAAGGGTGAGATGCTGAATGTCCCCATGAGTACAACTCTTCAGCGGGTACTCCTACTGATAGGTAGATAAAGGTAGAAAGCTTTGGCCGCTCAGGACCACTTTAGGGAGTAGGGTGCTGTTAGGGTAAGGGTAGCTGTACAGCTGAGCTGGGGTGGGAGAGGTAGTATCATGGGAATGAATCATTAACGCTGACTTGGAGCAAGGAGGACTGGTGCTCAGGAGGCTGGTAACCTCCCTGAGGATTGAGTGTTCTCCCAGCCCTTGGAGGCCCTGGTCTCAGTGTCAAGGGAAAATCCCATGGGATTTCATCACCAGACAAGGCTGGGCTCCAGACCTACCCACCTAGGCATCACTGTGCAGGGCAGAGACTACAAACACCTCTCTTCACTTGCAGATCTGTTAAGGGCAGGCTGGAACAGGGGTTGGAAAGGGAGAAGAGACTAGGCCAGCACCACCTCTTCCCCTTGGCAACAGCAGGTCCTTCCAGGAGCAACAGTTTTTACATACCTCCCAGAACCAGGCTCACTGGGCCCCTTGGAGACACCCACACCAGTGCCCCCTCAGGAGTCTCCTAGGCCTATGGGGCACCCTCTTGAGAACAGAGACCTCCAGACCAGCTGAGCAGTACCCCCTCAGGCCCACAGGGCTTCCCTGCCAGCTAAGAGACCCCAGGACTGGCTCAGCAGTGCCCTCTTCTCAGGGGCCTGAGTTCCAGCTCCATGGGAAACTCATTGGAGCTTCTAAGTTGCAATGCTTCCCTTTGTTCCTCTAGTCCTAAGGGTCTAGCTGCTTCCTGCAGGAACTTTCCCATTTCTAAGACAGATTGACTTAACCTTCTCACTCTCCCATCAATCACCTAACACCTAGTTAGCTGTGCTCTGTCTCTTGATGGGACTCAATCAGATCAGGCATGGCACCATGCTATGCACATATGTACTCTTGGTGGATGCTCACAGAGAACATTTCTTCCTCTCTGGGTTTGAGAAACCGAGGTCCATTGCCCAGGGAGAGCTGAAGCTGGACTGCCCAGGGCAGTTCTGCCCCACCTGCTGCTGGTCCATTCCCTCTGTAAACTAGAAGCTGGGTATAGCGGCCATCCCACACGCGGGGTAGGTGATGCTAGGAGCCACCTCTCTCAGGGTGAAGAGGGGTGTTGTGGAGGTGAACCCTCACAGGAACCACGTGGTTACAGAGGGAGCACACCAGCCCAGCACTCGGGGGGCTGGAGGGTGGGGAGTGAAGGACGCACAGGTAGGGAGGCACTGAGTGGGTGGAGACCCAGTTTCCATCTACTGTTTATTGGACACCTACAGTAGCCAAGCCCTGGGCGGACCTGCTTATACTTATGTAATCGCCAGCCTCACAATAACCAGGGGAGGTAGGTGTTCTGACCATGGCGGACACAGTGCGTCCCGGCTGGAGCTACTCGGCGCTGTGGACGCGCTGGTGCTGAATGAGCTTGGTGCTCTGGTGGAAGCGGCGGCCACAGTCCTGGCAGGCGAAGGGCTTCTCTCGTCGGTGGGTGCGCAGATGCTGCGTGAGCGTGGGCCGCTGGCGGAAGGCCTTGCCACACTCAGGGCATGCGTAGGGCCGTTCACCCGTGTGGATGCGCCGGTGCTGGGTGAGGTTGGCGTGCTGCCGAAAGCTCTGGCCGCACTCGGGGCAGGCGAAGGGCCGTTCGCCCGTGTGGATGCGCTGGTGCTCGGTGAGCCGCGAGACCTGCGTGAAGCCCAGGCCGCACTCACCGCAGTGGTAGGGCTTTTCGCCGGTGTGTGTCCTCTGATGACGCGTGAGCTTGAGGCGCTGGCTGAAGCGCTGGCCACACTCGGGGCAGGCAAAGGGTTTCTCGCCCGTGTGTACGCGGAGATGCTGCGTGAGCGTAGGCCGCTGGCGGAAGGCCTTGCCACACTCGGCGCAGGCGAAGGGCCGCTCCCCGGTGTGGATGCGCCGGTGCTGCGTCAGGTTGGAGCGCTGCCGGAAGCTCTGGCCGCACTCGGCACAGGCGAAGGGCCGCTCGCCACTGTGCACGCGCCGGTGCTGCAGCAGCACTGAGCGGCGGCCGAAGCGCTCGCCGCACTCGACGCAGCCAAAGGACTTGTCGCCCGTGTGTACCGCCTGGTGCTCCAGCAGCACGGCGCGCCGCGCGAAGCTCTCGCGGCACTCGCTGCACGGAAAGGGGCCGGGAGGCTCGGGCGCACCAGGAGGGGCCGGGGGCTTAGCGCCAGGGCCCGGGGGATCGCCGTGGATGCGCTGGTGCTGCAGCAGATTGGAGCGCTGCCGGAAGCTCTGGCCGCACTCAGCGCAACGGAAAGGCTGTTCGCCCGTGTGCACTCTCCGATGCTCTTCCAGGCGCGCGCTGCGCACGAAGCCCTGGCCACAGTCGCCGCACACGAACGGCCGCTCCTCGGTGTGCGTAAGCTGGTGGCGCAGCAGGTGCGAGCTGCGGCTGAAGCTGCGGCCGCACTCGCTGCACACGAATGGTCGCTCACCCGTGTGGATCTTCTGGTGCCTCAGCAGGTTGCTGCGTTGGCTGAACACCTTGCCACATACATCGCAACGGCCGCCCCTAACCACCCCGCCCCCAGTGCTGGGGCGGCCCCGGCTCCGGCCCCTGGGGGAGCGCCAGCGGGTGGTGATCAGAGCAGGGCCCACACCCCGGCAGGGATCCTCGTCCGTGGGGTCCTGTTCACTCCTCAGATCGCTGGGGAGCAGAAGCGCATGCGCAAAGCCACCTTCGCGGGAGGGTGATTGGATCTGGCCAGAAAGGCCAGCCATGCCGAGGTCCCAGGGGACGTGGAGGTGAGGGCTTACACTACCTGGACCTGCGGAGATGCTGCCTAGCTGCAGCGCGAACCCTGCATACACAAGGGGACCATTCATTCATGACAGAATGCCCACCGTGCCGGGACCCACTTCATCCCTGGGGACACAGTGTGAACTACAGGGACCTGAAACTGACCAAAGAGGCAGACGGAGGCGACAAATGCAGGGGTAGGGATTCTATCTGTACAGACTTCCCTGATGAGGTGATAATGAGACAGAACCCAGCACAAGGAGGAAGACTGGGCTATGTGAAAAAGCTTTCTAGGTCTGATTTAGGTTGGAAAAAATCGTTTTTGGAAGGGCTGTAGGGCAAGCGTGGGGGCATTGTCTAGGTGGAAAATGATGGTCTCAGCAAATGCAGGGAAGTGGGTGGGTCTCGGAGGCTGGAGGTGGAGCCAACAGAAAGAGGGTGCAGGCTCCTGGATAGTGGTCTGGGGTTTGGATGTGCCTTGCTTGTGATGTCTGTGGGGCATCTGAGGAACACAGACTTCATGAAGGCTGTGGGGAAACGTGAGCAAGGGCTCTAGGGCATACACATGGCACACAGAACCCGGGCCTGCAAGTGATCAACACAGGGGTGGGTATCTACAGAGGAGAGAAGTGGGTCCCAGCCACACTGTGAGCACTCCAGCGTCAGACGCTGGGTGAAGGAGGAGGCACCAGCAACTCCAACTGAGAATCAGGGCCTGGAGAAGGCGGAAGCCTGGAGGAGGTTAAATCAAGAAGACTGAGAGAGCAGTGAGGGCTTTTAGTGGTGAGAGAAAGTCCATAAGTCGCCAAAGAAAAGTCAGATAAACTAGAATACATCAAAGGAAATCAGCAAAAACCACATCAGAGTCAAAAGACAAATGGCCAAAAAACAAAAAAAATTAAAAAAGGACAAATGGCAAACCAAAAAACTCTCCACAGGCAAAAGGCTAATTAACCTCCTAAGTAAAGAGCTACAATAAATCAGTAAGAAAGATCAATAACCTCATAGACACATGGGCAAAGGATGTGAACAGGACAGGAAATGTAGCTAATGCTTATATCCCATAAAATACACTCCATCTCCTCCTAGTAAGAAAAATGCACCTTAGGGCTGAACTCATCTGCCATTTCCACACCCTGACTGCAGGGACCCAAGTGTTCCTATGTATTGCTGGTAAGCATAAATGGGAAGACAGTGTGGTAAAATCCATCAAAACAGCAAATGTCCCACACTTTGTTCAAGTAATTCAATTTTTAGGTACTTCTTCAACAGTTGTGTTCCTCCTTGTACTAAGTGACCTACATACAAGGTTTTCAATGGTGTGTCCACAGTGAGCCACAGTGGGGTTCTGTGTAGCTACCCAAAGATGTAGAGCACTTGCTGCTGTGTACTTAAGTTGGAAGATGCACAAAAAATGCCAGATGTGGAACAGGGTGGAGAATAAGCATCCATGTGTGTGTTTTTTTTTTTTTTTTTTTTTTTTTTTTTTTTTTTTGAGACTGAGTCTTGCTGTGTCGCCCAGGCTGGAGTGCAGTGGTGTGATCTCGGCTCACCGCAACCTCTGCCTCCCGGGTTCAAGCGATTCTGCTGCTTCATCTTCCTGAGTAGCTGGGATTATAGGCGTGCACCACCATGCCTGGCTAATTGTTTGTATTTTTTTTTTTTTTGAGACGTAGTTTTGCTCTTGTTGCCCAGGTTGGAGTGCAATGGCGTGTTCTCTGCTCACTGCAAACCTCCATCTCCTGGGTTCAAGCGGTTCTTCTGCCTCAGTCTCCCGAGTAGCTGGGATTACAGGCATGCACCACCACACCCGGCTAATTTTGTATTTTTAGTAGAGACAGGGTTTCTCCATGTTGGTCAGGCTGGTCTCGAACTCCCGACCTCAGGTGATCTGCCCACTTCAGCCTCCCAAAGTGCTGGGATTGCAGGCGTGAGCCACCGCACCTAGCCAATTTTTTGTATTTTTAGTAGAGACATGGTTTCACCATGTTGGCCAGGCTGGTCTCGATCTCCTGACCTCATATGATCCACCCGCCTCGCCTTCCCAAAGTGCTGGGATTACAGGTGTGAGCCACCACGCCCAGCCCGTGTGTGTGTGTGCGCACTTGAGACGGAGTCTCGCTCTGTTGCCCAGGCTGGAGTGTAGTGGCGCCATCTCAGCTCACTGCAAGCTCCGCCTCCCGGGTTCACGCCATTCTCCTGCCTCAGCCACCCGAGTAGATGGGACTACAGGCGCCCGCCACCACGCCTGACTAATATTTTGTATTTTTAGTAGAGACGGGGTTTCGCCGTGTTAGCCAGGATGGTCTCGATCTCCTGACCTCGTGATCCGCCCGCCTTGGCCTCCCAAAGTGCTGGGATTACAGGCGTGACGTGCCGCGCCGGGCCCATGTGTGTTTTAAAGGAGAGGAATGGGGCTGGGCACGGTGGCTCACGCCTGTAATCCCAGCACTTTGGGAGGCCGAGGCGGGTGGATCACGAGGTCAGGAGATCGAGACCATCCTGGCTAACACGGCGAAACCCCGTCTCTACTAAAAATACAAAATATTTAGCCAGGCGTGGTGGCCGGCGCCTGTAGTCCCAGCTACTCGGGAGGCTGAGGCAGGAGAATGTCGTGAACCCGGGAGGCGGAGCTTGCAGTGAGTCGAGATTGTGCCACTGCACTCCAGCCTGGGCGACAGAGTGAGACTCCGTCTCAAAAAAAAAAAAAGAAGAGGAATGGGCCAGGCATGGTGGCTCACGCCTGTGATCCCGGCACTTTGGCAGGCAAAGGTGGGCGGATCACCTGAGGTCGGGAGTTCCAGACCAGCCTGACCAACATGGGGAAACCCCGTCTCTACTAAAAAAATACAAAATTAGCTGGGCGTGGTGGAGCATGACTGTAATCTCAGCTACTTGGGAGGCTGAGGCAGGAGAATGGCTTGAACCGGGAGGTGGAGGTTGCAGTGAGCCGAGATCGCGCCATTGCACTCCAGCCTGGGCAACAAGAGCGAAATTCCATCTCAAAAGAAAAAAAAAAGGGAATGAACATGTGTCTGGGAATGTCTTTGCTTCTGTATGTACAGAATCTTTTTACAAAGACACATAAGAAACAAGCAGTGTTGGCTGCTGGAGAGTAAGACTGTGTGGCCCAGGCAGGGAAGGGGCATTCCACTGTATACTGTCTTGTGCCTTTTGAATTTCCTAACATATGAATGTATTAGCTATTCAGAATAGTCTCCTGATGAAGACATAAAAAGACCTCTCTGAGCCAGGTGTGGTGACTTGAGCCTGTAATTGCAGCTACTTGGAAAGCTGAAGCAGGAGGATCACTTGAGGTCAGGAGTTCAAGACCAGCCTGGGCAAAACAGCAAAACCCTGTCCTTTAAATAAATAAAGCAAGACTCCATTTCATAAATAAATAGATAGATAGATAAACCTCTCTGGCTGCAAAGAAAAGGCACAGTTTTATTCCCAAGACTCTTTTTTTTTTTTTTGAGACTGGGTCTCACCCCCATTGCCCAGACTGGTGTGCACTGGCACCATCTCAGCTCACTGCAGCCTTGACTTCCCTGGCTTGGGTGATTCTCCCACCTCAGCCTCCCAAGTAGCTGGGACTACAAGTACGTGCCACCATGCCCAGCTAGTTTTTTGTATTATTTTTTAGTAGAGACAGGGTTTTGCCATGTTGCCCAGGATGGTCTCGAACTCTTGGACTCAAACAATCCACCTGCCTCCGCCTCCCAAAGTGCTGGGATTACAGGCATGAGCGGCTGCGCCTGGCTAAGAAGATTCTAAAAACTCAGGAGTTGGAGGTACCTGGTACTTCTGGCCATGCAAGTGAATGAGCAGGGCACCAGCCAGGCTGGAGAGGCTGTTTCAGAAGCAGATGCTGGGCAGGGCTGCTGCTGTGGGCTCTGTCTGCACAGAATTCTGAGCCAACAGTATGCACTGCCATGACTTACTTCTGGATTTCTTCTCCCATCCTGGCAGAAGGCTATGTTAAGGGTGAGAAACCGTACTGAGAAAGTCAGGGTTATTAGGTAAACAGTCCCATTGGATGCTGAGATGTTAATCTCTTTCCCAAGGATGCTGGCAGGAGGCTGAAGTTACCTTCTTGCAGGATTCAGACGATGGAACGAAACATGCTTGGAGGAAGAGTGCCCCCAAAATGGCCTAGCCACATTGCCCTATGGATCTGTTTGCAGCATCCACTCATACTCAAGCTGCTTGCTCACATACCCTAAGAAAAGGGTCTCCTTGGGGAGTGGGGTTCCCCTATGTCCCTTCCAGCCAGTAAGCCCCACATCTACCTGCTCAGAGCTGTCAGCCAGATTTGTGGTGCCCCTCTCTTGCATATAAGCCAACAACTAGGAGAGAATAGAGAACACACTGTTTTTTTTTAAAAAGTTACTGCTGTTCTCAGAGAAATAAGGAAAGACATTGTAAATGAAAGAACAACAGGAGACAGCTAAAAAGATGAACATTCAGAGAATAAAAACACTCTTGGAAAGTAAAAATATGCTACAAGAGACCAGATGAAGTAGCTCATGCCTGTAATCCCAGCACTCTGGGAGGCTGAGGTGGGAGCATCACTTGAAGCCAGGAATTTAAGACCAGCCCTGGCAACATAGTGAGAACCTGTTTCTACAAAAAAATAAAAAAATTAAAAATGAGTCAGGTACAGTGACACATGCCTGCAGTCCCAGATACTTGGGAGGCTGAGGCGAGAGGATCACTTGAGCCCAGGAGTTCAAGGTTACAGTAAGCTATGATGGCACCACTGTGCTCTAGTCTGTGTGAAATAGTGAGACCCCCTCCCCCCACCAAAAAAAAAGCTACCAGAAATGAAAATCTTAACAGAAGGTCTGAAAGATACAAGTGAGAAAATTTCCAGGAAAATAGAGTAGAAAGACAAAGGAATGGAAAATTGGAGTGAAAAGATAAGAACATTAAAGGACCCATCCCAGATGCCAATAGCCAAGTAAGAGGCATCCCAGAAACAGGGAGCAGAGCAATAGAAGGGAAGGAAATAAAAAAAAATTTCAAGGCAGTTTCCCAGAACTGAGAGATGTGAATTTCAAACTGAAAAAGCTCACCAACAATAGTGATAAAAAAAGGTCTGTGACTGTACTAATAAAAAGAATTCTTCCAGCCAAACTTCAATCTAATGTTGAGGGCTAGACAATGTGTTTCAGATATGGGACATGTCAGAATTTTATCTTCCACACCAGAACACCCACAAAGCTCCACCAAAACAAAGGTGTGAACTAAGAAAGAGGAGACCCTGGGTCTCAGGAACAGGAAGGAACATAACAGAAGATGGGTTGTAGGAGGAGCCTGGATGATGCCAGACAAAGGTGGTGGCTGAGAGGTAGATGGCAGGGGGCCTCTGGTCCGTAATGCTTCGATGATTGGGCAGGATCCCTATCCTGTGTCAAGGTCCCTCCTGCCCACCTGCTCTGTCTACTAACCTGCTGTCCTTGTCAGGTCCCAGCCCTACCTGTCCTGATGCCTGACCAGCAGGATGCAAGCCCAGGAGGCCATCCAGGATACCAGGACTGGGAGAGAATGTGGGTACGGGGAATACTCGCCCTGCTTGCAAAAGGTTTTACTAGGGTGGGGAGTTTCTAGAAAGTAGAGGGGCTGTGGGATCAGTGGTAGTGGTGGGTGGCTTTTTTTGAGGGCAGAAGATGCTAGAGGAGGTTGAACCTTATAGGGGATGATCTAGGGAATGGGGGAACTTGGGGATGCTGGAGTAAGAGGGCTGCCTGCGTAGGGCCAGGAGTGGGGTCGGCAGAGATGGTGCTGTCCATGCGGAAGGCCTAGTCCCACCACACCCCATCTCACTTACCTGGGGAGAAGATGCCCCCAGCTTCCTCATGCCACAGGGCCCTGGGGTGCTCCCTCCATGAGGGACCCTCAGGCCCAGTCTTGCTGTGGGGAAAGATCTGGTCCAGCACGGTCCCACATCTCTGAAATCACAGTGGTCACTGCTCCTCTGTGCCTGGCTGGGCTCAGGGAGGGACCTACCTGACCCCACCCAGCAACTTCCAGGGAAAGGAGGAGAACATGGACCTGGGCAGGACTTACCTGGGCCTCCTCAGGCAGGAGGGTGGGTACAGACTCCTGGGTGGCAGCTAGAGGCCCAGACTCCAGGAAATCTAGAGAGGAAAACTGGTATCAGGCAGCCTGAGTGAGTTTCCACCCCACTGCCCTTCTTAGTGGTGTGCCAGGTGCTGGGATGCAGAGAGGTGGGATTCTTGGTTGTGGGCTTGGGTTGGGGAGGGCAGTGCAGGGTAGCTGAGGGCCCAGCTCAGGGGCTGGGTGAAGCAGAGTACCCTGGAAGGCCAGGGGTTGAGCTGCAGTGGGATGAGATGGGCTGAGGTTTGTGCCCCTGTAGCCGTATGTGAACCATGGGGCAAGGTGGTCAGCGGGGGTCAGAGGTATTGTACAAGGGTCCACATAGGAATGGCAGGGTGTGAGCAGCTAGTTCAGGTGCCCTGCCTGGGAGGTGAAAGGGGTCATACCCCTAACACTACGAGGTCCTCCCTCAGCAGCTCCTAATTATACCTCTGCCTGCTGTCTGTTCCCCAGTGACAAGCACATATTGCCTAACGCATCTCCTTGGGGACTGAACACCACATGCCATCTGTACTGGGAAACCCCAACAGCCTGCTCCATGCCATGGGGTTCGTGGGTACAGGGCTGTGGCAGTCAGGCTTGGTGTGTGAGGGGTAGTGACAGCACTGGCTGCGGTGGAGGGGAGACCTGACTGGGTAGAATGTGGGGGCTGCTGGCAGATGGAAACCATTCCATTTATAACAAACCTGGCCCAGTGGACTTCAGACTGACTGCTCAGGCCAGGTTCCCTGGCCCACCCAACCAGACCTTAGGCGCGCCCACCGTGCATGCCCTCACCTGAGTCCTCTGTAACCTCTGACTCCTCTTTCACCTGCAGGCCCAGTGGTGATTCCTGCATAGTCCTAGGAGGTGTCTTGGGCCCAGGCTCTGGAGTTGGAGGCTCAGTTTCAGGTAGGGGCTGGAAACTGGAGGGCTCCATCTTCTCTGATAGGACCTCCTGGCCCTGCACCTGGACTGTGACCTGGGGAGGTGCCCCCACCATCAGAAGTCCTACCAGAGAGTAAGGCTGGCCGCAACCTGGGGTTTGTGGGTGCCCATCCCACTGTAGGATCCCAGGGGCCTGCCTTGTAAATACCTACTGACTAGGTCCTCCAAGGACCTACCTCCCCTAGGCCCTGAGCAAAGAATGAAGGGACCACCTGCAGTCCCTCCCCTGCTCTGACATCGTGGCCTTCCAGTACCTTCCCCATATTCCCCTAGCCTGCAGCTCCTATGTCCACGTGACTGCAGGTGATGCAGGAATGGGCTGGGGAGTCTGGCCCTGGAATCCCTCTGCCCTGGGCAGCCTTGCACAGGGTCTCTGTTGCAGGTGGCCACTTCTGTACCACAAGGGAGAACGTGTGTCTGGCAAAGCGTGGTGCTGCCCAGGGTGAGGCCGAGCTGGATGATGCTCCAGTCCTGAACCCCACTCGTGGACACTCACTCACCCATCTCCGGGGTCCGCCCGGCTCCCGGCGCAGCCCATCTACTAGGGCAGCAGCCTCCTCGGGGCTGCCTGGCCGCTGCCCCTGCACACGGGCCTGGATCTCAGGGGGCAGTGCGCCCAGGAACTGCTCCAGCACCAACAGCTCCAGCATCTGCTCCTTGGAGCGTACCTCTGGACGCAGCCACTGGCGACACAGCTCTCGGAGCTGGGCCAGGGCCTCTTGGGGCCCTGTGGCCTCCTCATAGCGGAAGCACCGGAAACGCAGGCGTGCAGCTTCAGGGCCTGGGTCCCATAAGGCAGCCTCACCCTCCTCCTCAGAGTCCTCTAGCTTCACCATGACAGGCCCCTCATCTTCTGGGGGTGCTCGGTCTGGGGAGCCCAGCACCGCAGGCCTCATAGAGGGTACCAGGTCAGGTATCTGAGGCCAGTGTCTGCCCCTGGTGAAGAAATAGGATGAGGCTGTTGCAAAAGGAGTACAGTGAATGCTTCACTGCCTAGTCTATGCTGTACCGTTTGATCCTCAGACCTACCCCATGTGGAAGGCAGATGAGGAAACAGGCAAAGAAAGGCCATCTACAACCCACAGACTTATGCAGCTGGAAGCCCTCCCTTAGCCACCTGTATCCCTGGTCTTCTCTCCGCTTGGGCCTGTGCAAAGTCTCTGACAGTCTCCCTGCTCCAAACACAGGCTTTTTTTTCTTTTCTTTGAGACATGCTGTCAGTCAGTTGCCCAGGCTGAAGTGCAGTGGCGAGATCATGCGTCACTGCAGACTTGACCTCCCGGGCTCCAGAGATCGGCCTCCCAAGTAGCTGAGACAACAGGTGTGTGCCACGACATCCGGCTAATTTCTTAATTTTTCTGTAGGGATGGGATCTTACTATGTTGCCTAGGCTGTTCTTGAACTCCTGGGCTCAAGCAGATGATCCTCTTACCTTGACCTCCCGAAGTGCTGGGACTTACAGGTTTGTTCCACCATGCCAGCCCACAGGCTGTTTTTTAGGACTAGAAGACACTTCTCTCCCCTGTATCCTTCCCTTCTTCTACATGTGCAACCTCATTCCTGCGCTACAGCTCTCTCTTTACCAGGTGGATGGCACCTATACACCTACAGCCTGGGCATCAGCATCACTGCTGGCGTCTCCCCCTACCCAACGCCAGCCCTTACTTCACCTTCTATTCTCTCATCTACTTCGATGTGGCTCCTCATTTGGGCCCCACCATCATTCCCCTCCCTGCTTGGAAGCCTCACTCCACCTAATCCTCCATGTCAACCTGTGCAGTCACTTGTATGGCTCAGCTCCCAGGCAGCACCCTCTCTCCCTACTCAGCCCCATCTTCTAAGCCCAACATCACACTACGCAATGCCCCATCTCAGCTTCCTGATTTAGCTGGGGTTGGAAGGGGATGGGGGAGCTTCGCAATGGGTGGGGGGGCGGCAAAGGCTCCAAGACTGCCGGAACAGGAGCCTGCAAGGAAGTCCCGAGACTCTGATTCCGCCCATCTTCAGATCACTGTGCCTTCGAGAACTTGTTTCCCCATTTGCAAGTGGGGCTGACCTCCCTCCTCGCGCTGTTCCTTCTGCAGCTGCGGCTTTAGGAAGGAATCTGCGTTTATGAAGGGGATGGCACCGCAGAATCATTCCCCCGTGGGTGGCATCGATTTCGAGGGCCGCCTCATCCTGGGGGCCAAGCCTCCACTCTTCAAGGTGCCAAGTCAACCTGAAACCCTGGGAGAGACTTGGGTCATAGCCAAGATGGCAGGTACCTACGGAGGGTCCCGAAATACACTTCCCAGAAGTCCAGGCGGCAACTTCCGCTCCAGGGTGCCAAGGTAGGTCCAGACGACGCCTAGGCAACCGGGGGCGGGGCTCCCAAAGCCTGTCGTCGTGGCAACGAGTAGTGATTGACAAGCCTCTCGCTCTAGCCCTGGGCGCTCCCGCAAGGACTGCCCGGATTCGTTCCCCGCGCTTCCGGTCTCACTGGGGAGCCGGAATCCCCGAGTCTGCAGCCACCGCCCCCGTCCACACGATAGCCCTCCCGGTTAAGAGGACCCCGCCCTCACCTCTGCGCTCAGCGGGCCGCTCCGCGCTCCTGAGCACGCGCAGTCTTCGACTTCCCCCTCCCGCTGGACTACGTCTCCCAGGATGCTCCGCGCACCAGCTCGAGCGCCTCCTTGCCCTTCCCCCACCCTCGTCCCCGTTTCTACACCCTCTCCTCCCTTCCCCTAGCGGTGGTCGCAATGATCAGGTCATACTCCTGGCCGCTTCTTCCCATGCTCCCCGCCTCGAATCCGTGCGTCGGCATGCGCAAGCCTCTCAGGTACAACAGACGGCAGCACCGCCTACCAGATCGCGCATGCCCCCCACCACGTTTTCCTCACTTCTCTACGGGCCTTCCTGAGATTAGCAGGATCCTGCACCAATCACGGCCGTCATTAGAACTCCGTCGGTGCCCCACCGCGTCTCCATGGCAACTCCCTACAGGAAGGGGCCTCTGCTACTTCCTAGACCGCAAAATGGAGAAAGGCTTGGCCCGATGCTTTCCGGCAGATGTAGTCAGCAGGCCCTTCGTGTGTACGTGCGCGCGCGGCGCGATGACGTTCCTCTGTGATCATGGGCGAGGGGCGGGCCCTGAACGTCTCCATGGTAACCTGGGGACACGACTCGACATCGCCTGGGTAACCCGGAGACGCGGCGGGCGTTGAAAATGCAATGGGGCATGTGGGATGAAGAGGTGGGGAAGGGTACTGGGGCAGAGAGATGCCGATCGATAGAAACAGCGAGGAGAGACGGAGAGAGACCAGAGACTCAAGGGCAAAGAGAGACGAAGGACCGGCGGGAGGAAGAGAGAGAGAGACAGAGAGACAGACTCACAGACTGGGAGGACCGGAGACTCGACGCGAGGAGAGACAGTGAAAATAAGTGAACAAACATAGAGACACGGGTCCAAGTTATAAGAGGGCTGAGTGGATCAGAGGGTCAGGGCCGGGCAAACAGGTGTCAGAACAGTTAGCAAGAGAGAGGCAGATCAGAAAGGGATGCAGATGAAAGAGACACAAAGAAGGAAACGCAGAATGGGTTCACAGAGACAAGAAATGCAGATATCCAGACTCAAGAGGTAGACAAGAAGGGAGAGGGACAGAAACAAGAAGGGAGAAAAGGGACAGAAATTAGAGATACAGTAAGATGGATTGACAGTTTTCGAAGACCTAGAGAAAGATGACAGCACGAAGAGAGACAGGGAGAATCCGAGGTAAAACTGTTAGGAAAACTTAGGAGTCCAGATGCTGTCCAGTTATATGCTACCCTGTACAGGTTGATAGGTTGCAAATGCTTTCTGTCCAGTGTATCGCTTTGTAGCTCACTAAGCAGTTTTGTATCCAACTTTGTGCTTTTATTTCAGTGTTTTTCTTTTTCTTTCTTTCTTTTTTTTTTTTTTTTTTTTGACGGAGTCTCGCTGTTGCCAGACTGGAGTGCAGTGGCACGATCTCGGCTCACTGCAACCTCCGTCTCCCAGGTTCAAGCGATTCTCCTGCCTCAGCCTCCCGAGTAGCTGGGACTGCAGGCTGCTCCACCACACCCGGCTGATTTTTGTATTTTTAGTAGAGATGGGGTTTTACCATGTTGGCCAGACTGGTCTTGACCTCCAGACCTCTGGTGATCCGCCCACCTCGGCCTCCCAAATTGCTGGAATTACAGGTGTGAGCCACCGCGGCCGGCCAGTGTTTATTCTTCCTTTCCTGTCTTCCTAGAATCATCTTGCTGCTTCCCTCAGTACGGTAAATAAATCTTTTGACACATGCTCACTGAGAGTCATGTTTTTAACTGTTTTGAAATTATATTTGGCAGTCTGAAGGGAACCTGTTCTCCGGGCTAGGGGACAAACAGGGAAAAAGAAAATAGTGGCCGGGCGCGGTGGCTCACGCCTGTAATCCTAGCACTTTGGGAGGCCGAGGCGGGCGGATCACGAGGTCAGGAGATCGAGACCATCCCGGCTAAAACGGTGAAACCCCGTCTCTACTAAAAATACAAAAAATTAGCCGGGCGTAGTGGCGGGCGCCTGTAGTCCCAGCTACTTGGGAGGCTGAGGCAGGAGAATGGCGTGAACCCGGGAGGCGGAGCTTGCAGTGAGCCGAGATCCCGCCACTGCACTCCAGCCTGGGCGACAGAGCGAGACTCCGTCTCAAAAAAAAAAAAAAAAAAAAAAAAAAAGAAAATAGTGACACATACCCAGGAAAGGAAGGAGGAAGGGAGGGTGATGTAAGACAAAGACATTAGGCGGCGAGAAAGCCAGCCTTTGGTCAGAAGCAGCTTCTGGCGCCCCTGGCTGGACTCTGTGCGGTGCGGCCTCGTTGCCAAACTACATTTTCCGGCAGTACCCGGGACGCCGGGCGCAGAGCGGAGAGCGTCGCAAGGGGCGGGCCTGACGCAGCCTCCTCCCTGCCCGGCCGTCGCCAGGCAACCTTCCCCCTTCGCGGCCGAGATGGACCCTGGGCTCGGCGTCCTCCGGAAAACTGCACTGTGAGGCGGGGCGATGGGGAAGGGCCGAAGCCCCGCCAGCCCAGCTAAAGCAGACGGCTCGCACTGCGACCCGAAGGTGAGGTTGATCGGCCGCGCTGGGGCCCCGGCTTCGGGGCAGGAGCTGCAGCCCCTCCTCTTGGTTCGGTCGGGGAACTGGGATATGAGGCCACTGTGTCCGCAGCTGGCACGCACCCGAGTGGGCCAATCGGAGCCTTCGGCGGCCCCACGGCTCTCTGGGAAATGTAGACCCGCTACACGGGACGGTACCCGCCTAAGACCATACTGCGCAGGTGCTGATCTGAGTCTGGGTCCCTCCTGGGTCGAGGAGTTCTTTGGCCCAGATCTGCGTGGAGGCGTGTTCGCCCGGCCCTAAGGTCCCTTGCGGGCCTTCTCGGCCTCACAGCGCGTGTCCGCTGTTCGTTCCCCTTCCCTCCTCTGTCTTGGAAATGTAGTCTCGAGGGAGGAGCTTGGTCATCCACCCAGACTTCGTGAGGCCCCCGGGCTTGGGGCTGCCTGTTGAGAGTGGGAGGGAGAGAATGTGTGAATGTGTGGATGAATTAATTTGCAATTATGGGAGCGCAGGCGAAGGTGTGAATGTGGGAGAGAGAAGGATGGGCCCAAGAGTGGTTCAGATTTCGGGGCTTTCCCCGATTTCAAAGCTTGAGTTTGAGCCTTCCCCATGTCCACCCGCCTTTCCCTGTCACTCTAGCTGAGGGCCCTGTGTGCTGTGCCTCCTTGTTTCAAGGCAGGTGCATGGTCCATGGAGGTACTCATCATAGGTGTAGTCATTCCACAAAGAACGGTCAGGCGGCATTTGTTCCTTTTTTCCTTCCTTCCTCCCTCCCTCCCTCCCTCCCTCCCTCCCTCCCTTCTTCCCTCCCTCCCTTCCTCCCTCTCTTCCTTCCTTCCTTCCTCCCTCTCTTCCTTCCTCCCTCCCTTCCTCCTTTCCTCCCTTCCTCCTTTCCTCCCTTCCTTCCTTTCCTTCCTTCGTTCCTGTCTTTTTTCCTTCTTTCCTTCCCTCCCTCCTTCCTTCCTTCCTTCCTTTCCTTCCCTTCCTTTCTTCTATCTTTTTTTTTTTTTTTTTTTTGAGATGGGAGTCTTGCTCTGTCGCCCAGGCTGGAGTGCAGTGGCGCAATCTCGGCTCACTGCAACCTCCGCCTCCCGGGTTCAACCAATTCTCCTGCCTCAGCCCCACCGAGTAGCTGGGATTACAGGCACACGCCACCATGCCCAACTGATTATTATTATTATTATTATTATTTATTATTATTTTTTTGAGATGGAGTCTTGCTCTTGTCGCCCAGGCTGGAGTGCAATGGCAGGATCTGGCCTCACTGCAGCCTCTGCCTCCCTGGTTCAAGCGATTCTCCTGCCTCAGCCTCCCAAGTAGCTGGAATTACAGGCGCACGCCACCATGCCCGGATAATTTTTGTATTATTATTATTACTATTTTTTTTGAGACGAAGTCTTGCTCTTGTCGCCCAGGCTGGAGTGCAGTGGCAGAATCTTGGCTCGCTGCAGCCTCTGCCTCGCCTCCCTGGTTCAAGCAATTCTCCTGCCTCAGCCTCCCGAGTAGCTGGGATTACAGGCACCCACTACCATGCCTGGCTAATTTTTGTATTTTTAATACAGACATGGTTTCGCCATGTTGGCCAGGCTGGTCTGGAACTCCTGACCTCGTGATCCGCCTGCCTCCACCTCCCAAAGTGCTGGGATTACAGGCGTGAGCCACTGTGCCTGGCCTGTTCCTGTTTTTCACAAGCACAGTTTTTAAAAAAAATTTTTACTGTTTTGACCAGGTGTTACATTCACATGGTTCAAAGTGTAAAAGAGACAAGGTGAGACAGACGCACAATAAATAAATAAATAACGGTGGGGGACGGCCCCTGTCTCATAAGGTTGTGTTTGAAAAGAACTGCAGAAGGTGAGGGGAAAAAGCCATGCAGATAACAGGGAAGAGTGCCTGCTCTGGGCCAAAGGAACCATAGGAACAAAAGTCCCTTTGTAGCTGGCACAGTGGCTCACGCCTGTAATCCCAACACTTTGGGAGGCCGAGACAGGTGGATCACTTGAGGTCAGGAGTTTGAGACCAGCTTGGCCAACATTGGTAAAACCCTGTCTCTACTGAAAATACAAAAATCAGCTGGGCATGGTGGCACACACCAGTAGTCCTAGCACCTGGGAAGCTGAGGCAGGAGAATTGCTTGAACCTGGGAGGCAGAGGTTGCAGTGAGCCAAGACTGTGCCATTGCATTCCAGCCTGGGCGGCAGAGCGAGACTCTGTCTCAACAAACAAACAAAACAAAAAAAGCCCCTTTGCTCTGTCTGGAAGATGTGGTCAGGAGTGAGCAGAGTAGAGGAGGAGGCTTTGAGTCTTACAAAGGAGGCAGTGAGGACTGTGGCTTTTACTTGAAGGCCTGGGAGGGCTCCAACAGAGGTCAGGATCTGACTTAGTTTCACTGAATCATTCTTGATCTGGTATGGAGAACCATCATCCCCTTCTATCATTGGGTACTCCACGGTGGTGGTACCAATTAGGGACGGCCCTGCAGGATGTACCTGGGTGTCCTGCCACCTGCCATCTGTGTCTGGGTGGAGCCCCAGTGCCCTGAGAGCAGTGAGGAGGCTATGGCGCTGGTGGAGGACTTCACCCAGATGTTGAAGACTGGTGAGCCACAGGGGTCCAGGGGTTGGCCAGAGGGATAGGGGAATCTATGAGGGATCACAGCTCATGACCTTGGGCCCTGAGTGTCTCCCTCCGTCTGCCTAGGCCCTCAATATCCCTGTCTTGGGGAGGAGGACCTAGAAGCTGTGACGCATTTGGAGACTTCTGCAGCCTCTGAGCCCCCCAAAGGCATGAGCTTGAGGTTGATGTGACTTCTCCTCTCTTGGGGTAGACCAGGCTTCCTTTCCCATCCTTCTTTCCTTCCCCGCAAGGTCACTAAGTGCCTGCCATATGCCAGGCCCTATTGGTCCAGCAGGGAAAGACACTTGGCATTCATGGAGCCTAGTCTGGTTGGAGAAATGGACCATGAGACCATCAGTCACAATTTAGGTATCCTTTCCCTGAAGGAGGTGGGGGAAGAGGAGGTGAGCACAGAGACTGGCCTGGCAGGGAGCAGCTTTGTAGTTTTCAGTGTCTAACATCTTCACTGTGAGCTTGGGTTCCACACGTGTGTATGCGTTTGTGCTTGGGAGGGGGTGACAACTACAAGATATGAGAGAAGGGTGGTTACAGCCACCATTCATCCTGGCATTTGTTCCTCTGTTCACTCGATTGCTCATGCATGACTGTGCAGTGTCTTCTGCCTACGCGATTCTCTGTCAGGAGGTAGAAACTATATCACCTTTTTTTAAAAGCACACCTTTACCAAGTTATAATTGACATACCAAAAAAGTATACAATTCAGGTATTTTTAGTATATTCACAAGGTTGTACAGCTATCACCACCATTTAATACCAGAATGTAATCACAACCAAAAGAAACCCCATGCCCATTAGTAGTCACCCATCAGCCCCCTCCTCTAAGCTCCCGGCAATCACTAATCTGCTTTGTGTCTCTATGGATTTGCTTATTCTGGACATTTCATTAAATGGAATCATACTTTATGTGGCCTTTTATGTCTGGCTTCTCTCAGAGCATAATGTTTTCGAGGTTCACCCATGTTTTAACATGTCAGAACTTCATTTTTATGAGCAAGTGATATTCCATTGTATGGATATGACCCATTTTGTTTATTCATGTATTCTTTGATCAGCATTTGGCTTGTATTTACTTTTCGGCTATTATGAATAATGCTGCTATGGATGTTCATGTACATGTTTTTGTTTGGATGTTTGTTTTTATTTCTCTTGGTTGTATACCTAGAAGTGGAATTGCTGGGTCATATGATAACACTATTTGACCTTTTGAGGAACTGCTAACACACCACTTGTTTTAACAGAGGGAAATTAAGGTAAAAAATGTTACCGAGATATTGAAGGAGTAAAAAAGTACAAAAAGAACCCTAAGATGTCATGTTGGTAGGAACTTCAGGGAACAACATCCATTCCTAGAGCTTTATGAACAAAGGGAAGAGGTTGGGTTTAGTCTTTGAGAGAAGCTCAAAGGAGGGGAACGTGGTGGTGGGGGCACTGGGATCCAGATCCCTGGGGAGGTGTTGCTGCGGGCTGACGCTGGGGTCTCCACAGAGCCTTCATGAAGCTGATTCTACACATACTGGAATAGCTGCAAGCTGGTTTCAGCTACTGCTAAGGGGATTGAAAGCCTTGCTTTTGCAGGACTGGTTTTTCCTTACACATGAATATGAGGGGCGGGGGAGACATCTTGGATGCATATATCTATAGTCACTGTGGGGTGTTGTTTTTTTTTTTCTGTAGTGCTGGGCTCTATTTTCTTTCCTTCCTTCCTTCCTTCCTTTCCTTCCTTCCTTCCTTCCTTCCTTCCTTCCTTCCTTCCTTCCTTCCTCCCTTCCTTCCCTCTTTCTTTCTTTCTTTGATGGAGTTTTGCTCTTGTTGCTCAGGCTGGAATGCAATGGTACAATCTCGCCTCACTGCAACCTCCACTTCCCGGGTTTAACCGATTCTCCTGCCTCAGCTCCCAAGTAGCTAGGATTACAGGCATGTACCATCACACCTGGCTTATTTTATATTTTTAGTAGAGACAGGGTTTCTCCATGTTGGTCAGGCTGGTCTCGAACTCCTGAACTTGGGTGATCCGCCTGCCTTTGCCTCCCAAAGTGCTAGGATTACAGGCATGAGCCACTGCACCCAGCCATGGGCTCTGTTTTCTAAGCATGTCCACCAGCATTTGAGGCATAGTGTCTCCTGAACAATAGCTAGCATATGCCTGCTCTTTAAGGACTAGCCCCCAGTTCTGGTTCCCAGTGTCCCATTGAACAGATGCCTAGATAATATGCACTCTAAATAGGGATTTTGGGCTGGGTACGATGGCTCACGCCTGTAATCCTAGCACTTTGGGAGGCTGAGGTAGGTGGATCACCTGCGGTCAGGAGTTCAAGACCAGCCTGGCCTATATGGTGAAACCCTGTCTCTACTAAAAATACAAAAATTAGCCAGGCATTGCTGGGCGCGGTGGCTTGCGCCTGTAATCCCAGCAATTTGGGAGGCTGAGGCGGGCGTATCACCTGAGGTCGGGAGTTCGAGACCAGCCTGGCCAACATGGTGAAACCCCATCTCTACTTAAAATACAAAAATTAGCCGGGCGTGGTGGTACGCACCAATAATCCCAGCTACTCGGGAGGCTGAGGCAGGAGAAATCACTTGAACCCGGGAGGCAGAGGTTGCAGTGAGCCGAGATTGCCCCATTGCACTCCAGCCTGGGGGACAAGAGCGAGACTTCATCTAAAAATAAACAAAAATTAGCCAGGCATGGTGGCGGGCGCCTATAATTCCAGCTACTCGGAAGGCTGAGGGGGGAGAAGTTAGGGTTAGGGTTAGGCTGAGGGGGGTGATTTGGAAACCCGATGTTCAGTGTGAGGGGCAGGGAAAGCTTATAAAGTCCTAGTGTGTTTACAGAAGCTTGCTGCATTCCTGAGAGTGAAGTTAGTTTAGTGTATGGGGCAAACATCCACTGGGAAGTGAGCCCTGTGACCCTAATATGGCCCGAATCTGCTCCTTAAAGAGAGAGACTTGGTAAATTATCTTTACCAGGTGTTACCCAAGCCTGTCAGCACTCCCCACCAGTAAGCCTTGTGTCCTCATTTTACAGCGCGAGTCATGGCTGGGGCCTTAGTGGCAACAAGTGCTGAGATCAGCGGGCTCAGTAGCAGGAACACAAGCACCCCCTTGCGGTGTCTGGAGGAAGCGGCGCGGACAGTCTCCCGCTCCACCGTGTCGGGCCTGAAGAGGCCGCTGAACGCTCGCGATTACTGAGGCATCTGGTAGGATCGCAAGGCCATCAACCTACAGGTGAAGCTCGAGGCGCTGTGGCGCTTTGAAGCCGGAGAGAAGCTCAGTAGAATCGGGAAGGCGCTGGGGCTGTCCAACTCCACCTTGGCCACCATTCGTGACAACAAGGAAAAGATCTGGGCGAGTTCCCAGGAGGCCACACTGCAGGCGGCCACCAAGTTGACGCGTGGCCGCAGCCTGGTGATGGAGAACATGGAGCAGCTGCTGAGCATGCGGATGGAGGACCAGAGCCAGCGCAACATGCCCCTCAGTGTGGTGCTCATTCGGGAGAAAGCCCACAGCCCGTTCGAGAACCGCAAGCAGGAGCAGGGCGAGGGCGCCTAGCCCGAGAGCTTCGGGGCCGGTCGAGGGTGATTCGCTGGCTTTAAGGCGCGCCACAGCTTGAGCAGCATCGGGGCCAGCGGCCCAAGAACGCAGCGTGCAAGAATCCAGCGTTAATGCGCAGGGTGATCCCGGAGGGCGGCTACACACTCTGGCTGGTGTTCACCATGAATAAGCTCTGGCTGGTGTTCACCATGAATAAGCCCAGGTTCCTCTGTAAGCGCCTGCCGAGAGGACGTTCATTTTCCTGTGGAAGATGAGTCGGCCCCTGGGTCAAAGCCGCCGGAGACCTCCTGACCCTATTGCTCGGTGGCAACGCAGCCGGCGACTTCAAGCTGAAGGCCCTGCTGGGGTACCCCTCGGAGAACCCGTGTTTCCTCAAGGGCTCCTTCAAGCCCAACCTGCCCTTGGTGTGGTGCTCGCACAAGAAAGCCTGGGTACAGCCTGGGTGACAGAGCGAGACTCCGTCTCAAAAAAAAAAAAAAAAGCCTGGGTAACCATGAGCCTCTTCCAGGAGTGGTTCCTGCACTTCTGCTCTACAGTGGAGGGCGCTGCACCCAGTACGACCTTCCCTACAAGGGGCTGCCCATCCTGGACAGCACTCCCGGCCACCCTGGGTGTTGAGACAGAGTCTGGCTCTGTCGCGCAGGCTGGAGTGCGGTGGCGCGATCTCGGCTCACTGCAACCTCCGCCTCCCGGGTTCACGCCATTCTCCTGCCTCAGCCTCCCAGGTAGCTGGGACTACAGGCGCCCGCCACCACGCCCGGCTAATTTTTTTGTATTTTTAGTAGAGACGGGGTTTCACCGTGTTAGCCAGAATGGTCTCGGTCTCCTGACCCCATGATCCACCCGCCTTGGCGTCCCAAAGTGCTGGGATTACAGGCGTGAGCCATGGTGCCTGGCCCTTTAATTCCCCCAATATTTTTTTATCTGCATTAATTTATTATTTCAAGTGAACTTCCATCTCAAATACATGGTTCTCAGACGCTTCCATGAACTCTCAAGTGTGACTTATTACAGCCTGGGGCTCCTTGGAGCACAGTGTGCCAGTGACCTAGTGGAAGGCCATGAGAAAGCCAGGTTCACTGTTCACTGTGCAGCATCTCCCTCCATGGTCTTCCTGGAGCCTATTCCCACTGCACTGAGCATTCCGTGTGTCCAGAGGTAGGGTTAGCAGGGATAGATGGACTTCCTGCTTATTTTCTGTTCACATTTCCACTGACCTTCAATCCTGTAGACTGCAAAGATTGAGCCAGCTGAGCCCCCAAAGAGACTCAGCAGTGCAGAATGTGGGCCTGAGTGGGAGGACTGCCCAGCCGCACACCTTCCAGCTCTGTTCTTCCCGGGCCCTGGATGCTTCTTGCCACGCTGTCCTCTGAAATGACGCTCTGCCCCAGCAGACCTGTGGTAGGTGAGCTAGTGAGGAAGCACACCTGGGCTCTTCCCACCAGGCATCCCAGCCCTGGTGTGGGGTATCCGCATGGTTGCAGGCATCCCCTGGCCAGGCCTGGGTGCTCATTCTCCCTCTCTCTTCTTGTCTCCTCCCCTCTCCCTGCTTTCTCTGCCCTGTCCTCCTCCTTTTTGCTGTTTTCCCCCGGACTCCTGCCATGCCCCCAGACTTTCTTTTTCCCACGGATATGGGCTCATTCCAAGGAAAGGGTGGCATTTGGACACAAGGCCCTAGATCCCACGATGGAGGACTGGGGGGTACCTGATGCCCCTCAGAAAGAGGCCTGCAGGGACAGCACATGGGAAAGCCCCATGGCTTTGTGATCCATCTGGGGATGTGATCCATTTGGGTAAGGACTTGGGTTTCAGGGCATGAGTTGGCTTCCTTGCAGGATGCAGGTCCTTAGGTGGGTGGCCTCTGTCTCCAGCTGTAGGGCCCTGCCAGGAAGCCTCTATATGAGCCTACCTCCCTCCTGCAGGACCAGAGAGGGGTTGTTATGAACAGCCCAGGGGATTGGTTGCACTAAGCTTGTCTTGAAGCTTTGGCTGGGGAGTCCAGGTGCCCATGTCTCTCACCTGCTCCCCATACACATCTCTGCACACCTGGCTGAGGCATTCCCAGACCTAACCTCAGATAATGTGCATGTGATGAACACTCCCAAGTGGCTAGGCCTCTTGCACCTGAGCAGGTGGATTCTGCCCCAGCACTGGGGCTTTCTCTGGGCTGTCCATCATGGGTATATCTCTGGATTCCAGGATTGCTAGTTAGCACCTCACATTTGAGGGTCTGTGCTATTCAGTCTAGAATCAGAGTTGGATGAGAAATCAACTTTGAACACCACCTTTGGGGTGGCTGCATTGGCTCACACCTGTAATCTCAGCACTTTAGGAGGCTGAGGCAGGAGGATAGCTTGAGGCCAGGAGTTCGAGACTAACCGGAGCAACATAGTAAGGCCACATCTGTACAAAAAAAAGAAAGAAAAAATTACCCAGGTTTGGTGGCATGCACTTGTAGTCCCAGTTGTGGGCTGAGGATTATGCAGGTGACAAGGCAAGAGACTGAAGGCACAAACTGTTTCAGTATAATAAAGAAAATAGAATAATAATAGTCATAATTATATATAGAGATGATCATGAACAATTATCAATCATTATAATAAACATTATTAATCATTAGCTTTTATTATTACTCTTTGTTGTGTTACTAATATAACCTAGGAATAAACGGTGTGCTGAAGGGACATTGTGAGAAGTGACCTAGAAGGCAAGAGGTGAGCCTTCTGTCACACTCACATAAGGGCTGCTTGAGGGCTCCTTGGTCAAGTGGTAACGTTAGTGTCTGGGACAGCACCGTTACTTAGCAGACCACAAAAGGGAGTCTCCTTTCCTTGGGGGAGTGAGGGAACACTCTGCTCCACCAGCTTCTTGTGGAAGGCTGGATATTATCTAGGCCTGCCCGCAGTCATCTGGAGGCCGAAACCCCTCCCTGTGGTGCTGTGCTTCAATGGTCACGCTCCTTGTCCACTTTCATGCTCCTCTCACACTCCTGGTTCCTCTTTGAAGTTTGTAGTAGATAGTGGTAGAAGAAATAGTGAAAGTCTTAAAGTCTTTGATCTTATAAGTGCAGAGAAGAAATTGCTGATGTATGCTGCCTTCTCTCTCTGCTTCAGCTACCTAAAAGAGAAGGGCCCCTGTCCTGTAATCACATGACTTGCTTCACCTTGTCAATCACTTAGAAGATTCACCCTCCTTACCCTGCCCCCTTGTCTTGCATGCAATAAATATCAGTGAGCCCAGCTGTTCGGGGCCACTACTGGTCTCTGCATCTTGATGGTGGTGTTCCCCCAGGCCCAGCTGTTTTCTCTTTATCTCTTCGTCTTGTGTCTTTATTGATTACAATCTCTTGTCTCTGCACATAGGGAGAACACCCCCTAAGCCCCGTAGGGTTGGACCCTACATCTAGTTACTCAGGAGGCTGAGGCAGGAAGGTTGAAGTTGAGCCCAGGAGGTTGAGGCTGCAGTGAGCCATGATTGTGGCACTGCACTGAAGCCTGGGTGATAGAGTGAGACCTTGTCTCAAACAGCAACAAACAAATACCATCTTTGGGTATATTAATCAGATGGGGGGAGTCACACTGACATCAGTTGGCACCCACTGGTTAGTGTGTGCCAGGCAGGGAGACTGGGCTGTTTTCAGTAAACTGATCACAGCAGTGAGCTGTGATCGTGCCACTGTACTCCAGCCTGGGTGACAGAGTGAGACCTTATTTCCAAAAAAAAGAGAAGGCATTGGAGTTCAGCTTGTGGTTTTGACAGAGAAATAATAGGATAAATTAATGAAACAAAAAAGTTAACAGTAGAGGATTAATAAAACTAAGTTTTTTTTTTCTAATTTCTTTTCCTTTCCTTTCCTTTCCTTTCCTCTTTCCCTTTCCTTCCTTCCCTTCCCCTCCCTCCCTCCCTCGCTCCCTCCCTTCTTCCCTTCCTACCTCCCTCCCTCCCTCCCTCCCTCTTCCCCTCCTCCCCTCCCCTTTGTATGTAAGTGTAGATGAGGGTGTCTGTGCCTTGTGTTTGTATATGTGAGTATCCACATGAGCATGCCTATGTGTATGAGTGTGTATGTGAGTGTGGTGAGTTGCTTCTGTCCACACATTTGTGTATATGAGTGTGCATGCAAGTGTGCTGAGTGTGAAAGTGTGCCTGTAGACATGTTTGCCTGTGTGTGCGTGTGTCAAACACAGCTGTTTCTGTGTGTGAGTGTGCCTTATCTGTGTGTGTGCACGTGTGTGTGCACGTGTGCACGTGAATGTGTTGAGTGTTCCTGTGTGAACACAGGTGTGTTCCTATGTGTGTTATGTGAGCATGTGCATATGTGTATTCTCGAGGGCTGAGGGACCCAGCCCTACCTTCAGCACCTGCTAACTGTCCCCACACCCACAGCGGGCCCAGCACAGGGATCACATTGTCGGGGTGACCTGGATCCTACTTGAAGCCTTTGAGCTGGACTGTGGCTTTATCCCTGAGGCCAGGCTTCATGTCCAGATGGCCATGCCAGAGGTTGACGTGGCAGAGAAGGAGTGTGACACAGGCCAGTGGAGCGAGTGGAGCCAGCCTGTGTGCTTCCAGGCTCCCCAGAGACAAGGTGGGTGCTTCTGTGGCTGCTGCACTTCCAGAATCTGGGCTGGGTGTCTTCTCCCATGATGACCTCACTCCTCCAACCTTTCACACTCCTGGAAGCCCCTCCCTGAGGCAGCCATGCCCCAGTTGACTTGCTTCCTCTGAAGGTCTGAGGTCTATAGGGAGGACACAAGCTCCTGCCCTAACACATCTCTGCACACCTGGTGGTCTTAGGTTAGGGTTAGGGTCAGGGTCAGGGTCAGGGTCAGGGTCAGGGTTAGGGTTTAGGGTCAGGGTCAGGGTCAGGGTCAGGGTTAGGGTAGGGTTAGGGTTAGGGTTAGGGTTAGGGTAGGGTTAGGGTTAGGGTTAGGGTTAGGGTATTGTAAATAATTTCACATTACTAATAATAAATTATTATTTGTATTACACTATTACGTAATGTAAAGGCTATTAAGACATGTTTGTCTTCAAAGAATGGCCTTGGTTTCTGTGGGCAGTGTCCTCATGGAAAGGTAATGCGTTCCTGCTAAATCATGGACAAAACGGGCTTCCAGGAGCTACAGGCTGCAGCAGCAGCTTCTCCTCTACGTCCTTCACTGCCTCATACTGTTGTTGACTTTGAAAGCTTTTTTCAGTCTAGTTTTATCAACAGAGCTAGTATTTTCATGAGGTTCTACTACATACCAGGTTCCAGAAAGCTAAATGCCTTTTGTTTGTTATTATTCACTAAATAGAAATCACAACTCTCTCCTCATTACTCACACAACAAAATTTAGCTGAGGGAGACTGAGTGACTGTCCCAGGGTCACACAGCTACTAAGAGCAGAGTCATGTTTAGATTCATGTGGGAATACTGAACACAGACATGAACCAGTGGAAACATCCTACGTTCCAAAAGCCTACTCAAGCCATTTGTTCTTATTTTAAGGAAAATCTTTATGCTAATTTTAAACTCCAAATACTTATGAATGGCAGAGATCTACAGATTTGATTCTGATGTAAGAAATGATGGTCACCAGCTGGTTACTGCTACCACCCCACAACCCCGAGCATACTGGACGAATGTCTAAGCCTTGTGGTTAGTGGGGACAATGCTGGTGGAGTCTGAAGTTGTCATGCAGTGACTCATGCAAGCTTAGGCAGATTTGGTGATATATGACACAGAGATGCAAAGAAATGTTGTAGCTGACACACACCGGCTGGCTCTGGGAGATGCAGAAGGAGCACGTCACCCAAAATAGAGCCAGACAGACATCCTTAAGGAAAGAGCCAAGGGGCTGCATCTTAAAGAATGAAGAAAGGATTTGTCATGAGAGATGGGACAGGAAGTTCTTGAGAGGCAGAGGGAGATTGTGAGAATGTTGGGAAGGGAGGAGAGATTCTCGCACATCTGGGAAGCTGACAATCCATCAGCATGTCCAGAAGGAAAATAAGGAGGAGGAGCAGAAATAGATGAGGCTGGATATAGAAGCAGGGCTGAAGCTGTGTCGATTGTGGTAAAGAGTTGTGATTCTATCCAGAAGGCAATAGGTAGCATTCTAAACAGAGATCTTTTAAAACAAGAGTCAGCAAATATTTTCTGCAAGGGGCTAAATGTTAAATATTTCAAGTTTTCCAAGCCATATGGTCTCTCTCTCAATGACTCAGCTCTTCCATTATACCATGAAAGTAGCCAGAGACATTATGTAACACATGTATTGGCTGTGCCCCATTACAACTTTACTTACAAACGCAGACTGTGTCAGACATGGTCCATGCATGGTAGTTTGCCACACTCTGTTTTAGAAAGCTCAGGTTTATGATGTGATGGAGAATGCCTACAAGAGCTCTTGTTTTAAATGGTAGAGTGAACATACACTGGAATTCTATCCTGCTTGACCCAAGCTCTTGATAGCAAAAGGTAGAAAAGATAGATGGTAAACAGATAGATAGATGATAGATAAAGAAAATACATAGCTGTTCCAGAAAACAGAAATGGATAACTTCATGAACCAAAAGCAGAGTAATATACTTTAGAAGGAAGCAGGCCAGAAAACCCACAGTTGCAAAGCAAATAGAATTTCCAGCTGCCTCTTGTAGCCCCTTCCTGGAAGTAGTCACAGCCCAGGGTGTTTGACTTCTTCCTCTGTTTTTTGTTTGTTTGTTGTTTGCTTTTCTCTGGGGTTTTTGTTGTTGTTGTTTGCTTTTTTTAAAAAAAATTCCCTTTCCCTGCTTTTTTGTCACAGTAGCCTTTGTCACTTCAAACACTGCAAGTGTTCTTTAAAAAAAATTATATCAACCTTTCAATTAAAATGCAACATGTCTGAAACTTGGTATCTGGAGAGGTGAGTTGGACAAAGGAGCCCTTGTTACTGCACGTTTTCATTCTTCAAATTTCACCTTGCACGCAGTAACAGACAGTGCACAAAGCCACTTCCTTATGGACGGAAATTCTGAAATCCTTTTATGCCTGGCCTTTCCATCCTTCATCTTCCCCTCTCTCACACTGTGAAGGATCGTATTGGACATTTTTGTTTTAATGTCAGTGACAGGGGAACACAGGTAGCTCTAATATAGCTGTGACCCAGATGCTTCTGTTTCTAGCACGTATTTATTTTGCAGCAAACATTTACATCCATGATGTTTTACTGTCTTTTGAAAATAATTAGGCAATATCTCATCTGAGGTAGGATGTTTCTAGGGGTTG
The DNA here is from genome assembly GCF_000001405.40 of Homo sapiens. Taxonomy (NCBI): domain Eukaryota; kingdom Metazoa; phylum Chordata; class Mammalia; order Primates; family Hominidae; genus Homo; species Homo sapiens. The sequence continues at coordinate 58,589,018 of NC_000019.10, forward strand.
TGTTCTGAGGGAGGAAAACTAATCTGTTCTCTTTCCACTGCATTCTAGGAACAGTAAGAGGACCTTGTGCATGAATAATTTGTTTCCACACTACAGAGTGGGTAATAAGCAGATTAGTAAAAACAATTCTGCTTCACTTCAATAACAGCCTCCTCCAACTCATTTTTTCTCAACAAACTTATTTTTCCAGCAGAAGAATCCCAGACTTCTTAGAGAACCCAGTGACTTTTTGCACCTTAAATCTGTGAAATCCTCATGTTTTCTTCTGCCGTATCCATAGTTCAAACAAAGATGAGGCAAAGCTAGATGCATTCCTGAAGGAACCCAAGAAATTCCTCTCTTTATTTCTCTGGAATGAAATGAATTCTCTAGACCACCAGTTCTAACCTTCAAAAACCAAACCTGTTTGTGAGATCTCCTTCAAATACTACTGTAGACCCCAGTGTTTATTCATTAAATTTTTAAAATATTTGTTTTATTTGGAATCCATGTATTTGTAATTTTAGTGTTTGTATTAATACAAGGGAGAAATGTTTAAATCTGTCTATGCCATATGTGCCTCTGGCTTATTGCCCAATTAATTGTAGCCTCAGGCTAAACTTTGGTTTCTGTCTTTAATTTTTGTCAGAAGAAATATAACTGATCTCAAAACATCTGCTTTTATTGTAGGGGCTCGTGCTGCCATCTCCATTCCTCTCTCTTTTCTTGCAATCTGGGTGGAAGTTCTTTAATATGAACATTTCAACCACCTTCATTCTACCATGTCCACTATCAGCACATTCAAACTTATCCAGCCAAGGCTGTCATCTTAGGCCAGGGATTTTTTAGGAATCTATTATGCTGTGATGCGGCTGGCACCCCTTTGACTCACTGTATCACCCCAGGGTTCTTTTCATTTCAGAAGCCCAAGAGGGCAGAAAAAGAAATAGGTGAGCAATTAAACCCTCTGAGTCAGGAGCGTCTCCCCTTGCGTTAAGCAATGTTGTAGAACATCGTGTTTAGCAAGCTCCTAGCAGATGAGCCACGTGGCTGCTGAGCACACACGCCTGCTTGCTGCTGTGAGCTCAGGCACCATCATCATGTCTTTTCCATCTCTGGAGGGAATTGTAAGGGCCACTTAATAACCTGTAAATCACAGAGAGTTAAAGGTGCTTCCCCAAAACACTGATGACAGAATGAAAGGTGAGGAGTGTTAGCCACAGGTCACAAAAGTGCAGGAAAGTCTCTCAGTGTGGGTTGTTGAAGAAATGCAGGTCTTTTTTCTTTTGGAAGTCTCCCTAGAATGGGGTCAAGGACTCTGCCCATTCTAGGATGAAAAATTGGGATATTAGACACCTTCAGATATTTATCCCCAGCTTTCATTTTGGGCTCTTAATTAGTTTGTTCATCCATCACAATCTCAAATGCTAAGCAGGGCATTTGAATCTCTCCACAGTGCAAATCAGCGCCGTCTTTTAAAGTTGAGTTTCTTATTATTCTCACCTGATATACCTTATTTATCCCACACCCACCCCAATAACATATCGTGCTCACTGTTATCTTTGAGGCAACCCTTGAATTTTACTCAGCCTGGAGCGCTCTTCACGTCTTGTCCAGAGCCAGTTCGGACTCATTCTTCAGCCGTGCATCAGTCAGTGGGGGCTAGCTTAAACTGTGGTGACAAACAACCTCCAAATTTCAGTGGCTCAAAAATCTTCTTCCTTATTTATTTACATCTCATGACTGGTCAGGTGAGAGGTAGCTCTGTGCTGTGTCATCCTAACACAGGAATCCAGAAGGAAGGAGGGACCGTCAATGAGATCCCCATTGCTATAGAAAAGAGAAAAAAGCATGCGGAATAGAACGCTGTTTCTTGGAGATTTCTCCTGAAAAAGTCACATGTTATTTCTTCTCACCTCCATCGGCAAAAAAAAAAAAAAAAAAAAAAAAGTCATGTGGCCATGGGAAAATTTAAGTAGGTGGGATGGAACAGTCAGAATGCATTCATAAAAAATAAACTGAAAATATTTGGAGAACAGCACCAATGACTATCATGAATGCCAACTTACATCCCTAACAACCCAGTGCTGTTACCCTCCAAACTTTTTATGTCTTGCAAAGTATTAGAACTTCATATCTGAAGCCATACCACTCAGAGGGAATGCAAGATACATATTGACATCTCCTTTAGGATGTCCATAGAGAATTCAAGAAAAGAAATAATTTAAAAGTGCTTTTGGGTACAGCTATTTAGCACTAGAGGGTAAGAGTAGAGATAGATTGTAAAGATAATAATAGGGTTAGGCATAGGATTAGGATCTGGGTCAGAGTCAGGGCTGGAAGTATGGTTAGAGGTGGGGTCATGGTCAGGGTCAAGATCAAAGTCAGGGTTAAAGTAAGGGTCAGAATTAGGGACCAGGGTAGGGATCAGGATTTAGCTTCAGGCTCAAAGTCTTGGGACAGGGTTAGGGTTAGAATTAGAACCAGAGCTTTGTTCTCAGGACCCACCCGAGGATGGGTCACCATGGCTTTGGAGCACCTGGTAGTGTGGCATGTCCACAGTGAAGACCAGAGTTTCGTTGTCCTTAAGACTGACCTGGGAGACGTGGCTGGAGGCCATTGAGGAAGGTGAGGCAAAAGCTTCCTGTCTGCTCCCCGTGTGCTGAGGAGGGAGCTCTGCCATGGGCTTTACTTTCACACGTTATATTCTACAAGTCTTGTTTTACAAAAGCATCCCTTCCTTGAGGCTTCGGCTGCTCATCGCTGCTCATCATCATAGCGTGCCATAACATATAGTAAGATTTGGGTTTGTTTCTGGGAGAGATCTTGGCATAGAGAAAGGAGAAATGCTTAGAGCCACCATCAAGACAGTTGGGATGAAAGCTGGGGATAGGCAGAGGCTGGAGGAAACATGTGCACCCCTTGTAAACACTTATTCATGTTTTAGTTATTCACTTAAAGTGTTAAATTAGTAAAAATAGTATTGAAAAATTGAAAAGTAGGCATATTAAAACTTGTAACACTATTTAAGCTTAGATATATTATTTGTACCTCATCAACATTTTTTATTTTGTTGAGAAAGTGTAAGGTTAATTGGCAGCATATTTCTAATAGTAGATAGAATAATGTCTGTTTTATAAACATTGACATCCTACATTACATGTGTGAACCCTGAAAATCTGAGACAGCTCTCAGATTTTTTAGAAAGTTTATTTTGCCAATCTTGAGGATGTGCGCCCGTGATGCCTCCCCAGGAGGTCCTGACAACATGGGCCCAAGGTGATCGGGGCACAGCTTGGTTTTATACACTTTAGGGAGACATGAGACATCAATCAATACGTGTAAGATGTACATTGGTTCAGTCCAGAAAGGTGAGAAGGCCAGACAGGGGGCTTCCAGGTCATAGGTAGGTAAGAGACAAATGGTTTCATTCTTTTGCATTGCTGATTACCCTCTCCAAATGAGGCAATCAGGTATGCATTTATCTCGGTGAGCAGATGGGTGACTTTGGATACAATGGGAGGCGGGTTTGCCCTAAGCAGTTCCCAGCTTGGCTTTTCCCTTTAGCTTAGTGATTTTGATTCCCAAGATTTATTTTCCCTTCATAAGGTTTTCCTATGAGCATTAATTATTCATTGTGTATTTTATCACACAAATAAGGCACAGATTTTTAAAAAATCATCAACTTCCTGGCTACCTATATAGACATAATTACATAGAAGCTCAACTAAATTTGCAAACATTCCAGAGTTTGGGTTTCCAATAATTCTTTGTGATTCTTTAAAAGGTAAAGTATTTTTTTCCCATAAAACATAGCAACATTTAAAATCACCCGTAGAATGTCCTGCCATTTTTGTTTCTGTAGTTTCCTCATTTTCTGCAAAGCCTCGCTGAGGAAATTGACTTTGAATATCCTTTTACACTCTTCTGTTTTAGAAAGCATTGTGGTAAAACATTGAATCATCATGGTCATAAGTTCTGTTCACATTCTTTCTTGCTTTGAATATTTTTTCCCAGTGGCCAATATTTGATTCTGTTGTATCATGGCTAAAAGGTAGGCATGGCAACAAAATAAAGACAGGAAGTCTTTGGAATAAGTGATCCCATCACAATGAATCAATTTGCCATTGGAACATATTTTTACAAAGTCACTCTTTTGAAAATATTTAGCTATGAATTAAAACAGAGTCTGTATGGTTAATATTTTTCCTGGTCTAAGGTGAACAGCATTTTAGAGAATGAACTCAGGACACAACCACAGCACAAGAAAAATGTGATAATTAAGTTTACACATATGTGTTACTACTGCAACAGAAAACATGTAAAGAACATTTGATTTATGTATCAGTCTGCACTGTTTAATTTTTTGTGTCATAAATACTCTTATTTAAAAAAACAGGACTAGTTAACAGTGTCAATTACTAGTAATTCATGGTATAAATAATTAAACAAGGAAGTGTTCAAAAAAAACAGTGTTTTAAATAAAGTTTTATTTTACATCATCTTTTTTACTTACACAGAAATTGTCAAAAAAAAGCAGAGATTTCCCATGTAGCCGCAACCTAGTTTCCTCTCTTATTAACATCTTCTATCAGTGTGTCTCACATGGCTTATTAATATCTTACATAATTTGTCACAGTTAATGAACCAATACTGATAGACTATTATTAATTGAAGTTCATATTTCATTTGGATTCCCTTAGTTCTATCTTACTCTGACCCAGGATCCCATCCAGGATCCCGCATGACATGTAGACATCACGTGGGCTCTTCCTGGCTGTGACAGTGTGTCAGGCTTTCCATCTCATGATGACCTTCATAGCACTGAGGAGGATTGGTCAGGAATGTTGTAGAATGTCCCCCATTGTCACTTCATGTTCTCAAGGTGAACTGTCACCTTTGATGTTCACTTGGATCATTTGGCAGAGCTAATGTTTGTCAGGTTTCTCCACTGTGAGGTTATTTCTCCTCCTTGTCCGTACTGCATGTGTTCTTTTGGAGCAAGTCACTATGCAGAGCCTCACTCTGTCAGGAGTTGGCTCCACCTTCTTGACGGCTGAGTGTCTACATCAATTATTTGGAATTCTTTTGCAAAGGAGATTTCTATGCAACTCCATTTGCTTATTCACCTAGGTATACAAATACAGACACCTAGATAATTACTTTAAGCTTTAGTTATTATTCAACACTACAGTATTATGTTGCACAATTCATTCCTGTGTTGGCCATCAGTAGCTGTTTTTATTGGCTCTTATTTTTCTTTGATATGTTTTAATTTTTTTAGTACTTACTTTCTGATACTTCCAGATTATCCTGGCTCCTATATTTACTGTCCCAGTTCTAGTATCAGACATTTCTTCAAAGAGCCTGATTACTTTCAGAATGGTAGGAAAACTTACATCTGGCTGCTGAATGAGCACATTGTATCTTCTCCCTCATTGGCAATGCTAGGAAGTATATGTGTGTGTCTAACCTACCTATACACACCTAATTATAAAGTTTTCTATGTAGAACTGTGTGTGTCTATATTAAACTAAACATAAGTTTACGTTGATGTCTCCACCTCTGATCTACTATCACATGAATCATTCTAGCCTTCTCGCCTTGCTAATTTGTAACCTCCCACTTCAACAGTAAGAAACCTGGTTCCCACCATCTGTGACTTATGTAAGTCATTGTTTTATTCCAGATACAGACACTGTGGTTTTACAATTGTTCACAATTGCTTCTGTTGGAAAGAACTTTATAAAATGGAATCCAATAATGAAGTATAGTTCATGTGCCTTCAGCCTACAGATTCTATTCATTTTCAAAGTTTTTACCTAGATTTGTGTCTTAGTCCATTTTGTGCTTCTGTAACAGAATACCTGAGGCTGCGTAATTTATAAGTAAAACAGTTTCATTTGTTTGACAATACTGGTGGCTGGAATGTGTGAGATTGGGCAGTTGCATCTGGTGGGGCCTCAGTCTTTTTCACCTCATGGTGGAAAGTGGAAGGGGAGCAAGGGGTGCACCAGAGATCACACAGCAGAAGTGAAAGCAAGAGGGAAGCCAAGGAAGCCAGGCTCTTTTTAATTACCTGCTCCTGCAGGAATTATCTATTCCTGTGAGAACAGAACTCACTCACCCCCATGGAGGACATTAATCTATTCATGAGGGATCCGTCCCCAGGACCCAAACACCGTCCACTAGGCCCCACCGCCCCACACTGACACAGTGGGAGTCAAATTTCAACATGAGTTTTTGTGGGGACAAACCACATCCAAACCATAGTAATTTGTAGCATAAATTCTTTTTCACATGATGTATTCTGTCCTGGGATACTCCACATCCTGAGTAATTTGATTTAATTTGAATAGAGTTTGCTTTAACCATTTGGCTGTAAAATTCTGCATATTTCGACAAATGCATTGTGGCAGATATCCCACTATTAAAGTATCATATGGAATGCCTCAAACCCCCACCCCATGGAGCCAATGGCTTCCCATCTGTGTAGTTTGCCTTCTCCAGTGTCTCATTAAATGAGGTCACACTGTGTGTATCCTCCTCAGACTGTCTTCTTCCACTTAGCAATGTGCATGCAAGATTCACTCATGTCTTTGTGTGTGTTGATATCTTGTTCCTTTCTATGGCTAAATAGTATTCCATTACATGAATGTAGCAGAATTTGGTTATGCATTTTGGGGAGCAGAACCTTCCTCTTCTAACTTTGTTCCAGGGTTGGAGACCTTCAAGTTAACTGACAATAGATACATTAGTAGGAGAGACAATACTTGGCTTCTTGTTCCCCAAGCATCATTGTGGGACAAAATTCATCAGATGGCAGGATCCAGTTTACAAAGAGGTAAAAATAGCCCAGAAACAAGAAACAAGACTAGAATCTGATAACTCACAATGGCTATAGTTTTCCTTTAAAAAATTTTTTTTTGAGACAGGGTCTGGCTCTGCCGCCCAGGCTGGAGTGCAAAGGTGCAATCTCAGCTCACTGCAACCTCTACCTCCTGGGTGCAAACGATCCTCCCTCCTCAGCCTCCTGATTACCTGGGACTACAGGCACATGCCGTCATGCCCATCTAATTTTTGTATTTTTGGTAGAGACGGGGTTTCACCATGTTGCCCAGGCTGATGTTGAACTCCTGGCCTTCCAAAGGGCTGTAATTATAGGCATGTGCCACCATGCCCGGCTGTGTTATACTTTTCCTTTGAAAGATAAAATTTCTCTCTGTAGTAACCATCATTTTTGATCATAATCAAAGTAAGACTATTCTTGTTTTAAAAATAAGTCTAGTTTTGTTAGATTTTGCTTGATTATTTACGTAAGTGCAGCAAGAACAGGAGATGACCACGTAGGTGCTTTCAGGTTTCTTTGCTGGAAGTTTTCATACAGAATCTCAGATTTGACTTTTAAAGGCCTTATTCAGGCTAAAAGCCAAGCCAAGAACATACTATCAAATTTCAGCTGCAGTCCTTATAGCTTTGTGTGAATTCCTCTCTTCTTGAGGCCCCAAAATATCCCTAAATTCCTGGGCCTACCAGGAAATGACCTTCCTTACTAACCTATAAGGCTGTGAACCCTGTAATCTAGGTATCAGGCTGGGTTTTCTCAGAGTGCTGTTGGGAATGAAGTTTTTTATGTTCCCCCCCCCAAAAAAAAGAACTAACATGGGAACAAATGATCTCTTAGCAAGGCGAGCTTTATTTTTCTGCACAAAGGGTGCTACTCAATAGCTGTCCAGCTACAAGAGCACACCAAACAAAGGAGACAGAGTTACTTATAACCTGACGTGTCTACCCTACTGCTGTGTCCAGTTTCCATTGGCTGGAATAGGACCTCCCATTTTACACTTTACCCGATTGGCTGTTAGTTTAAAACTTTCTTAATTAGGTAAGGGGAATAGAAGAAAGAAAGAAAAGGAAGTTGCCCAGGGATAGTTAAGGAAGCACCTCCAAATAAGGAATGGCATGCACTATGGGCTGGGGCTTGTCTAGTTCTGTCCAGGCATGCTGGAGCAAGCTAGGACAAGTGATTTGGAACACACACACACACACACACACACACACACACACACACATATAAAAATAGTGGGTAGTTGTGACTTTATAATCTTTGAGGAAGAACTTTCCTCAAAGTTTTCCACAGTGCTTTGTAAGCATTGTCTCCATAAAAGTCAACCTTACTTCCTTAAAATTGCTGGTCATAACTGATCTTAGGTACACTCCCTAAATATGATATTCCAGTAAAAACCTTGATAATATAACCAAAATTTCCAATTATGTCCTGTTATAAGATGAATAGATTCTTATTGGACTTTTGCTAACAACAATATCATCGTGGAAATAAGAGTATTCAGTAAGGATTTCAAAATTCTGGAAAAATCAGGCAAGAAAAAAAGATAAACGCTTCATTTCTGTTTACAAAAGTATAATCTACTAAATTGTTGTAAGTTACAGTTAGAGTAAGAGAAAGAGATTTCTTAAATCCAGAAACTAGAATATTAACCAGCAATGCTCCAAAAAGCTATACAATTATAATCAATTTTCATCAGTTCATTCAGTGCCATGTAATCAATTCCAGTCTTGTGGATCTTGAGTTAGCAGTGTCATGAACCCATCAGTTTCCCAACCGGACTTCTGGAGACCTTAACTGAGTCAAGTGTATGGTCTTAAAGTTATTTAAGCAATATCATCAGAAGCCTATAACCAGAGTACCTGTCATAGTCTTTTCTGTGAGTCTCAGGGGGAGTCCTGTCTTGGAGACGAACATTCTGACCTGTAGTTGATTGCAGGAGCTTTCAGGAAAGCATCAGGGGGAAATAATATCTAAATGACAAAAAGTATGAAATGGCTGTGATGAAAGATCTGATGAGAGTTCATTATACCACAGCTGACAAGGATATTCGATTTTTTCTGTGGCAGACAACATTTATTTATTTATTTATTTAGAGACAGAGTCTTGCTCTGTCGCCTAGGCTGGAGTGCAGCGGTGCGATCTCGGCTCACTGCAAGCTCTGTCTCCTGGGTTCACGCCATTCTCCTGCCTCAGCCTCCCGAGTAGCTGGGACTACAGGTGCCTGCCATCACGCCCGGCTAATTTTTTATATTTTTAATAGAGATGGAGATTCACCGGGTTAGCCAGGATGGTCTGGATCTCCTGACCTTGTGATCCACCCGCCTCAGCCTCCTAAAGTGCTGGGATTATAGGCATGAGCCACTGTGCCTGGCACAACATTTAAAGTAATAATTGGAATTATGACTCATTACTCTATAGTGGCACATAGCATGGATAAGGAGGACATTGACAAACTTCCAGGAATTTTATATAATTTCTGAAAACATAACATTTTACCCATACAAATATAACACAGGGAAGGTTAGGTATCTCTTTTTATTTGTATCTTCTGTATGGTTTTCCTTATAAAAAATGCAACCTACTTTACTTGCGAAACATGCCCTACTTTTCTTGCATGCTTTGCATAGAGTTGTTTCTAGTTATTCTATTATTTCTAGTAGTTTTATTTACATATATTGATTATAATTTTAATACTTAGTAATCTTTTATTTTCCAGAGAAAACTAGGAAGTAGACAGTTATAAACTGTCATATATTAGCATTCTATAGTAGGTTAGAAAATGTATGAATATACCATCTCCCAACATCTAGAGGGATGTGTTTCCTCATAATACAATTCCTCAGTGTGGCAGAAAAAAACATGTTTATTAACGGGCCAAAATATCTTTAGTCTCTCTGTAAAAATAGGAAGCCAAAAGTATATAAACTTGAATTATTTATGTTCAGTAATTAATGTTTTAGTATTGTATCTTATTTATAAATGGTCTAGATATTTAATGCAAATCTTTTACTTAGCTTAACTTTAAGGTTAAAAATTACCAAAAGTACTTTGGAAACTATTCTTAGGCAGATTTACTGTAAACAAATTATTTTTGAAATAATGTTTTTCGCTTTTCACAAGACGGCACCGAAAGCGAAGGAAGCTCCTGCTCCTCCTAAAGCCGAAGCCAAAGCGAAGGCTTTAAAGGCCAAGAAGGCAGTGTTGAAAGGTGTCCGCAGCCACACGCAAAAAAGAAGATCCGCATGTCACTCACCTTCAGGCGGCCCAAGACACTGCGACTCCGGAGGCAGCCCAGATATCCTCGGAAGAGCACCCCCAGGAGAAACAAGCTTGGCCACTATGCTATCATCAAGTTTCCGCTGACCACTGAGTCGGCCGTGAAGAAGATAGAAGAAAACAACACGCTTGTGTTCACTGTGGATGTTAAAGCCAACAAGCACCAGATCAGACAGGCTGTGAAGAAGCTCTATGACAGTGATGTGGCCAAGGTCACCACCCTGATTTGTCCTGATAAAGAGAAGAAGGCATATGTTCGACTTGCTCCTGATTATGATGCTTTCGATGTTGTAACAAAATTGGGATCACCTAAACTGAGTCCAGCTGGCTAACTCTAAATATATGTGTATCTTTTCAGCATAAAAAAATAATGTTTTTCATAAGAATGACAACTTAATTAGAATCAAATCTATAAGCTTTAAGATTTTACGTTTCTAGTAAGTATAATATTAGCTTATTTGACTAGAACTCAAGCAGAATAGGAATTTATGCTTGTTTTATATTCAATAATGATAATTTTGAAGATATAGTTGTTTTATTACACCAAAAATACTATATTAATCTTATTTAACTAAGTTTTATCCAAATCATGTTAACTTAAGAAACATTTGATCAGTTCCTATATTTCTAGGAGTTTGGTGAATATTTATTTATAAATGCTTATTTTTTTCCAAGCCAAGTTAGAATAGAGCACTTTTAGAGGATTTCATAAATGAATTTTGTAATGCTCTCTGGAGTTAAGAAAATATCACATATACATAACATACATTAATAGATACACAAACACAAATAGAGATTTCATAGCTTTCATCCTGAAATTTCAGCCATGAATCAGGCATAAATATTCTGATGGTTAATTTCAGACATCTACTTGATCGGATTGAGAGACACACATAGCTGGTCAAACACGATTTCAGCCATGAATCAGGCATAAATATTCTGATGGTTAATTTTAGACATCTACTTGAGTGGATTAAGAGACACACATAGCTGGTCAAACATGATTTCAGCCATGAATCAGCCATAAATATTCTGATGGTTAATTTTAGACATCTACTTGAGTGGATTAAGAGACACACATAGCTGGTCAAACACAATTTCAGCCATGAATCAGGCATAAATATTCTGACGGTTAATTTTAGACATCTACTTGATCGGATTGAGAGACACACATAGCTGGTCAAACACGATTTCAGCCATGAATCAGGCATAAATATTCTGACGGTTAATTTTAGACATCTACTTGAGTGGATTGAGAGACACACATAGCTGGTCAAACACAATTTCAGCCATGAATCAGGCATAAATATTCTGACGGTTAATTTTAGACATCTACTTGAGTGGATTGAGAGACACACATAGCTGGTCAAACACGATTTCAGCCATGAATCAGGCATAAATATTCTGACGGTTAATTTTAGACATCTACTTGACTGGATTAAGAGACACACATAGCTGGTGAAACACGATTTCAGCCATGAATCAGGCATAAATATTCTGACGGTTAACTTTAGACATCTACTTGACTGGATTAAGAGACACACATAGCTGGTCAAACACGATTTCAGCCATGAATCAGGCATAAATATTCTGACGGTTAACTTTAGACATCTACTTGATTGGATTGAGAGACACACATAGCTGGTCAAACACAATTTCAGCCATGAATCAGGCATAAATATTCTGACGGTTAATTTTAGACATCTACTTGACTGGATTAAGGGACACACACAGCTGGTCAAACAATTTCAGCCATGAATCAGGCATAAATATTCTGACAGTTAATTTTAGACATCTACTTGAGTGGATTAAGAGACACACATAGCTGGTCAAACACGATTTCTGGGCATATCTATGAGGGTGTTTCTGGAAGACACTGAGATAACCATGACCCAATGTGGATGGGCACTGATATGGTTTGGCTGTGTCCCCACCCAGATCTCATCTTGAATTGTAGTTCCTGTAATACCTACATGTCGTGGGAGGGACCCAGTGGGAGGTGACTGAATCATGGTGGTGGTTACCGCCATGCTGTTCTCATGACAGTGAGTGAGTTCTCATGATCTGATGGTTTTATAAGGGGCTTTTCCCCTTTGGGTCAGCACTTCTTGTTGCTGCCATGTGAAGAGGGATAGCTTTGCTTCCCCTTCTGCCATGATTGTGAGGCCCCTGCAGCCATGTGGAACTGTCAGCCCATTAAACCCCTTTGTTCTTTATAAATTGCTCAGACTCAGGTATTTCTTCATAGCTGTATAAAAATGGATGAATACAGGCACCATCCAATTGGTTGAGAGCCCAGATAGAATAACAAGGAAGAGGAAAGGTGAATTATCTCCTTCTGAAATGGAAACATCCTTCTTCTCCTGCCCTTGACATCAGAACTTCAGGGTCTCAGACCTTTGGCCTCACAATCAGAGTTACACCATTGGCTTCCCCGATTCTGAGTCCTTTGTATCTGGAGTGAGCCATGCTACCAGCTTTCCTGGTTCTCCAACTTGGAGACAGGCTATTGTGGAACTTCTCAGCCTCCATAATTATGTGAACCAGTTCCCCTAATGAATCTTCTCTCATCTATCTACATATATCCTATTGATTCTGCCTTTATGGAGACCCCTGCCTAATGTGATTACAATAACTACAAAATTCACTAGTTTATATAGAAGACTTGGTTTTTGTCTTTGCCCCATTTTATATTTGTATTATAACTATGTATCTGGAAAATGGAACAAGTTTTTTCTTCTTTATATGAGGGCTAAGGCTTTTTTCTCACCAATATTTTTGGAGATTTTAAAGATTTTCTTTTTTTTTTTGACATAGAATCTTATGGAGGCTGAGAAATAATTTTTTTTCTATTTTATTCTTCAGCCCCAGGTGTTTGCTTTTGCAGATTCTTGAGCACATTGAGAGCCTCCAAGGCATGGAGTGGGGTGCCTGAAGTTTCAGTGATTATAGGGAGTTGAGAGACTCAACTGGGAAAGGAAAGGTCTAAAAGGAGGCAATTTGGAAAATAAAAATTTTCTCAAAGGAGCCATTAAAGTTGTAAATAATTCTTAGTAAAGTCATGCAAACAGGAAAAGAAGTAGAATTAGTTCCATATTGGTGGAACACATAGTCAGCAGAGGTTGGAGAAGGGAGAATTTAGTGAACTGAGAAGTTCCCATGAAAGCAGCAAGATCAAGATCACAGAGACACCTTGAAACAAAAAGCCAGGAATAACTTCCAACCCAAGAGGAGAACAGAGAGGCCTCAAAACCAAAGCTAGGATAAGAAACTTGTAGCCCAAGAGTTATCTTCCAGACAAAGAAGCCTGAGATTCCAACGCAGCTTCAGAGAGTGCTCACTCAAAATGTTACTGAAACTGTAGGCTTTTTAATGACTTAGCCATGCCTGCAAAAGGCATTCCCTAAGGTGGCACAGAAGATGGAGCCCCCATATCCAAAGATAGCCAAGGAGAAAGAAAGACCCCTGTTGCCAGAGCCAGTGGGCAAAGGCAACAGAAAAGGAGACAAGGGTCCTAATGGGATGAGATCCTTTCGGATTTAGGCTTTTATACAAACTCCTGAGAACTGGCAGGTTGACAGCCATAAATGGGGTACCAAACTTTCTACTCATTGGATTACAAGTTCTCAGGCATCCAGAATGATTAACAAAATGACAATTTCTAGGGCTTCTGTGGGAGAGTATGGAAAGGTCTTTTTGAACCTTTTAATGCTGTCAATGGAAGAATGATGAGGTTCATAAATTTGGAAAGGAGACATTTCTTCATTTTTATGCTTATTTTTATTTTTTTTTGAGACAGAGTTTCACTCTTGTTGCCCAGGCTGGAGTGCAATGGCGTGATCTTGGCTCACTGCAACCTCCGCCTCCTGGGTTCAAGCGATTCTCCTGCCTCAGCCTCCTGATTAGCTGGGATTACAGATGCCCACCACCACACCTGGCTAATTTTTTGCAGTTTTGGTAGAGACAGGGTTTCATCATGTTGGCCAGGCTGGTCTGAAACTCCTGACCTCAGGTGATCCACCCACCTCGGCCTCCCAAAGTGCTGGGATTACAGGCATGAGCCACCCACCCAGTGAGAGATTTATTTTCTATAAAGGGTTGTAGCCTGCAGGGTTGTCCTTCTGACAGGCTGGGAAGCATAGCCTCCAGCCAGAAGCCAGAAACAGATGCTTCAAGGAGGAGGTAAAGGAAATAGCAACTTATGCTGAGTGGAATGGCCAAATAGATTTATTTAATAAGCTCTAGGAGGAGTCATGAATATTTATGGAAGGAGAAATGCATGCACGCACAATTGAGTTTCTTGCTTCTTCATGGGTCCCATGTACAAAAAATGGCAGTGTTAGCATGATCCCAGGGTGGAGTTTTCAGCCCTCTGACATTAAAAGGTGAAGCAGAGGACATGAAAACTTGCTCTGTGCATCCTCTGTACGCTGGCCAGAACCTCTCCATCGTGGGTGGTCTCTTATCAGGCAAGAAAGGAGAGGTTGATATCAGTAGTGGAGGCTTTGAAAGGGCTGGTTTCTGTTAAATCCTTAGGGAAGAAAGCCTCATCATGGTTAGCAAAGGAGGGGGTATAACGATGTGTATCTTAACCCCATCATCCCATCCTAGCAAAGCTGAGAACTCAGTTTTGAAAGTTACTCTGGGGTCCCCTCAGCCAAGAGTGGGTCTGTTCAGTCAGTTGGGAGCTTAGAATTTAATTTTCATTTATCAATGCTAATGGGAAAGAGTACGCTGTCTTCATGGCAGCTGAATTTGCAAGAAACTCCTTGGATGGGGTTAATGGCAGCTGTATTTTTCTGGGAGCTGTGCTTTAATTGGATAAAGTAAGTTCTGGTAAGATTTCTTCATCTTCAGTATCTCAAATGTTTTCATTTAAATAATCTTTATAACAACTTTTGATGTCTGAGTGGATTCCCACACAGTCATCTATTGTAAGACTTTCTGATTCCTTTTTTTTCCTTTGGTCATTATGAATAGGGCTTCTGTAAATAACTGCATGGTAGCTTTTGATGGGAAATAACATCAAAGTAGTTGTCAAAATACCTAGGAATGTTATTTTTGGATTGTAAGGTGAGACTTGTTTAGCTTTGGAAAAAAATGCCCAACTTGTAATAGGGGAGGAAAAATAATTTTCTGTTTTTGGAATTCTTAGATGGAACGCTCTGTAAAAACTGACAGATTAAAATGAGAAAAAGAGAAAAGTTTAAAAACATGTATATCTTATGGTTACATGGGATATACTCAGGGAAAAATGAGTAAATCTCCAACAGGTGGCTTTCAATTCAAGCATAAATACTATCTTCAACTTAAAGAAAGAAGATTTGAGGTGCAGTAGTGGGAAGTTAACCAGCAAAAGCACATTAGACAGGGGTAAGGTTTGTTATACAGAGTTAAGTCCATGCAGTCTCCATTGATAAGACTCTTCAGTGATTTAGTTATCCTTCTCTTCTTGGTGTCGAGAGAGGTAGCTTTTAAATGGTGATTTCCTTTATAGATGTAAATTTTCCTTACACAAGTAACTTCTACTCTGTTTTCACAACTTCCTTTGTTAGCATTTTTTTTTCAAAATAATTAGCTTGGAATAATTTTTAAGCCAAAGGGACATATTTTGGGGTTGCATATTCTGGTTTCCTACCATTATATTTTGGGGTGGCATAGTTTGGTCTTATACACTGTGTTCTACTGGCAATGAAAAGAGTTCTTGTTTTTCCTCCAGCAATTTGTCATTTGTTAAAGAGCTTAGCAGTTCTAAGAGATATAGACCAGCTGTGCTATCTTTTTGTGGTTTTCAGTTCTCTAGTATGTTGAGCATCTTTTTGTAAGTGTACTTGCCATCTGTAGATCTTCTTTGGTGAGGTGTCTGTTCAGATCTGTGTGCATTTTTAATTGGGCTGTTTAACTTATTGTTTAGTTTTAACAATTTTTTATATATTTTGAATACAAATTCTCAGATCTGTATTTTGCAAATATTTTCTTCAATATGTGGCTTGTCTTTTTGTTCTCTTAACAAGGTCTCTTCCAGAGTATAAACTGTAAATATTAAGAAATCCACATTGTCATTTCTTCTGTGTATATCAACCTTCTGTGTCATTTGTTAAAATTCATTACCAAACGCAAAGGTACATAGCTTTTCCTCTATAGTTTCTTCTAGAAATTGTATAGTTTTGCATTTTTAGTGTAAGGATGATTTTGAGTGATTATTTGTGTAAGTTGTAAAGTTTTCGTCTACATGCATATCATTTCTTATGGTTTCCAATTAATCATTCCCTCACTATTTTTGGGAAAGACACAGGATAGTGGGCTCTGTTAGAGTAGATAGCTAGCTAGACATGAACAGGAGGGGGAGCTCCTGGAAAAGGGAAAGTCTGTGAAGGCTCACGTGGAGGGACCACCAAAAATGCATATATTAGTAGCATCTCTAGTGCTGGAGTGGATGGGCACTTGTCATTTGTGGTTAGGAGGGAGAAGAGGTACCTACGCAGAAACACCCTAGAACTTCTCTTGAGATGCCCCAATCATCATTCACTCTGCAATAAAAATGTCAGAATATTGCTAGCTACATGCTGATAAGAAGGAGAAAGGGGACATTCTTAAGAGAAACCTGGCACCATAAGTACAGATTAGGGCAGAGAAAGACATTCAAAAGAGGCAGCTGCAGTAGATACAAACGTGACCGCTGTCAGCCTGCCTGGTATGGCGGGAAGGAGGCTGGTGCCAGAGTGGATTCGGATTGATCACCACACATGTACCTCAATCAACAGTGAGGAGGTCCCACAAGGCTAAGTGGGGCAAGTCGGGGACCTAAGGCAGTAGCAGGAAAACCAAAGAAAACAGGCGGAGACTTGAGACAGAGGCAGGAATGTGAAGAAGTCCAAAATAAAAATCCCTGCACAGGACTCTTAGGCTGTTTTCATGCACTATGAGCCTACTCCTCCCTATTTTTGTACAATAAGCTCTTTACACTGTATTTCTTTTCAATGAAGTTATCTTCCATCTTTGTACTGCCTCTTGGTGAAAAGCTGTCTTCCAAGTTAATAACTGGGACATCAGCTCTCCGCAGTAATAGCTCCTTTTCAGTTTTAATTTGCAGAACTGATGGGGATTAATAACTGGCGCTCCGACTTTAAGTGGTGCAGGAGGCGGCCAGTAGGGGACGCCAGCCGTTACACCGGGAGCAAGAGGGCCGTCCGTAGTCCCCATCTGCCTGCATGTGGCGTGCAGCGACGACAATGGCAGCAAGAGGGCCCGGCAGTGTGCCCAGCTGCCAGCAGGCGGGTGTGCTGCCACTATAATGTGAGGAAGAGGGCCCTGCAATGTCCCTAGCTGCCAGCAGGCGGCGTGCCACCACTATACTGCGAGCAAGAGAGCCCTGCCGTGCCCCTGCGCCAGCACGGGGCGCTGGACACCACTGTAAGCAAGAGGGCCCTGCAGTTGTCCTAGTCGCCAGTAGGGGGCGCAATGGCAGAGCACCGTGGGCAAGCTGGTCCTGTAGTGCCCGGCTGCAAGCAGGGGGCGCCCGAAACGGGCTTTTCAGATTACTCAGGTTCAACTCGTCTCTGCGCCGCGCCGCCGGGGACGTGTGTCTCTGCGCGTGCACCGCACCACCTCCGCGCTCCCCGCCGGGCGGCGCGCGACTGTGCGACTGCAACACTCCCAGCCACCCTCAGCCCAGCGACGTGCGTCTCTGCGCCTGCGCCGCGCCTCACTCCCGCCCGCCCAGCGACCCCTCCCCTCCGGGGAGGCGCCGGCGTGCGTCTACGCCCTGCGCCGCGTCTCCCCAACAGCGGCGCGCCTCTCTGCGCCTGCGCCGGCGCGCCGCCCCCTCTCTGCGCCTGCGCCGGCGCGCCGCCCCCTCTCTGCGCCTGCGCCGGCGCTCCGCCCCCTCTCTGCGCCTGCGCCGGCGCGCCGACCCCTCTCTGCGCCTGCGCCGGCGCGCCGCCCCCTCTCTGCGCCTGCGCCGGCGCGCCGACCCCCCCCTCTCTGCGCCTGCGCCGGCGCGCCGACCCCCTCTCTGCGCCTGCGCCGGCGCGCCGACCCCCCCCCCCCTCTCTGCGCCTGCGCCGGCGCGCCGACCCCCTCTCTGCGCCTGCGCCGGCGCGCCGACCCCCTCTCTGCGCCTCCGCCGGCGCGCCGCCTTTGCGAGGGCGGAGTTGCGTTCTCTTTAGCACACACCCGGAGAGCATCGCGACGGCGGAGCTGCGTTCTCCTCTGCACAGACTTCGGGGCTATTGCGAAGGCGGAGCACAGTTCTTCTCAGGTCAGACCCGGGTGGGCGGGCTGAGGGCAGTGCCAGGGCGGAGCTGCGTTCTGTTCAGCACAGACCTGGGGGGTTAGGGTTAGGGGTGCCGTTGGGGTTGGGGTTGGGGTTAGGGTTAGGGGTTAGGGTTAGGGTTAGGGTTTAGGGTTAGGGTTTAGGGTTAGGGTTAGGGTTAGGGTTAGGGTTAGGGTTAGGGTTAGGGTTAGGGTTAGGGTTAGGGTTAGGGTTAGGGTT